>NC_000017.11:18369898-18672929 GCF_000001405.40 Homo sapiens
TCTCTCCCATAACACAATCTGGGGGTAGACACTCCAAGACTGGTCTTGGACCTTGACCTTCCTCCCATCAAAAGGTAGACTCCAATGCCACACTCGGTAAGGGCTGGTTTGGTGACAGGCTCCTAAGACATGGAATGAGGCTGGTGGGCACAGTGGTTCATGCCTGTAATCCCAGCACTTTGGGAGGCCGAGGCAGGCAGATCACTTGAGGTCAGGAGTTCAAAACCAGCCTGGCCAACAAGGTGAAACCCTGTCTCTACCAAAAATACAAAAATTAGCCAGGTGTGGTGGCACACGGCTGTAGTCCTAGCTACTCAGGAGGCTGAGGCAGAAGAATTGCTTGAACCCAGGAGGCAGAGGTTGCAGTAAGCTGAGATCGTGCCACTGCACTCCAGCCTGGGCAACAGAGTGAGACCCTGTCTCAAACAGACAAACAAACATCAAACAAACACAAAGAAATGGAATGCGGCCGGGTGTGATGGCGCACGCCTGTAATCCCAGGAGGCTGAGGCATGTGTATCCTTTGTGCTCAGGACTTTGAGACCAGCCTGGGCAACATGGTGAGACCCTGTCTCTACAAAAAATACAAAAATCAGCCAGGCATGATGGAGCATGCCTACATTTTCAGCTACTTGGGAGGCTGAGGTGGGAGGACCTCTTGAATCTGGGAAGTTGAGGCTGCAGTGAGCCAAGATTGCACCCCTGCATTTCAGCCTGGGCAACAGAGTGAGACCCTGCCTTTTAAAATAAATTTTAAAATAAAAAAATTTTAAATAAAGAAACAAGGAAGTTGATTTTTATACACTGTGTAAGATAAGGATCCAATTTCTTCTGCATGTGGGTATACAATTTTACCAATACTGTTGATTAAAGTGGCTGTTTTTTTCCCTCTTTGTACCTGAAGAGACTGTCCTTGTCCCCTTTGTCAGAAATCAGTTGGCCATAATTGTGTGGGTTTATTTCTGGGAGAGTGAGACCCTGTCTTGAAAGAAAGAGAGAAAGAGAAAGGAAAAAAGGAAAGAAAGAAAGAGAAAGACAGGAAGAAAGGAAGGAAGGAAGGAGAAGGGGAAGGAAGGAAGGATAAGGGGAAGGAAGGAAAAGGAAGGAAGGGAGGGAGGGAGGGAGGGAGCCGGGCGCGGTGGCTGATGCCTGTAATCCCAGCACTTTGAGAGTCCGAGGTGGGCAGATCATGAGGTCAGGAGTTTGAGACCAGCCTGACCAATATGGTGAAACCTCGTCTCTACTGAAAATACAAAAATTAGCTGGGCGTCGTGGTGCATGCCTGTAATCCCATGTACTCAGGAGACTGAGACAGGAGAATCGTTTGAACCCAGGAGGCGGAGGTTGCAGTGAGCCGAGATCATGCCATTGCACTCCAGCCTGGGCAACAGAGTGAGACTCCATCTCAAAAAAGAGACAGAGAGAGAAAGGAAGAAGGAGGAGGAGGAGGAGGAGAAAGAAGAGAAGAGAAAAGGAAAAGAAAGAAATGGAATGCAACAGAAGTGACACTGTGTGAACTTCAAGGCTAGGTCATGAGCAGTGTCCACTCTCTCTGGAAAACTCACTCTTGGAACCCTGCCACCATCCTGTGAGGAGGGCCAGTCCACACACAGAGGCTACCTGAAAGCCCCACTGAGGTCTCAGCTGACAGACAGCACCGGCCATCAGACATGGGAGTGGTCTTCACCTGTGGTCTCCGTCTCCACCCTCCATCTGACAGTAACCACAAGAAAGACCCAAGGCAAACACCATTTAGCTGAGCCGAGGCAATCACCAGAACCAAGAGACATAATAAACAATTAATGATAGTTTCATACCATGTTATGACTCAGCGACATTTCTAAAGAAAAAAAAATCCGTTAAGTTTGGGGTGGTTCATTAAGCGTCAACAGATAACACATGTGTTCTACCCTGTCTCCCAGAATTCCTCGACAGGATTAAGACCCAGTTACCTGTAGCAGTAATTTACTTGATAACAATGCTGTTGGTGACTATTTTCCCCATCCTACTCCCTTGTCACTGTTTCTCAAGATCATCTCCCAAGGCCACAGGCAGTGGCTCACGCCTGTAATCCCAGCACTTTGGGAGGCCAAGGTGGGTGGATCACCTGAGGCCAGGAGTTGGAGACCAGCTTGGTCAACATGGTAAGACCCTGTCTCTATTAAAAATACAAAAATTAGCCAAACGTGGTGGTGCGTGCCTGTAATCCCAACTACTTAAGAGGCTGAGGCAGGAGAATCTCTTAAATTCAGGAGGCAGAGGTTACAGTGAGCCGAGATCGCACCACTGCACTCCAGCCTGGGTGACAGAGTGAGACTCCTCAAAAACAAAACAAAACAAACAAACAAAAAAGATCATCTCCCAAATAAACTACTTGTATCAAATTACTAATTCAGGGTATGCCACTGGAGAACCCACTTAAAAGCAGTGTGATAATTAAGAGCAGGAACTCAGTGGCCAAGGTGAGTCAGTTCAGAACCCAATTCTAACATACATTAGCTATTGATGGTGGTAAGTTGCTTAATGTCCCTCCATTTCAGTTTGCTCATGTGTAAAATATGAATAAATGGACCTACCTCACTGGGTTCTTGTAAGTTTGAATGAATTAACATGTGTAAAGTGTTTAAAACAGTTCCAGACACATAGCAGAGTAAATGTGTTCTGTAAATATACAAACAAACAAACCTGTTTTAAATAATAAAGATAATTTATTGCCTCAGGTAACTGGAAAATTCTAGTTGTTATCACTGGAATTCAGGAATTGCTTGATCAGGGCTTCGACTCCATTTTGGAACTGTTCTTTCAACTCTGCCCTCCCCCATGGGTTGGCTTCATACTTGGACTGGATTCTTTGTGGTAAGAAAAAGTAGGGGCTGGGTGTGCACAGTGGCTCACACCTGTAATCCCAGCACTTTGGGAGGCAGAGACAGGTGGATCACCTAAGGTCAGAAGTTCGAGACTAGCTTGACCAACATGGTGAAACCCCATCTCTACTAAATATACAAAAATTAGCCAGTGTGGTGGCAGATGCCTGTAATCACAGCTACTCAGGAGGCTGAGGCAGGAGAATTACTTAAACCCAGGAGGCAGAGGTTGCAGTGAGCCAAGATTGTACCATTGCACTCCAGCCTGGGTGACAAGAGCAAGACTCCATTTCAAAAAAAAAAGAAAGAAAAAGTAGGGGCAGGGCTGGCCTCGTTGCTCATGCCTGTAATCCCAGCACTTTGGAAGGTTGAGGTGGGCAGATCACGTGAGATCAGGAGTTCGAGACCAGCATGGCCAAGATGGCAAAAACCTGTTTCTACTAAAAACACAAAAATTAGCTGGGCAGTGGCTGGTGTCTGTAATCCCAGCTACTTGGGAGGCCCAGGCAGGAGAATTGCTTGAACCTAGAAGGTGGTGACTGCAGTGAGCCGAGATAGCACCACTGCACTCCAACATGGGCAACAGATACTCCATCTCAAAAAAAAAAAAAAAAAAAAAGGCCGGGCGTGGTGAGTCATGCCTGTAATCTCAGCACTTTGGGAGACAGAGGTGGGTGGATCATTTGAGGTCAGGAGTTTGAAACCAACCTGGCCAACATGGTGAATCCCCATCTCTACTAAAAAATACAAAAATTGGCCGGGTGCTGTGGCTCATGCCTGTAATCCCAGCACTTTGGAAGGCCGAGGTGGGCGGATCACGAGGTCAGGAGATTGAGACTATCCTGTCTAACACGGTGAAACCCCGTCTCTACTAAAAATACAAAAAATTAGCCGGGCATGGTGGCGGGCGCCTGTAGTCCCAGCTACTTGGGAGGCTGAGGCAGGAGAATGATGTGAACCCGGGAGGTGGAGCTTGCAGTGAGCCGAGATTGCGCCACTGCACTCCAGCCTGGGAGACAGAGTGAGACTCCATCTCACAAAAAAAAAAAAAAAAAAAAAAAAAAAAAAAAATTCTTAAAAGCTCAATAAGGAGATAACAAAAAAACAAACCTTAAAAAATTCATGTGGTAGTTGAATAATTGCCTCCCAAAGATGTCCACCCAATAATGGCCTCCCAAAGATGTTCCTAATCCCCGGAACCTGTGAATGAATATGTTACTTATATGGCAAAAGGGGTTGTGCAGATGTGATTCAATTACAGATCTTAAAATAAGGGGAATATCCTGGATAATTCAGGTGGGCTCAATGTTAAGAACAGGATTCCTGAACAGATGAAGAAGAAGGAGAAGAGTCAGGGGGGAGATGGGATGATGGAACTGCAGATTAGAGTGATACGATAGCTGGTCTTGAAGGCTGAGGACGTCACCACAAGCCAGACAGTATAAGTGGCCTCTAAAGGCTGGAAAAGGCAAAGAAATGATTTCCTCTAGAGCTTCAAAATGAATGCAGTCCTACCGACACCTTCGTTTTAGCCCAGTGAAACTCGTTTTGCACTTCCAATCACCAGAATGATAAAATGATAATTTGTGTTGTTTGTGTGTGTGTTTTGTTTGTTGGTTTTGAGACAAAATCTCAGTCTGTCGCCTAGCTGGAATGCAGTGGTATGATCATGACTCACTGCGGCCTCAACCCCCGAGGCTCAGACGATCTTCCCACCTCAGCCTCCTAAGTAGCTGAGATTACAGGTAGGTACCACCATGCCCAGGTAATTTTGAAAATTTTTTGTGGAGATGGGGTCTTGCTATGTTGCCCAGACTGGTCTTGAACTTCTGGACTCAAGTGATCCTCCCACCTCAGCCTCGTTTGTGTTTTAAAGATTAGGCCGGGTGCGGTGGCTCACACCAGTAATCCCAGCACTTTGGGAGGCTGAGGTGGGTGGATCACTTGAGGTCAAGAGTTAAAGACCAGCCTGGCCAACATGGTGAAACCCCGTCTCTACTAAAATACAAAAAACACTTTGGGAAGCTGAGGTGGGTGGATTACCTGAGGTCAGGAGTTCAAGACCAGCCTGGCCAACACAGTGAAACCTCATCTCTATTAAAAATACAAAAATTAGCCAGGTGTGGTGGCATGCGCCTGTAGTCCCAGCTACTCGGGAGACTGAGGCAGGAGAACCCATGAGGCAGAGGTTGCAGTGAGCCGAGATGGTGCCACTGCACTCAACCTGGGCCACAGAGCGAGACTCTGTCTCCAAAAAAAAAAAAAAAAAAGATTATAAAGATTATTTTAATTTTTTACATCGACTAAATTTAACACCTGTTACACAAAATATACAACACAATATATTGGAGTGTTTTATAAAATAAGTATAATTGTTAGAATGGCATTCCAGTTCACAATACCCTACAGGTGTGGTGATCCAGCAACAGAATACTACCTCAATTGGAATGACTGCTGTAACCTCTTTCATTAACATGAAGCCTAGCCAAATAATCCGACTTCCCTCTCCTCTACTTCACACCCCAGGCTCCATGACCCACTGTATACATTTCCTATTGCTGTTGTAACAAATTACCATGAACTTGGTGGCTTAAAATAATGCAGTTTTCATTACTTACAGTTTTTGATGTCAGAAATCGGAAATGGGTCTCACTGGACTAAAATCGAGGTGTAAGCTAGGCAGCATTTATTCTGGAGGCTCTAGGGAAGAATCCTTTCTTTTTCTTTTTTTTTTGCCTATTACAGCTTCTAGAGGCCACCAGCATTCCTTGGCTTGTGGGCCCTTCCTCCCTGTTCAGACTCAGCAAAGGCAAGTATTGTCCTCCTCATGTTGTCTCGCTCTGACTTCCTCTTCTCCCTCTCCCTTCCTCTCCCCAGGGCCCCACTTCCAATGACTGCCACCTCCCAGGGAGGGGCCAAGCTCAAAGGTGAAGCAGCCGGGCTCGGTGGCTGACGCCTGTAATCCCAGCTCTTTGGGAGGCTGAGGTGGGCGAATCTCCTGAGGTCAGGAGTTCGAGACCAGCCTGGCCAACATGCTGAAACCCCATCTATACTAAAAATACAAAAATTAACTGGGTGTGGTGGTGTGCACCTGTAGTCCCAGCTACTCAGGAGGCTGAGACAGGAGAATTGCTTGAACCTGGGAGGCAGGGGTTACAGTGAGCTGAGTTGGTGCCACTGCACTCCAGCCTGGGAGACAGAGCGAGACTCTGTCTCAAAAAAAAAAAAAAAAAAGAAAAGAAAAGGTGAGTCAGGGAGGCCAGGGGTGAGGCTGGCGTTGGCCCCCATAGTCATTCACACAAACGGCTCCTTTCTGAAGACAGTTGATTGCAGGCGTACAATGAGTGGTTAGAAGACAAGTGTCACCAGGAATAAAGTGGGAGCAGGCTGGGGCAGAGGCTGAGTGGCCAGTCATCTCTATTGGCATCTCACTCAAGACATGGGCCGGGAGCTGAGGACACTGGAGACCACTTTGTTTCCTCATTGCTGTCAGGGGCCTCTGCTGCCCTCCCCACCCCCACTGCCCCTGTCAGCTCCTCCACCTCTAGGAATGGGGGTTTACTGCATCCCCTCTCCATGGCCGAGTTCAGGAGCTTCCCATGAGATTCACCCAAAAAGGGCACAGGCCTTTTCTATCCCATGGGGGCCTGAGGCCAGTATCAGGTGTCGGTCCCTGGTCTCCCCCATCTGCTGGGACCTTTCTCTCCTGCCAGGCTGTTTTGTCCTCAGCGAGGCCTGCCAGGATGACCAGGTGATGTCACCCAGTCCGCCTGTTCCATCCCCTGGCTCCCCCTCAAGCCCTCCTTCCACTAAAACCACGGGGATTTCAGGAATGACCTGGAAAGCGACGCCACCTCTGCAGAAGGGGCCTGTTACGCTGGGCCAGTAAAATGAGCGCCTGGAAAGGGGGGTCCCATCGCCCCTTTCTTGAAGACGCTGAGGGTCACCACAGAAGGAAAAGGCAGCAGCCCTGGTCCCCAGTGTGAGGAAAAGACCAATAAGCTGGCATCACTCTCTGCCACTCAATCTGACTTCATAAAAGCCACCAGGGGCCATTTCTGGGTGGGGGAAGAGGCAGGTAGGAAAAGCCAAGTGCATCGGGCTCCCGGGCCTCAGCCAGAGCCCAGGCTTAGTGGCACCTGAAGCCAGCCCTGGTGCTGCTGCACTGTGCACACTTTATAAAATGGGGCCGGGCATGGTGGCTCATGCCTGTAATCCCAGCACTTTGGGAGGCCAAGGCGGGTGGATCACTTGAGGTCAGGAGTTCCAGACCAGCCTGGCCAACATGGTGAATCCCCTTCTCTGCTAAAAATACAAAAATTTTCTGGGCGTGGTGACGGACACCTGTAATCCCAGCTACTTGGGAGGCTGAGGCAGGAGAATCGCTTGAACCCGGCAGGCAGAGGTTGCAGTGAGCCGAGATCGTGCCTTTGCACTCCAGCCTGGGTGACAGAGCAAGACTTTGTCTCTTAAAAAAAAAAAAAATGGACCTTGTGCCAGTTGTCTGGAGTGAACGTCCCCTGGCTGCCCCATCATGTCAGTGGAGAACACAGAGCCAGGCCCTGGGCTGGCAGGACACCCCCTCCTCTCCTGGGGGATTGAGAGCTGTGGGTGGGGGCCAGCCTGGCAGCAGGGCCTCTGAGCTGGCTGGAGATGTTTATTAATCCTGAGCTCCAGAGCTGGGGCCTCTCCGCTGAGCCTGCGCCTGCATGTGCACGTCTGTCTCCAGACCCATCTGTCCTGGCCCAGCTCCTTCCCTATCTGGGTGTAATCGCCACCGCGCTCCCCTGGGCATGTGGGTGTAACAAGTCCAAACCTTCTGTGGGAGTCGGGCAGGCTCGGCCCCACCCTCAAGGCTGTGCCCTTTCCTCCCAGACTGGTTATGCAAGAGCAGGCATGAGTGTGGTTTTTGTGGGTGCATGCGCGGCAGGCCTGGGGCCTGGCCGCCTGCTGCCTCACCTGCAAGGAGGGGCCTCCCAGAAACTCCCTTCCCCAATGCCCAGCCGCCCCACCTTGCCAGACTTAGCTGACCAGCCAGCAAGGACGCCCGCTGCCTCCCACCTGCCCTCCTGCCCTCCTTCACCAGCCAAGCCCAGCCTGAGCCAGCACCTGCCTTTATGACCATGTTCAAGGGACTGAGCAAAGGCTCCCAGGGGAAGGGGTCCCCCAAGGACTCCCCAGCCAAGGGGTCCCCCAAAGGCTCCCCCAGCAAGCACAGCTGGTGAGTGGGACTAGGGGATGGGGAGCCAGGGAGCTAGGGTGGGGGTGGTGCCAGGCCCAGGTCCTTGAGCCACCTGGCGGCGGCCCAGAGCCCAGGACCAGCCCCGTGCTGGCATTTGGTGTCCCGAGGACAAAGGGCCCAGGGGTGGACTCTCTCCCTGCCTTGGGAGCCGCAGGCCCAGGCCGAACTTCAGCCCTGGCAGGAGGCAGGGGATGGCCTGGGGCTCCCTACATCCTCTAAGGGGGCCTGTGGGCCACAGATTGATGCTGCTCAGCGGGAGAAGTGCCGGACAGGAGCCTGCACTGATGCCCTCCTCTGCCAGAGGCTGGGACACAGGAGAGCCTGGTTGTGTGACTGCAGCTCTGCCCCAAGGCTCTACTTGGCTGGGATGACCCCTGGAGCCTGGGTGCAGGGCATGAGGACTGAGGGGGTGGGGTGGGATCCCTGGGGTAGGGATGCAGGGGCTGTGCTGCCTCCTGCCTAAGCCAGAGCCCTCCCCAGAGCTCTCACCCAGGGCCTTGTTGTATTGAAGAGTTAGGGGTTCATGGCTGGGCGCGGTAGCTCACGCCTATAATCCCTGACTTTAGGAGGCCAATGCGGGAGGATTCCTTGAGCCCAGGAGTTTGAGACCAGCCTGGGCAACATAGGGAGATCTTGTTTCTATAAAAAAAATAAAAATAAAAAACAGCCAGGTATGGTGGCTCATGCCTATTGCTTGAGCCCAGGAGTTTGAGGCTTCAGTGAGCCATGATCACACCACTGCGCTCCTGCCTGGGTGACAGACTGTGACTCTGTCTTTAAAAAAAAAAAAAATCCTGGTGCAATACCTCATGCCTGCAATCCTACCACTTTGGGAGGCTGAGGCGGGTGGATGACTTGAGCCCAGGAGTTGGAGACCAGCCTGGGCAACATGACGAAATCCCATCTCTATAAAAAATATACAAAAATTATCTGGATGTAGTGGTGCATGCCTGTAGTCAGAGCTACTTGGGAGGCTGAGGTGAGAGGATCACTTGAGCCCGGGAAGTCGAGGCTGCAGTGAGCCGTGATCACTCAACTGCACTCTAGCCTGGGTGACAGAGCAAGACCCTGTCTGTTAAAACAAAACAGAATAGAGCTGGGGCTTCCTTTTCCAGTGGGTGTGGTGCAGGGGGCACTGGGCCTCCCTTGGACCACCCGGTTCTCTGGGGCCCAGCCTCAGCTCTCTGTGGATGGATTGGGTGGCGCTCTTCCCACTCACTGGCTTCAGCTCATCTGCAGAGGAGGCAGCAGCCCGCCTGGGTCCAGGGTGTCGAGATAAGCTCAGGGATGAAAAGCTGGTGTGGGAGTGGGGGTGCCCATTACCCCGATAGGGATCAAGGCACCAACAGACACCGAGTCTGGGCGTCTGGGCCGACGGGAAAGACAGTGGTTAAGACTCTCAGCTAACACTCTCACTGAGTGACCTGTCCTCCCTGGGGCACCTGAGCCCCACCCAGGGTGGAGTGTGCAGCTCCTGGTGGGAGCAGCCATCCCAGGAGGCGGGACCTGAGCAGGAGTGCCCAGGGCCCAGCACCTGCAGCTCCCACTGTCCAGGCAGGCTCCCCAGCAGTGTGCTCCTGGCCTGGGGCAGCTCAGTCCTCAGGGCCCTGTTGGCTCTGGATCACCTCACGTGCGATCCACTCGTTTGACATGAACTTACTGAGCACTTACTGCATGCCAGGACTGTTCTAGGCACTGGAGATGTCGCTGTAGACAGAACCAACAGGCCCCTGCCTTCAAGGCACTAGCCCTCTAGTGGGATAAAAACTAACACGTGCTGGGTGCCGACTCTGCACCAGGCCTGCACTGGATGTTTCAGACAGATAAATTCAATTAATGCTCACAATAGCCCTAAGGCATAGATATTTTTATTAAAATCCTGCTTTACGAGTGAGGAACCTCAGGCACAGAGAGGTTGAGTAACTTGCCCAAGGTCACACAGCATTAATGATGGAGAAAGATGAAACCAGGCTGTCTTGGCCACAGAGTTCTTCCAGACTGCTGTGCCTTCACCAGCACTGTCCCGTTGCCTGGGGGGGCCCATCCTTTGACCCAGTTCAAGGCTTCCCCTGCCCCAGGATAATGATCCCCCATAAGGCACTGTGCTCATAAGGCTTGGACCAATCTGCCCTCTTTTAGGTCTGCTTGGCCTTGTGACCTCCACAGAGTGACTGCATGCACACAGCAGGTGCTCTATGGAGGCTGCAGGGCGAATGCACAGAAAAAGCCCTGGGGTGGAAGCAAGGTTTCCCCTCCGTCCCTGACCACGTAACTCAGAGCAAGTTAGGGCACAATCTGGGCTTTGAACCCTCAACTCTGGAGAATGTTAGGGTGCCCAGCAGTCTCTTGCGCCTGCCCCCGCTCCCCGACTCTGACAGTGTGAGGCTCCTCTAGACGGCTGCTGAAGCCAGCACTCTGGCAAAGCTCCCTGGGGTGGAGGAGGTATAGGGGAACACAGGGCTGGAGTGGGAGGAGGTGGGGGTGGGGGGCATGCTGCTGCCTCCCTGCCCCAGCCAGCCCAACTGCCCCTCCCAGGGCCCAGCCAGGCTGGCTCAGGTACTACCGGCTCACAGGGGGGAAGTGGCAGGCAGCTGGGTGGGGTCGGGAACTCACTGCCAGCACAGCTGGCTGAGGCTGGGACACCGAGGCCGCCTGACACCCAGCACCACACAGACCTGAGACCCTCACCTTTTGACCCCTCATGTGGCGGGGCAGTGCTAACACCCCCAACCAGGTCTAGCTCACAGAGCCTCCTGCAGAGAGAGACCCCAAAGTCAGGGCAGTGTGCTAGGCTGTGGGGGCGGGATGGGGTGGAGAGAGGGCAGGGGACGCCACCTGGATGGGGCACAGAGGGGCCTCTTCCACCGAGCTGCCCACTGTCCCCTCCACCCACCAAGAATGCCACCCAGGAGCTGACCCTGCTCATCTCCCACATGCAAGCCAGCGCCGACCAGGTGGAGCGGGACATCCTGGAGACGCAGAAGAGGCTGCAGCAGGTGAGAACCCGGCAGCAGTTGGCAGGGTGTGGGCAGGCTGGGTGGCATGGGAGGCCCATCATCAGGCCTGGCACTCCCTGAGTGCCCCCTGGTGATGGTGAAGATGGGACAGATGACATTTGTCCTGCACCGCCTGTCCCCTAACACACGGTGGGAGAGAGGGCTCAACTTCCTTCTTTGCTGGGCTCCCCTGTGTCTTTGTCACCTGCCTCATGGACGCCCTGGGCCTGACCCTGTGCCTGGCGTGGGCCTCGAGGTTGGCCAGCATAGCTGGGGTCCCAAAGGTGGGGCTCAGGCCCACAATGATGGGCAGCAGGGGTGTGGGGGCTCTGGACCCTGGCAAGTCTGCCCATCCCCTGCCCACAGGACCGGCTGAACAGTGAGCAGAGCCAGGCCCTGCAGCACCAGCAGGAGACGGGCAGCAGCCTGAAGGAGGCCGAGGTGCTGCTCAAGGACCTCTTCCTGGACGTGGACAAGGCCCGGCGGCTCAAGCACCCGCAGGCTGAGGAGACTGAGAAGGAGTGAGTGGGGCTGCGGCAGGGCTGGGGGTCCCTGGGGAAGACCCAGGCCCAGCCCTGACCTGCTGGCCACCTTCTTGACAGCATCGAGCAGCTGCACGAGCGGGTGACCCAGGAGTGTGCGGAGTACTGTGCCCTGTACGAGAAGATGGTGCTGCCGCCCCGACGTGGGATCCAAGGTCGACTGGGCACACGTGCTGGAGCAGAAACAGGTCAGGAGCTCAAAGTCACACCCCAGTGTGATCAGAGGGTGATACGGAACTGCATTTAACCCAGGGCCTGACTGTAGGCTTGAACAGTCAGTGTATAGTGGTGTCTCAGGGGTCTGGGCAGGGAGACAGCAGAGGAGACAGTGCAGTCAGGGAAGACTTCCTGTAGGAGGAGGCACATGAAGAGACCTCAGAGGGGTGAGAGGGCTCGGTTGGGTCAGGGTGAAGTAGTGAGGAGAGGACAATTCCAGAAAGAAGGAGCAAAGGCACCTGCCAGGAGGAAGCCTAGGATTCGATGGGAAGTGGGGATTTCTGGCCAGGTGGGCAGAGCCAGGACATGGGGCATTCTGATCCCTGGTTGAGGAGTTGTGCTTTGATGCCACACAGAAGGGGTGTCATCATGACAATAGAGGAACAGTGGGGAAGGGCCCGGGTGCAGCAGGGCGTTCTGAGGGCCCTAGAGCTTGGCTGGAGGTGTCCAGGCAGGAAGCACTGAGGCTGGGTCACAGACAAGGCAGGATGGAGCTGGAGACTTCTGAGGCTGAGCCCAGCGTCTGGGAACCAGTGGGACTCAGGGGCCACTGCAGAATGGCCTCTGCAGTGGCCACCCTGCAGAGCAGAATGGCTCACCCTGGGTGAGCTGCAGGGCGTGCACCCGGGCTGCTCTCAGGCTCGTCCACGCTCTGCCCAAATGACCAAGTCCACTTCTCCGGGTGGGAGACGTGTGGGGTTCTCTGGCTCTCCACCCTGGTCCTGTGGTGACTGAGCCGCCGGCTCTCCTGCAGAAGCTGGTCTGCGCAGGCCAGTATGGGCCGGGCATGGCGGAGCTGGAGGAACAGATCGCGGAGCTCAACATCGTGCAGAAGGAGATCAACGACCAAGGAGAGCAGCTGCGGAGCCTGGTGGGGCCGGTGGGTGAGCCGGGAAGATGTTACATCCGGGGCCAGCCCCAGCCCCTGTTTTTCCAGTCAGAGCCGGAGCTAGATCGGCTGGGCCCTGGGGATAGGGGTGGGTGGGGTATGGCTTGCCCAGATCTTAGGGGGCCGTCTCCCTGTGCCCCACCTCTCACGGGCTTGTTTCTCCCCTTGGTCAAGGCAGGATGCCGCCACCATCCGGAGCCAATACCGAGACCTACTGGTGAGCAGGAGGGAGGGTCGGGCAGGGTGGCTGCAGGTGGGCCTGGGTGGCCGCCCGGACCCTGCCCGGGGCCAGTGTTCCTGAGCGCCGCCCAATGGCGCCTTTTGCCCCCCACTTTCTCTCTCCCCACCCTGCTGCTGGCGGCGGGTCCTGAGCACAGAGGGCGGCGTCGTGGCGCGGGCAGAGCCTGGGCAGCCTGTACACGCACTGCAGGGCTGCACGTGGCAGCTGAGCGCCCTGGCGGAGCAGCAGCGCCGCATCCTGCAGCAGGACTGGAGCGACCTCATGGCCGACCCTGCGGGCGTGCGGCGGGAATACGAGGTCGGCTGGCAGAGGTTGGGGCCAGGCGGGGGCGACCAGGGCCATCCTGGTCCTCACCGCCGCTCCCCACCCGACTCGCCCCCAGCACTTCAAGCAGCACGAGCTGCTGAGCCAGGAGCAGAGCGTAAACCAGCTGGAGGAGGACGGCAAGCGCATGGTGGAGCTGCGGCACCCCGCGGTGGGGCCCATCCAGGTGCGCTGGGGGCAGGGCGAGAGTGAGAAGGGACGTGGTGGGCGGGGAAGGGGGGGGTGGACGTGGGTGCGGGGGCGGGGCGTGGTCCGAGGGCTCCGTGCTGCGGTACCCAGGCCCACCAGGAGGCCCTGAAGATGGAGTGGCAGAACTTCCTGAACCTGTGCATCTGCCAGGAGACCCAGCTCCAGCACGTGGAGGACTACAGCCGGGTGAGCCCTCGGGCAGCGGCAGGGCGGCAGGGCGGCAGGGCGGGAGGTCCCACAGCACACCGGCCCACAGGAGAGGCACTGCACCTCTCAACTAGACAGAGCTGGCAAGTCGCGGTGGCTCACACCTGTAATCCCAGCACTTTGGGAGGCTGAGGCTGGCCGATCACTTGAGGTCAGGAGTTCGAGATCAGCCTGGCCAACATGGTGAAACCCTGTCTCTACTAAAAATACCAAAATTAGCTAGAGGTGGTGGCACGCGCCTGTAATCCCAGCTACTCAGGAGGCTGAGGCAGGAGAATCGCTTGAACCCAGGAGGCGGAGGTTGCAGTGGGCCGAGAATGGTCCACTGCATTCTAGCCTGGGTGACAAAGAGGGACTCCACCTAAAAAATAAAATAAAATAGAGCTGTGTGGTTGCCACTCGGTCCCAGAGGGAAGGAAAGGCATGGGCACATTCTCAACAGGGTGAAGCCGTTCCCAGGGGGGTGAAAATTCGTTCTTAATGGCAGAAAAGTAACTGTTTTTATGCATGAAGTACAGATCCACATACAGCACCTAAGCTGTATACAGCATATCTGTGGTATAAATATTTCATGGGGGCCAGGTGTGGTGGCTCACACCTGTAATTCCAGCACTTTGGGAGGCCGAGCCAGGAGAATTGCTTGACCCCAGTAGTTCCAGACCAGCCTGGGCAACATAGGGAGATCTTGTTTCTATAAAAAATAAAAATAAAAACTAGCCAGGCATGGTGGCTCGTGCCTATTGCTTGAGCCCAGGAGTTTGAGGCTGCAGTGAGCCATGATCACACCACTGCACTCCCGCCTGGGTGACAGACTGTGACTCTGTCTTAAAAAAAAAAAAATCCTGGTGCAATACCTCATGCCTGCAATCCTACCACTTTGGGAGGCCGAGGCGGGTGGATCACTTGAGCCCAGGAGTTGGAGACCAGCCTGGGCAACATGACGAAATCCTGTCTCTACAAAAAATATACAAAAATTATCTGGATGTAGTGGTGCATGCCTGTAGTCAGAGCTACTTGGGAGGCTGAGGTGAGAGGATCACTTGAGCCCGGGAAGTCGAGGCTGCAGTGAGCTGTGATCACTCCACTGCACTCTAGCCTGGGTGACAGAGCAAGACCCTGTCTGTTAAAACAAAACAGAATAGAGCTGGGGCTTCCTTTTCCAGTGGGTGTGGTGCAGGGGGCACTGGGCCTCCCTTGGACCACCCGGTTCTCTGGGGCCCAGCCTCAGCTCTCTGTGGATGGATTGGGTGGTGCTCCTCCCACTCACTGGCTTCAGCTCGTCTGCAGAGGAGGCAGCAGCGAAAGATGGGTAGAAAGAGATGGGGGAGAGACAGAGGAGGCTGAGAGGGAGAGGAGGATGGAGAGAGCAGAGAGAGAGAAACAGAGATGGGGAAAGGGGCAAGAGATGACAAGAGAGACAGAGAAGCCAGAGAGGCAGAGGGGGAGAAAGGGAGAGAGGGAGAGAGAGACAGAGCAGGAGGTCGGGGCACTCTGGGTCCCAGTTTCCGGTGCAGTTGTAGGTCACCATCACCTAACTGCAGGTGCAATAAAGCCCTCGTGCCTGCTGCTCGCAGCCCCTGAGAGTCCTTCCTCCTGGAGAATAAAACCTTTGAGGGCTGCCCTTCCTCACTGGATTTTGGTTGTTTCTAATGAACTGAGTCATCCTGTCTATCACCTTCCTGGGCTCATGGCTCCACTGAACGCTGCCCCCTCGGTTCGGGAGGACCAGTGGTGCCCCCATCTCACCAGGCTCCCAAGGAAGCTTGTGACCTTGGCTTGGGCCCAAAGTAGCCGGGTACCCACTGGGGCTCTGCTTCTCCCTTCACTAAGAGAAGAAAGAGACCAAAGAATGGTCTGCACAGAGGGCACCTGTGCAAACACCCAGGGAACCAGGGAGTTGAGCCGTCTTCATTTCCTAACAGATACATTCCCTTCTGTGCCTCCTTAATGAGGGCATGAAGCACAGTATGCGTGTGTCCAGCTGTGTGCAAAGGCATGTGTGTGTGCATGTGTGTTGTGGGAGCATGCAGTAGGCAGCAAGGAAAGGGCAGCTCCTGCTCAAAGCTGCAAGTCTCTCTGAAGGAAAGATCAAGATTCCCTGGACCACAGCAGGACAGTGTTTTCATTTGCATCCATTTTTATTAGCATTTAAACCTGTATCTTGAGTAGCATATAAACTTTAAGTTGGTTAACTGTTCTTACAAGCATTTACACAGTAAGATAAACATATGATAATATACACTGAAATTATGCACCCTGCACCCCGCCGTCCCCACCCTGGCCAGAACTATCTTGCAAACCTACACCCAGCAAAAGATCCCATAGTGCACTTTGGGAGGTATAGACAGGAAGCCTGAGTCTCCATCGCTCATTCCATCTTTTCACCAGCTGTGGGCTACCAGGCTGCATTGGTTTGCTAGGGCTTCCTTAAAGTACCACAGACTGGGCAGCTTCAGCAACAGAATCTCACTGTCTCACAGTCCTGGAGGCTGTAGGTCCAAGATCAAGGTGTCGGCAGGGAAAGTCCCTTTCCAGGGCGGTGCGGGAAGGCTCTGTTCCAGGTCTCTCTCCTGGCGTGTAGGTGGCCTTCCCGGTGTCTCTTCACCTGGTCTTCCCTCTATGCATGTCTCTGTGTCCAAATTTGCCCTTTTATAAGGACATCAGTCATATTGAATTGGGCACCCCCTACTGATCTCATTTTTCATTTTAACTTATTTCCATAAGACGCTGTCTCCAAATAAGATCACATTCTCAGGCACTGGGGCTAAGGACATCAACATAGGAATTTCAGGGGACAAATTCAACCCACCACATAGGCCCTCCCTGAGGCCACCTCTGCGTCATCTTTGTCTACAGGCAAGTTGGCATCTAAAAAGTGTCTGCCCAAGACATGCGTCTGGCCCATGGTACAGCCAGTCCACACGGCCAATGGTGAAATCCGGGTGGCATTGTTTCCTCACCGCCATGCCTCATGCAAGCAGCTGCCTTCTTATAACGGTGGACACAAATCCCAGCACTGGTGCAGTTGCTTGCCGGCTGTGGGTGAAGTAGCCCCATGTCAGTGTGCTGCAAAGATGCAGCTTAGAATGTTACGGCTTGTGTGAAAGATACGCAGATTTCTATTCCTTCCAATCTGTGGTTTCAAGTTCTGCTTGAACCCAAGGGGCTCTATAGGGTGCTTCTGGAACAGCCGGGGTGTTAGGGGTGCTGAAAAGGTGTTAGGGTGCCTAGGCTCAACCCCAGCTTCAATCACACAAATAATCTTGTTGACATGATTTTTGGTTAATTTTTTTTTTTTTTTTTTGAGACAGAGTCTTGCTCTGTCGCCCAGGCTGGAGTGCAGTGGCCTGATCTCTGCTCACTGCAAGCTCCACCTCCTGGGTTCATGCCATTCTCCTGCCTCAGCCTCCCAAGTAGCTGGGACTACAGGTGCCCGCCACCACGCATGGCTAATTTTTTTTTTTGTATTTTTAGTAGAGACGGGCTTTCACCATGTTAGCCAGGATGGTCTCAATCTCCTGACCTCATGATCTGCCCGCCTCGGCCTCCCAAAGTGCTGGGATTACAGGTGTGAGCCACCGCGCCTGGCCTGGTCAGTTTTTTAATTGATCTTTTGTATAATTTTTTTGTTTAAGAAAGGGATCCTTTGGCAGAAAGAAAATCTGAAACTCTAAATACTGTCCATTTTATCCATATATTGGTCATACCCCCAAAATATATCCTGATTCCAGCCATTTGTCATGACCGCTTTAATCTGAGCTCCCTTCATTTTTCACCTGGATTACTGTACCAGCCTCCCCAATGGCCTCCCTGGTGCCACCTGGCCCCTCCCCAGGGCTCAGCAAGATTTTTCTGCAAAGGACCTGGTAGTAAGCATCTTGGGCTTCGTGGACCCTGTGGTCTTTGTTGCACCTACTCAGCAGTTACTCAGCTTTCCACTGCAGCCCCAAAGCAGCCCCAGACAAGAAGTGAACACAGGGGAGGAACTGTGGCTCCAATAAACCTTTATTCACAGTAGGAGGGGGGCTTCATCTGGATTGTGGGCCATAGTTTGCCCACCCCTGCCTGACCTCATGACAACACTGACCTTCGTATTTATGCCTCTTAAAAACATGTGTAAGCCGAGTGCAGTGGCTCATGCCTGTAATCCCAACACTCTGAGAGGCCGAGGCTGGAGGATTGCCTGGGGGCAGGAGGTCCAGACCAGCCTGGATAACACGGCGAGATCCTGTCTCTACAAGAAACCATTTCAAAAGCAGCCAGGCATGGGGGCCCACACATGTAGTCCCAGCTATTCAGGAGGCTGAGGTGGGGAGGATTGCTTGAGCCTGGGAAGTCAAGGCTGTAGTGAGCTGTTTTGGGCCACTGCACTTCAGCCTGGGTGATGGAGCAAGACCCTGTCTCTCTCTCTCTCTCTCCATATATATATATATACATATATATGTATATATATATAAAATTTATTTATAGTGTGTGTAATGGTTGTCTACAAGGCACACCTTTAATTAATCACAGCCAACCCTCAAATAATACCCATAGTGTAGGACCCTTACAACGTTACACTCCCAACTCTTCTCCCCACCCATCTTTTGTTTTCTTTCTTTCCACAGATTCTGTGTCCATCTTCCTCTCCTCATTGACTCTGCATGAAGGGGATTTCTGGTGGAGTAAGGGTAGCAGGTGAGAAATGAAGTACCAAGAAACTAGCAAAGGGTCTTCTGGTTGTCTGGGGACAGTCCTCCTGTCATCCCCAGCCTAGTCTCAAGGGTTCTGGGCCGGTCACCCTGCTGCCTCTGTGCTGTGTCTCTGGATCTGGCCTCCATGGGAAGGACCCTGGGAGACCCAGCAGAGTGGGGTACCTGGGTTGACAAACAGCTTCCTGTTCCTCTGGCTATGTGGCTCAGGAATAGGCCCAGACAGTGCATCCAGATGTGTGAGGCCACATCACTGCCCCCTTTGAGATGGCCCAGAGGACCTTGTGGCACAAGCGTGAAGCTCAGCACCCGGAGCCTGGGACAAACTGCCCCTCCCTGTGTCCTGGAGTTGGGGTCCGGTCCCGAGAAGACTCTCAGTCACCTGTGGGTGCTGATGAGGGGAGGGAGAGGTCTGTGGACTGAGAAGGGCCATTGGTAGGGGACTCTGAACACCACCGCTCAGGGGTCTGGTCAGTGGGGGTCTGGTCAGCAGAGATTGAACTCTGGGGCTCAGACACAGAAAACCTGCTCAGTGACCCTTTCTCCTTTTTCAGCTCTTGCCGCACGTGCAGAGAGAGAGGAACTTCCAGTGCCCGCTATGGAGCCACAGCCCACAGCATGGGGAAGTCCCCATCCAGAGGCAGTGCTGCAGCTAGAGGTAGCTCCAGAGTCCTCCGGGCCCTGCACCGATACAGCCAAAGACCAGCAAAGCGACAAGCTGCCAGACCTCATGCCACCTGCTGTAGCCACTGGGCTCAGCCCTGGAGCTGAGAGCATCGCTGGAGATAGACGTGGCAGAGAAGAGGTTGCGAGCATGGCCCCAGCCAGCAGCTCCCACGCTGCCCCTAGTCCTGGGCATGGAGCGAGCCTTGGTGTCAGAGACCAGGGTGTGCAGTCTGAGCTCCTCTACCTTACTAAAGAGAGGCCTCTTTTATTTACCAGAGCCACAGCCCTGCTGCCTCAGGACCTTTTCATTCTGCCGGTGCTGGGGCTGTCTATCTGCAAGCTGGAGGTGTTGAGAGCAGGAAAAGGAGGCTGTGAGGAAGGGTTCGGGCAGCTCCTCCTGCTCTCAGAGGTGGCCTCCTCCTCCAGGCATGGAGGTCTGTCCACTACTGGGCTTCTGGGCTATTTGCCCCTGATTTGCTCCCTGGTACGGGCTCTTCTTAACAGGCAGGCAAGGGGTGCGGGGACCAGGTGAGGGCTTCAAAGGGTACAGTACCAAATCTTCCAAACTCAGCACTTGTGCCCTGGGGTCTCCAAACTGTCTTCTGCCCTAGAATTTATTCATACTGTTAAATTACCAGTTTATGCAAATGATATGTAAATAAAGCTCAATTTTTTGAAACTTCATGCCTTTTTGAACTCTCTAATGTTAGATGGTGTTTTTGAGGCTATCTGAAAATCTCTGATAGTTGTGTCTTTTGTTGTGGTTGTTTGTGTGATTGAGTTACCACCACCAAATCAACTGTTATTGGAAACATTTCAGGTATGGCTTTTAGAAGACCTGGACCTACTCTTGCCTGTTTTGACCCTCCAGTTTATTGTGGAAGGAAGTATCATGTGGTTTCATGTCTCCGGCAGATCAATCACTTTCCTCCATCCATAGCAGGGAGGAGTCATGGCACCCCAGAGGGATGAAATACTTCTCCCCAAGTATTTCTTATTCTGTCTCTTCCTCTCTCTCATTCCCTGCTCCACATCTCTTTCTGTCTCCTTTTCCAGTTCTCTCTCCCTCCTCATCTCACTGCATGCCACTGTTCAGGCTCCTGGGGCTCCACGTGGATGGGCGGACACGGGACTCCTAGGCTAAGTTTCACGGCACAAGCACAGGGCTGCAGGACCTAGGTCCCCCACCTCCCAGCACCCTCAAAATGAGAGGTGTGGGGTGTGCCCGTGTTCTCCTGGGTGGGCGCCCCACGCTCCAGGAAGCAGAAACTGCAGGACAAAGCTGACACAAGTGACATGCCCACGTGGCTGCCAGCTTCCCTCTTGGGATCTGCTGAGGCCAAAGCAGAGGACACCTGCCCACAACCGACCCCGCACCAGGGTGGGGGGAGGGGTGGGTTTGGGGGTGGGAATGGGGATGGGAACAGCCACTGCAAAGCAGTCCCTGGCTGGCTTCCTGCCCTGCACCCTGTCATGCAAGGCCTCTCCTCCCGCCCCACCCCTGCCCCTCACCACCTCCACCCCTAGGCTGTCCAAATCCAGGCTCCAGAAGTCTCCCAGGATCCAAGAACTAAGGGCAACCACTGGGCTCCGCAGCCCCTAGTCCATGAGTCAGCCACCCCTCTGCATGCTGACAAACCTTGGCTATCACTTATCCTCCACCCCAAACCAGCCCCAGCCTCATCCTACTGCAGGCCTGTGTGGCTGCTGGAGAAGCCGGGCTCCTTTCCTCACTCCAAGGCTGCCTGATATACTTTCTGGATCCTGGAGAAAACTGACCCACTATTCTCATACTGGTGCAGCTTCTTCCAAGACCTCAAAATTGGACAACGTGAACTTGTCTTGTTTCTTGTCTCTTCTTGCTAGGACTGTCATGGGGACAGTCTGAGATGGGGGGTGGGGGGAGAAAATGGATGAATGGATGGATGAATGGACATCCCCCCACCAGCATTACCACCTCCTCCTAAACATAGTCCTGAGAGCTCTATTTCCTGGTAAACTTCCTCCTTCCCACCCTGGTCCAGGGA
This sequence comes from Homo sapiens, assembly GCF_000001405.40. Classification (NCBI taxonomy): domain Eukaryota; kingdom Metazoa; phylum Chordata; class Mammalia; order Primates; family Hominidae; genus Homo; species Homo sapiens. The sequence continues at coordinate 18,390,996 of NC_000017.11, forward strand.
AGCCCAAAGGCCAGCGCCCTCCACCCACCCTTCCTGGGGTCCACTCTACTGTCTGCTTGCCCAGATGTCTTAACCCAGCTTTACCAAGCTAGGACAGATAGCAGGGATGAGCCCCCAGCCTCTGCCAGGAAGATTTGCCAAAATGTTCTCAGTTTAGAAGCAGGGGCAGTGACGGGGCCTAGGGATGACTCCAGGGTTGTCACTCAAGTAGCAAGAAGGGCAAGGAGGCCTGTTTCCTGCCCTTACCCTGGGAGAACTTGGCCGGGGCTCCACAAGGCCCTGCAGGGGCAGCAGGAGAGCAAATCCACGCTCCTTTTGAGGAAGTCACCACCATCCCTAGGAAGCAGCAGATGGGGGTGCACTGGCAGAGCCCTCGCGTGCTATAGGGCGAGGCCAGCAGATCTGTACTCAGCCTCAGCCCCAGGGGAGCTGCAAGATAGACTGAGACCCTCACAGGTTTGGCTCTGTGTCCCCACCCAAATCTCATCTGGAATTGTAATTCTCCTGTGTCAAGGGAGGAACCTGGTAGGAGGGGATTGGATTTGGGGACAGTTTCCCCCGTGCTGCTCCCCGGATAGTGAGGTAGTTCTCAGGAGAGCTGATGGTTTCAAAATGTGGCACTTACTGGTTCTCCACTCACTCCCTCCTGCCATCTTGTGAAGAAGGTGCCTGCTTCCCTTTCACCTTCTGCCGTGATTGCAAGTTTCCTGAAGTGCAAGTCAATAAAGCCTGTTTCCTTTATAAATTACCCAATCTCAGGTATTTCTTTATAGCAGTGTGAAAACAAACGAATACAGTCCCCTTCCCTGAGGTGCCTTCTCCTTAGGCAACCAGCTGCCCCCATGCTCCTCCTCTGCCCCCTGGTATTTCCTTTCCCCTCATGAGGCCCAAGTGATCCACATGGCCAGCCCCAACCCCATCCTACTGCAGGCCTGTGTGGCTGCTGGAGAGGCCGGGCTCCTTTCCTCACCCCAAGGCTGCCTGATATGCTTTCTGGATCCTAGAGAAAACTGATCCACTATTCTCATACTGGTGCAACTTCTTTCAAGACCTCAAAACTGGACAACATGAACTTGTCTTGTTTCTTATCTCTTCTTGCTATGGCTGTCATTGGGACAGTCCGAGATGCGGCAAGAGCTGAAAAAGGAGAGCTGCTCAGAGCTGAAAAAACCTGCTCAGTGACCCTTCTCTTTCGTCCTCATGGTGGCTTCGTAGAGTGGGTGCTGTTCCCAAATGTACCCATTCGACAGGTGAGACATCTGGGGTCAGAGAGGCGGTAACCGGCCTGGGAATCAGACATGACCCTGGATTCTGCTCTCAGCCCTGCTGTGTGCCGTGCTAGACTTCAGGCCTCAACCCTGAGACCTCCCTGCTCTAGATCCCAAATCTGCCCAGATTTCCGATCCCGATGGGGCAGAGCCTGGCCCTGGCAGAGACACTGGAATGGATCCACTGTGGGTGGGGAGGAGGGAAGGGTCCTCAGAACACACCTGGGGCCTAAGCTGGGTCCTGATGGTCACCGTGGGACCCACTGGACACACATAGTCCCTTGTCTGGGAGTGGCATGGGGAGGCTTCTGCCCTTGGGCAGTTGTGGAAAGTGAAGGAGCCCTGGAGGACTGGCTGAGGGGAGACTAACTTCCCTTGTGTTCAAAGGGGTCCGGGCACTGGGGTTCTCCCCAAGTATTTCTTATTCTGTCTGGCCTCGCTTTCCTTTTGCCCTGAGTATTATCAGGAGGGACGGTCCATCTAGATGTTCTCCAGGAGCAAGGACCCACTCTTCTACATCAGTGACACAGGAACATGAAGCCCCCTCCTGTAGGGACAGCTCAGAATGGTGGAGTCCACAGTCCGTCCCCGAGAGACATGGTTTCCATGAGCACAGTGGCTGCTTTGGAGACAGTAGATCATTTTCATCCCCAAAACCAAACACACTCCTGCTCAAATGGCGTTATTCTTAAAGCAGCTTCACTGGTTAGACTGAAGGGCCATGGTAGCCCAAGTGATGAGCGGGGTAGAACGGAGCAATCAGGAGAGATCTTGTTCCTCATAGGAAACTGGGCATCTCTGTGGCCCTGAGCATCCCAGGAGGCCGATCGTACAGAGACCTCTGGTGCCTGACCGCAGTTCACATCCACATCCCTGGAATAGCCCATCACAGGCTCTTCACCCTTGGCAGGTGGACACCATTCAACCTGCCAGGGCAGGTGTGTGCCCGTTTCATGGCATATGGGGACAACGGGATTCTCTGTCCAGGTCCCACTCTTCTCGAGTCCTTGGGAAGATGCCCACCCCTGCTTAGGGCTTCAGACTGCAGAGACCCATGGATGTGTGGGCCACGGGGTTTGGACCCTTTTTACCAGAGCGCAGTGGTGGAATGCAGGTTATACAACCAGCCAGCATCTGGGAGCCCAGCGGGAGCAGTTCAGGGGTTCTCTGAAGCTGTCGGGTACAGTGTAACCTTTAGACAACTTTGTCTCACAGGATGGACATGGTAGAGGGCGCGGATAGTGTGCAGGCATAGGAGCGGGAGGACATAATTATGAAGTATCAGAAGGTACAGTTCGGTCTGCTCCTTGGAGGGAGGCCTTTTCCTGTGCGCCCTGGTCAAAGGGTCCTGGGTTCCCTCCGAGCACAGGGCAGGGACAGGTGGCCAATACCCCCAGGCCCTTGCACCCTTTACCTTGGACCCCTCACCAAGGCTCCCTCTGGGTTACAGGGACACCGAGCTGGGCTGCCAGAGGACAAGGGGCCTGAACCTGTTGGAATCTACAGCAGCGTTGATCGCTTTGGGATTCTGCAGTGAGTCCTCTGTGCTCCCCTCACCCCTAAAGCAGCTGTCTCAGCTCAGGGATGGGTTTGCTTTTAGAAAGGCCTTTCTGACGCAGGACATGTCTCGCCAGGTCGGGCCAACCTCTTTTCCAGGGTCAGAACTCCTCCCTGGCTCCCCTGCAGGTCCAGCCCGAGATTGTTGTTAGGCCAGAGGTGCAAGGCCCATCTAGGGAGCCGGTGGGAATGGAGAGGGGGCTAGGCCAGGCCCCTGGGCTCTCAGCAGTTCTGTCGGCAAGTTAGCACAAGAGGAGCGGGGCAGCCTGAGGTTCTGGCCCTGTCTACCAGGAGACAACCCCAGTGAGATCCAAGGGTTGTGGCCACAGGGTGAGGAGACACCTGGCCCAGCCTCAGGGCTGCTGTCCAGCAGGTCTCTCAGAGCCCACCTGCCCCTGTCCTCCCCCATTTCCCTAGAACTACAGCCCTCACTGTCCCCATGGGGAAGGGGGAAAGGTGTGGGGACAGTGGGGGCTTTGGCCCAAAGAGAATGGGGGAGAAGACGGGCAGGGCCCCGCTCTGGGCATCTCATGGTGAGACCAGAGAGGCAGCAGGGCTTGTGGCTAAAGACCTGGGTCTGGTGCTGGGAAGGGATCTGGGGCCAGGTAAGAGGAGCCCAGCCAGGAGCCCATCCCTCGGGGATCATAGGATGCAGAGACAGAGGATCCCGGGGGAGGTAGGGTGGGAGGGAGCTGATGAGCCGTGCCACTTCTGAAATGCAGGGTGTGTGGCTCAGATGCAGGGAGAGGCAGGTGGATGCTGGGAGGTCAGAACCTGCAAGAGCCTTGGGGCTGTCAAGTGGGATGGGCCCCTGGTGCACCCAGAGTACACCGGGCAGGTCTCAGGGCAGGCTCCCTTGACCCTGGCGGGGTGATGTGGTCACTCCCTGAGGGACTCCTGTCAGGGCCCGGTCGCCCACCCTGGGTGGCCCCCATCCCATCTCAGGGCTAACCTTTCTCAGCTCCAGCAGAAAGCACCACCTTGAGTCCAGGACGCGCAGCCCCATTGTGCAGCCTGACCACCCCCCATGCCAGGGCCCCAGTAACCCCAGCCAGGCTGTCCCTGCACTCCTTCTCCCAGGTCCTGCCCCTCCTGGGAGTCAGCCCCACAGGAAGGTCCTTGTCCTCCCTTCCCTGTGACTTCTCCGGGGCTGAGCCCTGAGCTGGATAGGGACAGTGCCAGTCCTTTCTGGGGGTCGGCTCCCAGGCTTGGGTGGCTCCAGGCCCTGTGCAGGTCCTCAGCTCTGCCTGAGTTGCCTTACAGTGAGACGGAGCTGCCTCCTGTGACTGCACGGGAGGCAAAGGTAAGAGCCTGATGCATGGAGGGGCTGGTCCAGGGACGTAGGGACTGGGCGGGTGGTCAGTGAGGCAGAGGAAGCAGCTGGCCTGGGCGGTGGCGGGTGAGGGCAACACGCTGTCACTGGGAGGGGCAGCAGAGACCTGACCCCAGTTGCTGTAACTTTGGCAGTTTGATAAAATTCCAAAGTGAGAACCACAGTCCTGGCTTGGGGGTGGCTGCCCGCTTGTGTCAGGAACCCACCTAGAGGCTGGGACCTAAGACTGGTGTGTCTGTGGCCTAAGGATGGCACATCCTGGGGTCCCAAAGCCAGCCCACTGGCGCTCATTTGCTCAAAGGCTCTCAGCCCTTAGGGTCTGCCCTTCCCTGGCTCCTTCCAGCTGGGTCCCACCAGGGCTCCAGAGCCCAAGACCCAGCATCCACGGGCGGCTCTGGGAAGCCTGGCAGCTCCGCTAACTCCAACATTCCTCATTTGGCAGCAAATTCGGCAGGAGAAAAAAAGAAAGAGCAAGTGGCTGGAAATGCTGGGCAAATGCGAGACATATAAAAACAGCAAAAAGGTAATGTGTGGAGGGAGAGGCCCCGGAAGTACTCTCTGCAGAGACAGAAGAGAGGCACCCATGGCTGTGGCCTGGCACCGTCAGCCTCTCAGAGGGCGGGTGGCACACTGTCCTTGCACAGAAGACTGCAGGCCTGGTCGTCAGATTGCCTGCCTATTCGTGCAAGCGTCACCTTGCTGGGAGGGAATCTGAATCTAGGGCTGGGACCACCTGGAGCTCAAGGCTAGGGATGCCCTGGTGACCTGAAGGAAGAAAAAGGTTCGGATCACAGTTTCAACTCTGAGTGTCCATCCACTCTTTCAGTCCTGGGAAGGGAGACCCTGTCCCAGCTTGATCTCACCTCTACTGAGGAATCATGGGGCCAAAACCAAAAATTTCCAGAATCCCTGGGCTCTGATCCTCACTGGGGTCACCCCATGGCCTGTGACACCAGATTGTTTTCTGCCCACAGCTCATAGATCGCATCTATAAGGGCATTCCCATGAACATCCGGGGCCTGGTGTTGTCAGTCCTCCTGAACATTCAGGAAATCAAGTCAAAACACCCCAAAAAATACTAGGTACGCTCAGCCAGAGCACAACAAACAGGACAGGCTGTGTCAGGGGCCCAGGCCTCCAGCTGGAGGGAACGTCAAGCCCAGCCTGGGGGGGTGGGGGGGATGGTCAGATGCACTTCCTGGGCACAGACGGTGACATAGTCACCACAGATGAACTCGGCTCTGGTGACCCTCCCTGGCTTCAGTAACAAGCCAAAAAGCAGCTTTCTGCACAAGGAAACCTTCCTTCTTTCCTTCCTTCCCAAAGCGCTGACTGTGGGCTGACTGCCATTTGGGGCAGGGAGTCTTCCATCTGTTCTGAGGCTGCTTCCTCCTCTTGGCCCTGCCCTACAGATCATGAAGGAGAAGGGCAAGAGGTCTTCTGAACACATCCACCAGATCAAACTGGACGTGAGCAGGACTCTCCAGAACCATGTCTTCTTCAGGGATCGATATGGAGTGAAGTAAGCCTACGAGAGCCACAGGGTCCCAGAGGAGATGGGGTGAATGAGAGGGATGGGGACTTTCCCAGAGCAGAAGCCAGGATCACCCAGGAGGGATGACAGGCTGCCAAGAGCTCTCCTAGCCCAGGGAGCAGCCGGCACCATGAACCAAGCACCTCCCTGGTTCCAAGCCCTGGGCCAGGCTGGAACATGTGGGGCCAGAACCCAGGAGGATCCTGAGGAGACAGAAGACAGCAAACAAAATCATGCATAATGGTGAAAGGTGCTCTCCCTGACCCACGGGGACCCATGGTAGGACCCACGGGAGGGTGGCAGGATGGAGAGCCCATGAGCCTCCCCAGGCAACACTGACAGCACCAAATGCTGGGAGAATTAGGGGTCCTGGAAACTCTCATCCAGGTCTGCTGGGAATATGACATGGCACAGCCACGTTGGCAGCCAGTTGGGCAGTGGCTCACAAAGCTCAATGGACTTGAACCACACGTCCCCAAGGTGTCACAGATATTGAACCCACTGATTTGAAAACTGACATCCACATGAAACCTGCATGCCACGTTCACTGCTTGATTCCTCATCAGTCACACACGAAGCCTTCTGGGATGGCCTTCAACACGGGAATGGGGAGAGACAGTCTGGTCCTCCTTTCAAACAGAAGACCCAGTGAGAAAAGGGAATGAGCCAGTGATGCCCGCAGGAATGTGGGTGGATCCTAGATGCATTTTGCTAAGGGAAAGAAGCCAGACCCAATAAGCTACCACAGTAGGATTCCCATTCCTAGGCCATTCTGGAAAAGACCAAACCATAGGGACTGAGAAGCAGTCTGGGTGGCCAGGGGCTGACGGATCGGGGAGAGGCTGGGTGCATAGGGGAAACCCTGGAGATTTGAAAGATCAGGAGTCACTCCAGGAGGGGCTGGAGTGGTGGCCGGGAGACTCTGCACACTGGTTTGGAACCGTGGAGGAACTGTACACCCAAAGACTGAACTGGCGTGTGTGCAAACTGAAAAAAAAAAAAAATCATTCAGAGTGAAAAGGATCGGTCAACTCCCTGTACAACTGGGCTATTTGCATGTCACAGATGTGGATTTTACTGAAACATTTCTTCAATAATCTCAGGCCCTGAAAGTTCACTGCTTATCTGGTGAATCATCTGAACCTGAAATGGGATTTGTTGTTAGGATTTGTAGACAAAGTGAAACTAACAGCATCTGCACAAACCAAACCCTAGCCCCCTTTCTCTGTTTCCTAGGCAGCGGGAACTATTCTACATCCTTGTGGCATATTCAGAGTATAACCCGGTGAGTATTCCCGGCAGTGAGGTTCCTGGGCCATATTTCCATATTCACAGGAGTGGGTGTCTGATGGGGGTGTCGTTGCTTCTTTTAAAGTTAGTATTTGTGACCCACCAGGATATAGGAGGTAGGATTCCAGGTCACTGCTGGCATAAACCTCCAAGCAAGGGGGTGGTCTCAAGGGGTCAAGCTGAGACACAAAGGACTTGGGGCCTGGACTCCTGGTGTCACCTGGGCCTGTCACCTGGGCACTTCTCAGAACAAGAAATGACACCCTCCTCCTGGGGCTGCCCCAAAGCCTGGGAGCTTGGCAGTGTCACATGCAGGACGGTGCTCTCAGGAGACAATTTGGACAAGGTGCTGAAGTGCCTGATGGACTTGGCTCTTGTCATGAAATGAATTTGCATCCTGAGGAAGCCTCTTCAGAGGAAGCCTCCCCAGTCACCTCTGCCCTCTCCAATGACATGAGTCCTCCCAGGTGACCTCGGCCCTCCCAGGTGATGTCCTTCCATGGCGACTCTGGCTCTTGCAGGAGGTGGGCTACTGCAGGGACCTGAGCCACATTGCCACCTTGTTTCTCCTTTATCTGCCTGAGGAAGATGCATTCTGGGCACTGGTGCAGCTGCTGGCCAGTGAGAGGCACTCCCTGCCGGGTAGGTGAACAGCTGCCCGTGGGGCCTCATGCAGCCAGATCTGGGGACAGCCACCGTGGCCAGGTGATCTCGGCTTTCAGCCAAGGCACCATCCTTGTGTCGCCAGCTTGTTGGGAGCCTTTAGGACGTCTCTGCTGAGGGTCCCACAGGAGTCCGCAGCTGACCCCCACAGCCCAAGTCAAATGCCTTTCATCCCCATCAGCAGAGGGCATCTCATCCTCCCCGTGGCCACCCTCTGTGTCCTGGAGCCACACCCTCCGGCTCTGACTCTGTGCAGCTGACTCTCCCCTCCCTGAGAGTCCTCCTGCCCTCCAGCTGCCCAGGCTCCTGCTGCCCTTGGTGCCCACGAATGGGCTAACCAAGCCCAGGTGGCAGCATCTCCCCATCCCGTGTCCCCTGGCCCAACCCCACTTCCACAAGATGACCAGGAAGCCCAGCACCCACCGTGTTCTGGCCGCTCTGTTGTGACCTCAAAGTCAGGCTTGCCCTTTTTGCACCCTAGCCCAGGAGGCCTCCAGGGGAACCTCCAGCCAGGCTCCAGGGGATGTTCTTGTCCTACCTCCCCAGGGCAAAGGCCGCATGGTGGGGTCACCAGATGGGAGGGTGGGAGGCCTTCAGGTTTGGGGGCCTCTGCAGCTGCCCAGCTCTTGCAGCTGATGGCTCCACATCTTGGGGGAAGGCTCTGATTTCATGATGGGCTGGGGGCTTCTCAGGATTCCACAGCCCAAATGGCGGGACAGTCCAGGGGCTCCAAGACCAACAGGAGCATGTGGTACCCAAGTCACAACCCAAGACCATGTGGCATCAGGTGAGTTTATTGTCCCCTTGGCTCTTCTCAGAGGCCTTGCCTCCCGTGGGGCTATAGGAGCAGGGGGACTGGAGACCCTCGTGGGACTGGTGACTGGCGGAGTCCCAGCCAGGGCCTGACCTGAGACGTCGGGTTCTCCATGGGCTGGGAGTTTGTTTCCTTTCCTGCCCTGGAGGAGACAGAGGCACAGGGATGGGGGCCCAGCTCCCGCAGAGCAAGTCAAAGGTCAGTGTGTCCACTGAGAGTGTGGGAAGGGGACAGTGTTGTGGGGAGCTCTGGACACCGCCCAGTGTTCTGCACTAGGGGAAGGGTCTTCAGAGGCCCTGGAAGATGGAGGTTTTTAGGGCAGCCCAGGGGGCCCTGAGCACCTCTGTTCCTCCCATCAGGACAAGGAAGGTCTATGCGGACAGTGTTCCTCATTAGGCTGCCTTCTCCGGATGTTGATTCAAGGGGTAAGGAGGCATAGGGAGACCCTGGCTCAGGGACCCTCCTTGCCCTGCAGTGCCCTGCTTCCCCAGTCCGGGGGTCTGGCTCACTCCCAGCCCACAGGAGGCTCAGGCGGGTCCCCGAAGGACACACAAGCAAAACCCTCTGCCCAAGAGGGGTCATCCCAGGGCAATGGCTGGGGCTCAGGCCCAGCCTCATGGGCAGACTGGGCCAGGACCCAACTTGAGAGGGCTCAGGGAAGCCTCAAGCCCTGGGCAAGCCCCTCTGTCCAGGAGCCACATCCCCACTCAAATGAGTGCCCCCTATGAGGAGCTGCAAGACCTTGTCTGACCCACCATTCTAGATGGCTCAGGCGACCCTCATGGGGAAGGTCACTGACTCTGGAGACTGAAGCCCCAATGTGTGCAGCTTGAGCCACCAGCCCCAGCCTGGAAGGGCCAGGTTGTCTCACACCTGCTGTCCCCACAGATCTCTCTCGGGCTCACCCTGCGCTTGTGGGACATGTATTTGCTGGAAGGACAGGTGTTGATGCCGATCAGAAGCATTGCTTTTAAGGTTCAGAAGAGTAAGTCTATGTGTACCCAGTGGGGCCTGGGGAGCCCTGCGGTCAGACCCGACTGGCCCAAGGGCAGCTTCCTCACACTGTCCTCATGATCCTCTGTTCTGGCCCAGAGGGAGGTCTGGCCAGGTGGGCTGGGAAGGGCACTGTGATGCCGAGCCCATCCCTCACATGACCCAGATGAAGGTCAGGAGTGTGGTGAGCACTTCCCTGTCCAGATCACCCCCCAGCCACAGTCTCCTGTGTACATCTGGACGCCTGGGGTGGCCACAAAAGGATCCGGCACGGCCCAGTGGGAGACTGAAGTGGCCACGGGGTATGAGCTGTGACCATTCCCAGGTAACTGTCCTGGCCTGATATCCACCCTGTCCCTAGAGCGCCTCATGAAGACATCCAGGTCTGGCCTTTTGGCATGTTTTCGGAACCAGTTCTTCCATACCTGGGCCACGGACGATGACACTGTGCTCAAGCATCTTAGGGCCTCTACGAAGAAACTAACAAGGAAGCAAGGGGACCTGCCACCCCCAAGTGGGCTCCAGTGCCATGTCCCCTCCCATGTCACCCTCTGGGGCAGTCAATAGTGGGCGAGTGCCCCGGACCAGCAACCCTACTACCTGGGCCTTCCTCTTCACCTTTTCTTCCTTCTCTTCCTCCTGGACTCTAAGAAAGTACAGGAGGCCCACCAGTCCTCAGGGCAGGCGCTCAGTGTGTGTATACTGGACATGTTGTGCACGCAGGAGGGGGATGTGGGCAAGACCCTCCAACAAGCCCCCTCCCACTTTCCACGGTGTCTCGCTCTGCCCCTCACAGGGCCCTCAAAGTTACTAGAGGAGCCAGGCCCATTTGTGGGAGACCCCCCCCTCCCTACAAGCACCCACAGCCTCAGAGAGCAGCAGAGGCCCCTCACTCCTGCACCTCCTCCAAGGTTGCCAGGACAACAAGCCTTGAGCAAGGGAGACAAGGGAATTGGGTGTCCCTGACCCACAGGGCATTCAGGGAGAGGGCACAGGCAGGACCATTTTCTTGTCTACTTGATTTTAGAGTCAGTTCTTACTATTAGGCAGCTACTAATTAGTTGATATTAAAACCAGCCCTCGTTTAGGCATTTTACTTTGATAATATAGTTTTTATTATTTAGGCATTTTATAAACTTAACCTTTCTCTTGCTATCTCCCCAGAAAGATGACAAACCTGCATTTATAGTTTTGCAGCTACAGATAATTGTACAAGTAACTAAATATGTGGAATTGTTAATTTGTGTCAAGCGCTGTACTAGGCATATTATATACATAATTTACTCTATATAGCCCAGTATAAAGTAGTTACCATTATAATCCACATTTTTCAGATAAGGAAAATGAGGCACAGAGAATTTAAGAAATATATATAAGTTACACTAGTAGGATGTAGCAAAACCCACATTTAAACCCACATTTCTCCCCAAAGAGCTTAAACTCCTAACTTTTATGTTATACTGATTTGGTACTTATCACTTTTGAGTCTCAGTTTTCTCATCTAGGAAGTACACTACTTCATTTGTTCATTAATTCATTCAGTCGTTTCATTGTCTACCACGTGCTAGGCTATACAGAGGTGCAGGCACAAGGATTAACCAGGAAGAAAACAGACTGTGTGTGCTGTCAAGGGCATAACTTTCCAATGAGAGGAGTCAGAGAGCCAGGAAATAAATGACTGTAACGTCATGTGGTGACAAGAACTTTTATGAAAAATGAAGTAGGCTAAAGTAGAGAGAAAGTGTTGTATTAGAAGCACATTTTACATCATATGTGGAAAATTCTGGTAATGAGACATTTGAATAGCAAGAAGAAGATTCTAGGCAAAAAGTGAGACAAAGTTAAGTAGGAGGATGTTCTGGGAAGAACGTGCCCATCAGTGAGGCCAGAGCAAAGTGCACAACGGGAGGATGGTAGACGACAGTTTCAGAGCAATGCCAGGAGCTAAATAATGCCAGGCCTTGGGAGACATTGTGGTCAGTTACTGTCCAACCAGGAGGCTGAAACTGCACAGTAATTTGAATAAGGAAAATTGAAAGTAAATAACTTAACTATTTCAGGGAAATCTCTCTTAAAGCAGGGGTGTCCAATCTTTTGGCTTCCCTGGGCCACATTGGAAGAATTGTCTCGGGCCATACATAAAATACATGAACACTAATAGATGGCCAATAAGCTAAAAAAAAAAATCACAAAAAAACCTCATAGTGTTTTTCTGTTTGTTTTGGGTTTTTGTTGTTGTTGTTTGGTTTGGTTTTTGTTTTTTGGGATTTTTTTTGATACGGAGTCTCGCCCTGTTGCCAGACTGGAGTGCAGTGGCACCATCTCGACTCATGGCAACCTCTGCTTCCTGGGTTTAAGCAATTCTCCTGCTTCAGCCTCCCGAGTAGCTGGAACTACAGGCACACACCCAGCTAATTTTTGTATTTTTAGTAGAGATGAGGTTTCACCATGTTGGCCAGCATGGTCTCGATCTCTTGATCTCATGATCTGCTTGGCTCGGCCTCCCAAAGTTCTGGGATTACAGGTGTGAGCCACTGCACCCAGCCTGTTGTTTTGTTTTTTTGGACAGAGTCTTAACTCTGTCACCCAGGCTGGAGTGTAGTGGCATGATCTCGGCTCACTGCAACCTCTGCCTCCAGACTCAATCAATTCTTGTGCCTCAGCCTCCTGAGTAGGTGGGATTACAGGCATGTGCCACCACACCTGGCTAATTTTTGTACTTTTAGTAGAGAGACGGGTTTTCACCATGTTGGCCAGGCTGGTCTTGAACTCCTGAACTCAAGTGCTCTGCCTGCCTCGGCCTCCCAAAGTGCTGGGATTATAGGCATGAACCGCTGGCACCCAGCCAAAAATCTCATAGCGTTTTAAGGAAGTTTACAAATTTGTGTTGGGCCTCATTCAAAGCAGCCCTAGGCTGTGGGTTGGACAAGCTTAGGAAAGGCAAAGCAAACACACACACAAAATAGGGACAGCAAATTCACGGAGCTGCCAGTGTGCTCTCCAGAGCTTTAGGCAAGCACTGCAGGAAGAAACAAATCTGGAAGAATCTCCCACACACACCAGAAGTGAGTGCTAGACCTCCTTGGAGAGGGTGAGGATGTAGCCTGCTAGAGAGCAGAGAATTTTGCTGAGTTTCTACACTGACAAAACACTGGAAAACTGCTCCCCTAAGTGCTGCTTGTGACCTGCTCTGTCCCCAGAGAGGTGATGGCCAGGGTTGGCTGCTGTCCCCCACAAGAGCAAGGTAAGAGGAGCACTCAGAACTAGAAAGAGCCCCAACCTTCTCCAGCGTCCCTTTAGCAGATGCTGCAGATGAAGTTTCACACCGTGCCACAGAAAAGGCAAAGCCGGCAAGCAAGGTAAAGGGGGGAGGTTTGGAACTGATGGCAATCAGCTCAACAGTGCAAGAAAAATGAGTTTTCTTTTGAAAAGACGTTCAACATCACTGATCATTAGAGAAATGCAAATCAAAACCACAACGAGCTACCACCTCACACTAGTCAGAATGGCTATTACTAAAAAGTCAAAAAATAACAGATGCTGGCAAGGTTGTGGAGAAAAAGGGAACACTTAGGCACTGTTGGTGGGAGTGTAAATTAATTCAGCCATTGTGGAAGACAGTGGCAATTCCTCAAAGACCCAAGACTGAAATACCATTCAATGAAGCAATCCCATTACTGGGTGTATACCCAAAGGAATATAAATCATTTTATTATAAAGACATATGCATGTGTATGTTCATTCCAGCACTAGTCACAATAGCAAAGACATGGAATCAACCCAAATACCCATCAACGATAGGCTGGATAAAGAAAATGTGGTATATACACACCATACACCATGGGGTACTATGCAGACATAAAAAAGAATGAGATCGTGTCCTCTGCAGGGACATGGATGGAGCTGGAGGCCACTATCCTTAGCAAGCTTATAAGTGGGAGCTAAATGATGAGAACACATGGACACATAGAGGGGAATGACAAACACTGGGGCCTTTCGAAGGGTGGAGGGTGGGAGGAGGGAGAAGAGCAGAAAAAAAAAATAGTGGGTACTAGGCTTAATACCTGGATGATGAAAGAATCTATACAACAACCCCCATGACACAAGTGTACCTATGGAACAAGCCTGCGTATGTACCCTGACCTTAAAAGTTAAATTTTTTTTTAAAAAAAGAAAAGAGTTTTGCCCTCATTCAAAGAATTTGAGCCAAAGGGTGACATTTTAAATGATATTTTTGAAAAATCGGCTAGATGGCTTCATGGAAAGACAAAAGGAACAATAGAAGGAGTAAAAAGCATCTAGAAGGACAGGCTACTAATCGAGACCTGAGATGACAGATGGGAAGGGGTGGAAGCAGTAGACCTGTAAGAGATGCTTGGATTCACAAAAGGTTTGTTTTTTTTTTGTTTTTTTTTTTTCAGTGCAGTGGCGAGATCTCGGCTCACTGCAAGCTCCACCTCCCAGGTTCACGACATTCTCCTGCCTCAGCCTCCGGAGTAGCTGGGACTAAAGTTGTCCACCACCATGCCTGGCTAATTTTTTGTATTTTTCGTAGAGACAGGGTTTCACTGTGTAGCCAGGATGGTCTCGATCTCCTGACCTTGTGATCCACCCTCCTCGGCCTCCCAAAGTGCTGGGATTACAGGCATGAGCCACGGCACCCAGCCTCATTTGCTGTTAAACTCATTTATTGAGTCACCTTTTTCTTCCTCACACTTTTTAGTATTAGAATTTTTGTGTGTTTTTATTTACCCTAACCTGTCAATTTCATAGTTTCCACTTTCTTGTTGAAGTTTCCAAACTTGACCTCATGCCTTTGAATATACTAATTCTAGTTGCTTTGACACATTTTTTTCTTTTTCCTTGGCATCTGTTTATTCCTTCTCACAGTGTCTTTTTTCTTCATTGACCCTCACATCTTTGAGCAAATGTACAAAATATAGTGGGTGAACAACTGGTTTTGTCTGTCTTTAGAGGCCCAACTAATGTTTTCTTTCTCAAATGATTGCTATTTGCTCATGCCAGAAGTATAAGGACAGTCAAATTCTGAATTACTTTCATAAAAATTTGGAGTTGGAACCTTTTTGGGCACTCAGTTGGAGAGCAGCCAGCCTGCTGTGGTGACTGGGTGAATTCTGGTTCCTTCTCACTGCTTTAATGTACCAGCAGCTTTTGATATCCATGACCAAACTGGGAGCCTCTGCAAGACTAGCAGAGGTTTAACACAACCTGGTAGATATCCCATCTGAAGTAATAAATGGCTCCAGGGCAAAGCAGCTCTTATTTCTCTAAATGCTGTTTCTCTCCAAATCTTAGCCTGACAATTCTTAGCTGTGCATTAACTCAGTTAGTGTTAAAAAATAATAATAAATTATTACCTCTTATTTATTTTATTCATTTATTTATTTTATTTTTATTTTTTTGTGATGGAGTCTTGCTCTGTCACCCAGGCTGGAGTGCAGTGGCACAATCTCGGCTGACTGCAACGTCCGCCTCTGAGAATCAAGGGATTCTCCTGCCTCAGCTTCCCGAGTAGCCGTGACTACAGGCGCACGCCACTACTAATTTTTGTATTTTTAGTAGACACGGGGTTTCGCCACGTTAGCCAGGCTGGTCTCAACCTCCTGACCTCAAGTGATCCACCCACCTCGGCCTCCCAAAGTGCTGGGATTATAGGCGTGAGCCACTGTGCCAGGACCTGATTTGTTTTAAAATGTTATTTTACATACAAAACCTAATTTAAATTATTCTCGGATATCTAATCTGTCTTTATCAGAAGCAAAAGTCTGACATTTATTCATCATAAAAAATGGTATTTGAAATTTTCTCTCACTTGTGTTGTTTTGTTGTTGACCTCACAAAATTATCTTATAAAAATGTTCTTGATTATGTCTGATAATATTGTTTTGACAAATAATTTTTTCTTTGCGCCATTCTTGAAACTTTTATATTGTAACGTTAGATGAAAAGAATTAAGAACTATCTTAAACTGGTGTTAGAAAGCAGTGCTTACTAAGGACCTATGTGTTAAAAGAGAAATGGCACTATTTGTCAAAATGTCTACACAACCACCTAATTTGAATGTATGCTACACTGCAAATAAAATGTTTATATTTATAAATGTCTTATTTTTTGTCACAGCGTAGACTGAATTGGAGAAGGAACAAAGAAATCTGTAACCGGTGTGATCAATCAGTTGTAAACACCAGCCTCCAAATTACCTGTTATTAATTGTTGGTACTGAGCGTTCACAGTGAAATAGAACCATCAGAAAACATGGGCAAATAAAATTATTAAAAATTCATCTCTATGATGTGCCATGTTCTGAATAGGCAGTTTCTGAGTGTCTGGGCCATCTGTACAAGAAAGAGAGTTGTTATTTGGTCAAGGACACGTGCATTTTTCAGTCTAGAAGAATGTCATCATTTTCTTGAGGTAATTGCAATGTTCCTACTCTGTATCAAACAGCAAATACCTCTGATTCCTAAGGCAACAGCATAGTTATTATTTGATTTTTTCCAAGTGAATAAAATGAAAAATGAAATGTTGTGTCACAATCCCAAAACACTGCTGGCATATGGAATAGTTGAGATGATAGAACATGATTTGACAACTCCAAACTGAAAATATCTATCCAAGCAGTTGCACTCCTGAAAAACTATTATATTGTCTGGCAAAAGACTCTCTCATGATAGGAAGGTTTTCTAGATATTTCTAGAAATAGAGACAGGGATAAAACTTTATGTGGCCCCAAGAAAAGGAATCAGAATTGAGTATTGTCAATGATTGCTTATGGGCTTGAGAATTAAGAAAAAAAGGACCCCTCCCCACAGGTACCAACAGTTACATAACCACGGGTGCCATGGAACTAATTTGACATACTGAAACAATTTTCTATAATCATTCAGATTTCTGACAAATCAAAATATAACTATCAAATTCATACTTATGTTAGTTACAAGTCAAATCTTATTTTTAAAAAATCCAAATTCTTTGAAGATTTATCTTAACAATGACAAAGCAATTGACTGGGAAGTAGTTTTGTTAACCATTCAATTGACTATTTGACCTAAGAATGTTGTATGTATATATATTTAATTTCTATTAAACAAATGAACATATTTGTTTATACCATATAGTTATAGTTTGACTTTTTTTAAGAATTTAACCAAAACCATCAATCCTGAAGTATCAAACTCCAGTGACTTCAGCAATTCTACTTTAGAATTCAGTTATTTGGTAAAAAATGTAAGTAAAATATTAATAATTTCAGCCAGACGCAGTGGCTCATGCCTGTAATCCAGCACTTTGGGAGGCTGAGTTGGGCGGATCATGAGGTCAGGAGATCGAGACCACGGTGAAACCCCGTCTCTACTAAAAATACAAAAAATTAGCCGGGTGTGGTGGCGGGCGCCTGTAGTCCTAGCTACTTTGGAGGCTGAGGCAGGAGAATGGTGTGAACCTAGCAGGCGGAGCTTGCAGTGAGCTGAGATCGCGCCACTGCACTCCAGCCTGGGCAACAGAGCAAGACTATGTCTCAGAAAAAAAAAAAAAAAAAATTAATAATTTCATGGTAACCCTCTTCACTTTTTTCAAAATCAGAACAACAACATTTTACCTTTGCTGATTATTAAGGAATGTTCTCAGTATCATCTAATATTTATGTTCTTGCAAATGCAAGCACTGAACACTGGTATTTTAAATAACATCTTGTTTTTAAAAATCATGTATCTTTCATGCATCTGTAACCATCTGATCAATGATCAGAAAACGGAAAAGTCAGTAAGTATCACTAGGATTCTCTCAGAGAGTCACATTTAATTGGCTGGGCCCGTTTGAATTTCCATCTAGAATCTTCTGAGATTAATGTAGAAGTAATCACGGTGCATAAAAGCAGCTTAAAATACTGGACATAGCTTCAGTATCAGAACACTTTCAACTATAGTGTGACATGCACAATTGCTTTATTTTTCTTGAATATTTTCTTTTCCACTTGGTTAAGAATTTAGCAGATTGTGCTTTTCTGGAGAAAAAAAAACAATGTTGGAAACCAAGTTTTATTTAACAAAATTAAGTGATTTAAGCACAGAGAGATTTTGAACTTAATTCTACAGTATGTGTTTCACAACAAATTTCCTTGTATTAACGGTACGCCATTTCATACACAGAGCAAGTTCGAGCACCGCAGAACACAGCTAATTTTGCTAATGTATCACAATTACAGAAATAGCTGTGCTAAATGAACTTGTCCTATTTTCATGAAAATGAACAGTGTTCAATAACCCTCAAAATATTTTATTTCATGCTGATTCAGATTTTCTCTAACCATTTTTTTCTGTGACTTTGCTTCCACAATAACATAGAATGTTTTTAAAAAGGCAAATGTAGTTTGTTTTCATATATATTTTCCAGATATTCTTTCTTAAGAAAGCATGGTAACTTGCAGTTATTACCATGCATATCTTTTTTTTGGCAAAATGATATAATTTGTTTTAAAAAGCCAATCCAAACCTGTCCTATGTGTATATAGAGTGGCCATGCCGTTAAATTTGCACATAGACTGTCAGTGACTGAGGATGACCCAAATTGCAACTTCCTGTTTTAATGTTGCAAAGGCTGCCTATGCCTGATGGTGTGTCAAATACCCAAAGCTTGCATGGAGGGACCTAACAATGGACCTTTTCACAACTGTGTTTCCAGAATCTTTATTGACTTTACTTCATAGTACAATAAGATGAAAACAAAACGCAAACCGCCTGATTTCCAAGAGCTTATTTAAAACCAAAACCACCATGTGAGACTTAGTTAGCATAGTACACATTAGATATGGATGACATTTCTGCAGTAAGTCATTGTTTTAAGTCTAGTAAATATCCAGATGATAACATCTATTTAAGAACAGCACTGATAATTATATACGAGGAGGTCATGTTAAGTATTCCACAACAAATTAAAGAGATGATGTCCATGAAGTTATCTATGCTACTCTATATAACAGATGGAAAAAGCTTGGGTAATATTCAGTGCGGATACTGACTTGTGTTCCTGACTCATAGGCGGTGCTCAGACACATTTAACCCACTGTCTGACAGAATAAATGAACGTGTCCTGTAAGTGAACCCGTTCTGGGCATGAGGTTAATTATTTTCTATATGAGTACATTAAATCATTTTCTTTTCCAAGGGTAAATGAAGCCTTCAATTTGATTGAATAAAATACAAGATGTGCACCACCATGCCCGGCTAATTTGTTTATTTTTGTACAGGCAGGGTTTCACCATGTTGCCCGGGCTGGTATGGGACTCCTGAGTTCAAGCCACCCACCTGCCTTGGGCTCCCAAAGTGCTAGGATTCCAGGTGCGACCCACTGCACCTGTCCTGAAAGACAGATTTTGCTTAATTTCTACACTTGATGTTCTGGTACAGACATTTGCTTGGAAATACAGTATAGTTAGCGGAAGCCTTTTCATGGGGAAATAAGATATCAGTAAGTATTCCAGGATTTTAAACTAGAATACAAAAGAAGAAAATATTTAAAATAAACTATAGGGTAATATAAAATGTATTTACATCCTTACATTTAACTGCTTATTTTACAAGCAATAAGTTATCATTCACCAATTAATTTATGTCAAGTTCACTTGTATTAATACACATAAACTTCTATGAAGTTCCATAATGCCAAATAAAAAAGCAACATTTAGGTTTAACATGTATTTTATATAGGCATAACGCAACACCAGCATTACAGGATTGCATTTACAAATTCTCTTGACTCTAAGCATGAAGTTATGTTAAAAGACTAAGGCAATTTAACTGTTTTTGGGTTTTTTTATATTAAGGAAACCTAAATTTGTATGAGTGAATTAAATTGAATTACATTTTCTTATAGGCATATCAGTTTACCCTTTGTTAAAATAACACGCACTGCCCTACAAAATGAATGCCGTAGTCACAATCATGTTTCTGCCACAATCTTAAAGATTTGGGGAAACAACTACAATCTAAAATCAGAGACTCCATGTCCAATGCCAAAGGTACACACCTCTATTTTTCCCCAGTAAGCCTCTTGGAAAAGTCTTTGAATTACACGTTAAAGTGCACTTCAAGGAAATGTGATGTTTTCGTTTATAGCTGGTGAACAGCATGCAATTTGACAGCACTGTCACTAACAATCAGAGACTGCTCTGGATCTAAGTACTAAAAATGACCCACACTGCAATCACAAGATATTTGGAAGTGGGGATTTATTGAACAAAGTTAGGCCGGGAGTCTAAAGCAGCACTTGCTTCTTTTGCTCCAAGACGACGACGTTTAACATTAGCATCACTATTGTTTCTTTTTCCCTCAACTCTTCTCCCACACTGCCTTCTTCTCCCCCCCCACCTTCTCCCATCGTCTTTCCCCGCTTCCCTTCTCCCTCCCTCCGCTCCCCCTTCTTCTCCCAGCACTCTTCTCAGCCCGTCTTTCTGCCTTTCTCTTCCCCTCCCCACCTCGTTCCCTGCCTCATCCTCTTCTCTCCCACCAATCTTTTTCCCCTCTCCATCTCTTTCCCCAAGGTCGTCTTCGCCGCTTTCCACTCCCTTCTTCTTCCCCCCAACCCTCTTCCCTCCTCCCTCCCCATCCTTTTCTTCCCTTCACCCCTTTTCCAGTCTTCTTCCCCACCTTCTGCTCTTTCCCTCCCCTCTCCTTCCCGACCCTTCTCCTTTCCCAACGTCTTCCCACCTTTTTCTCCCCTCTCCGTCTTCTCCCCTCCTTCTTCCCCACTGCGGTCTTCCCGCATCCTCTTCTGCCGTCTCCCTACTGTCTTCTTCCCGCACCTTCTTCTCCCCCGCAGTTTTTTTTTCCCCTTCCCCACCGTTTTCTTCCCCTCAGTCTCTCCCATTCCTCGCAGCACGGGTTCCTGTGGCGGCAGCTTTTCCTTCCATCTCCTTCTCTCCACCCGCTGGCTTCCAGTCTCCACCTTCCCGCCTATTCCCCCAGCAGCGTCTTCCCGCCGCTCCCTCTTCTCCCCTCCCCCTCCTCACCGTCTTCTCCCGGCCTATTACCGCCAACCGTTTTCTTCCTCATCCCGCACCCTTTTCTTCCCATGTCTGCCTTAGTCTTCTTCCCACCCTCTTCTCCTCTCCCCATCGCCTTCTTCCCACCCTCTTCTCCTCTCCCCATCGCCTTCTTCCCACCCTCTTCTCCTCTCCCAATCGTCTTCTTTCCCAGCCTCTTCTCCATTTTCTTGCCGCCTCCATATCCCCACCTTCTTCTCGCAGCAGCGTCTTCCTGCCGCGCTTTTCTCTCCCCTCACCATCTTCTCTTCCTCTTCCCCACCGTCCTCTCCCCACGCCCTCTTCTCCTCACTGTCTTCTCCCCGCGCCTTCCCCACAACCGTTTTCTCCCCCGTTTTCTTCCCCTCACACCGTTTTCTTCCCATGTCCTCCCACCGTCTCGCAGCAGCGTCTGTCAGTCGCAATCTTCTTCCCACTTTCTTCTCTCCCCCTCCCATCGTCTTTTTTCCCCAGCCTCTTATTCTCCGCCATCTTCTTCCCCTCCCCACCTTCTCGCAGCAGCGACTTCCTGCCGCGTTTTTCTCTCCCCGCACCCTCTTCTCCCCTCTTCCACTCCCCACCGTCTTCGCCCCCGATCGTCTTCTTGCCCACCCCCTTCTCGCGCTCTCCAACTGCCTTTCACCTAGAAGCGCTCCACGCGTGCGCCCGCCTGTGTCCCTGCGCCTGGTGTGTCTGTGCGCCCAGCCAGCCCCATGAGCTGGGCCCCTGAGCTCCGCCCCAACAGCCAACAGGAGACCCAGGAGAGTCGCTGCCAGGGCCATCACGGCTGCCGCCGCCCCCGCCCCCGCCGCTACCTCAGAACTGAACAGTGTTGGCTGCGGGCGAAAGGCAGTGGGGCCCGGAAGACTGCGGGGAGAGGGGGAGGAGGGGACGGAGAGGGTGGGAAAGACCTTGGAAAGTGGGATGGGGAGAAAGGTGGGGAAGAAGACAGTGGGGAGAAAGTGCAGGGAGAAGACAGTGTGGTAGAGAAGACAGTGGAGGAAAACGGTGAGGAGAAAGGAGGGTGGAAAAGAAGACGATGAGGACAAGGCCGGGCGCGGTGGCTCACGCCTGTAATCCCAGCACTTTGGGAGGCTGATGCGGGCGGATCACAAGGTCAGGAGTTCGAGACCTGCCTGACCAACATGCTGAAACCCAGTCTCTACTAAAAATACAAAAATTAGCTGGGCGTGATGGCGAGCGCCTGTAATCCAGCTACTCCAGCGCCTGAGGCAGGAGAATCGCTTGAACCCCGGAGGCGGAGGTTGCAGTGAGCTGAGAACTCACCATTGCACTCCAGCCTGGATGACAGAGTGAGACTCCATCTCAAAAAAGAAGAACAAACTACAGCGGGGAGAGGGCGAGGGGAAGAAGATAGTGGGGGAAAAAGAGCACCGAGAAAGGGAGAAGAGATGGGGAGAGCTCTATTGTGTCACTGAACATTCCTCAGTTAAAGTTAAAATGTTCTCATAAGTTTGTGTGTTTTCAACTTTTGCTCTTCCAGTTGGTATATTCTTTTCTTCCTCCATCTCCTTTTTATACCTCCAACCACCTTTCTCTTTTTATTTTCCAATGTTTTTCTTTCTTCTAAGAACATTGTTAACGCTGGTAACACTTTACAATGTTGCAAAGCTCTGAACCTATTTCCTGTCATCTCTTCATGCTTTCCCATTGAGATATCAGGAGATTTTCCTTTTACTTTGTTTACACTAGGAACATTTCAGCGTGGCTAGACCTGTTTTCCACCTAATTTTTTTCAACTTCAAGCTTGAGAAACCCAAATATGCTCCTGGTTTTTGTTGTTGTTGTTGTTGTTGTTTTTTGAGACGGAATCTCTCTCTGTTGCCCAGGCTGGAGTTCAGTGGCAAGATCTCAGCTCACTGCAAGCTCCACCTCCCAGGTTCACGCCATTCTCCTGCCTCAGCCCCCCTAGTAGCTGGGACTATAGGCGCCCGCCACCACGCCCGGCTAATTTTTTGTATTTTTTTAGTAGAGACGGGGTTTCGCCATGTTGCCAGGCTGGTCTCGATCTCCTGACCTCGTGATCCGCCCGCCTTGGCCTCCCAAAGTGCTGGGATTACAGGCATGACCAAATGTGCTCCTTTACCAATTGTTTCTGTCTCAGGAATTGGTTTCTTGTTGCACTGTGATACACATGAAGCCATATACCTTTTTCAGCTCATTATCCCCAGAATGTATTTGTACATTATTAACACAGAATAGACACCTAATAAATATTTCTAAATTTTTATTGTTCTTCCTTGCCACAAAAAGCAATCACTTTTTTTTAGCATGATGTACATGCCCTTCTATCATGTTGCCCTGAACTATTTATCAAATCTTATTTCTTCCCACTCCCCCATTTGTTTCCCATGCTGTGGCTGTACAAAACTACTTAGAGCTCTGTCAACTCTCCATGCTATTTTATAATAATCAACACTAATGAAAAGAAAGGGGGCTTTATAACAGAGGCAGAACTCATTATGTTCTAAAAAATACACGCATGTTTCCCATGTTGAATAGTGTCCCGCAGAAAGTCATGTCCAGCTGGAACCCAGGAATGTTAAACTATTTGGAAACAGGGTCTCTGCAGATAACACTTGGTTAAGACAAGGTCACAATGCATTAGGGTGGGCTGTAAAGCCAATGGCTGTGTCCTTTCAGGAAGGTCATGGGAACATACAGAGACCTACAGGGAAGACGGCCATGGGACAAGGGAGGCAGAGTCTGGAGTTACGCTGCCTACAGTCACGGAATGCCAAGGACAGCTGGAAACCACCAGAAGCTAAGAAGGAGATTTTACCTGAAAGCCTCTCAAAGAAATCAATCATACTCACACCTCCTTTTTGAATTTCTGGCCTCGTGAATGGTGAAAAAATAAATTTCTGTCGTCTTAAGCCCCACGGTTTGTAGTCATTTGTTCTGTTCCTAGCCTTAGGAAACTAACACAGCATGCTAAGGGAAAAGAAGAAAATTCTGCATAAAATGTCATTTTACTTTTTAAAACAACTACTGTTGACAGTAAATGAGTATTCTTCCAAGATTCATATGCAGAACATATATGCAGCCCGGAACATTTTTTGGGACCCATGGCATAAGTGATTATGATCGATAAAATCCAAATATTAACCTGCCAAAAGAGTTATTTTATCTTTTGCAGTCATTTAAAGGTAATAAGCAGAGGTCATGAGCCCTATAAAAATTAATCTATTCATTTGTTGTCACTTGATACTTACGATCCGTTGACATATTTAGGTTTTAATTCTTTGTACAGATTATGGTTCGTCTTGCACTGTAATTTTATTGCACAACAAATTTTTTATTTATATATCTAAGTTGTTTCTTAAATGTGAATAACATTGCACTTGAAAATAGAAGACTTCTGTCGACGTTCTCGTAACAGCTTCTTCTAGTTAATAAAAACCTAATCCCATTTTCCTTTTATGTATAGATTACAAGTAAAATCGGCATTTAAAAAGTAAAATCTGTTCAACAATTTCTATTGCTATTGTAGGTAGTATAACATAAAATGTGTCTTATTTTTCCCTCACTCATTGACAATTTAAGTAAATTTTTTAAACCAAGAAGCTCTTTTCACATACCAGGCCCAGTGATTGGAATTGAGTATTCAGTATTGAACAGAGCAAACAAGTTTCTTATCATTAAGCTCATATTCTATGTTATAAACATTTTTCCAGTGAAATTACTGGAATGTTTTCAAGCAATATTGAATTGTGTTCTTATAATCACCTATCTCCATTTATTGTTGAGAATGAAGAAAATTTTGGAGCATTCAATTCAATGCAATGATTTTTTTTTTTTTTTTTTTTTTTGAGACAGAGTTTCGTTCTTGCTGCCCAGGCTGGAGTGTAGTGTCACGATCTTGGCTCATTGCAATCTCCACTTCCTGGGTTCAAACAATTCTCCTGCCTGAGCCTCCTGAGTAGCTGAGATTATAGACTTGTGCCACCATACCCAGCTAATTTTTTGTTTAGTAGAGACGGATTTTCACCAGGCTATCCAGGCTCGTCTCGAAATCCTGACCTCAGATGATCCACCCGCCTCAGCCTCCCAAAGTGCCAGCATTACAGGCATGAGCCACTGTGCCCGGCCCAGTGCAATGATTTGATAGTTATTATGGTGGTTTTAAAATGACCTGAGTGAAATATAGTGCTTACATCAATTCCTTATCTGTCATGCATTTCATCTAGTAATCTGCTCTAACTACATTATTTCTTTTTATTAAATGTCTTGAGATTTAAAAAGATGTTTTGTAGTTATACTCAAGCTTGGAACCATAGTGACCAACTGTTACGGACAGACTGGATTGTATCCCCTTCCAATTAAGTTACGGTGCTGCTACAGAAAGAAAAGAGGTGAACTATTTTTTAAAAGCATTTCTCCATTGGCTTTGAAAATGCCTATATCATCATGAATAGAATGTTGGTAAAATTCTGAAAGCTGAAGGCCATTCTGGTGAGATCTCATATGGAAATGAGATGCAGCTTATTAGAAACAGGAGGAAAAGTGATCCTTGTTTTAAAGTGGCAAAGAACTTGGATGTATCATGTTCTAATATTTTGTGAAAGGTAGAACTTGCAAGTGATGAAATTGTATATTTTGCTGAGGAGATTTCTAAGCAAAGTGATGAATGAATGGTGTGGTTTCTCTTTACCACTTATAGTAAAGTGCAAGAGAAAAGAGATAAAATAATACTTAAAAAGGAATCACAGGCCACATGCAGTGGTTCACTCCTCTAATGCCAGCACTTTGGAAGGCCGAGGAGGGCAGATCACTTGAGGTCAGGAGTTGGAGACCACCTTAGTGAAACCCTGCCTCTACTATTTTTGTAAACATACAAAAAATAGCCAGGTGTGATGGCATGCACCTGTAGTCCCATCTTCTCGGGAGGCTGAGGCATGAGAATCAGTTGAACCTGGGAGGTGGAGGCTGCAGTGAGCTAAGATCGCTCCACTACACAGCAGTCTGGGTGATGGAGCAAGAGTCTGTCAAAAAAAAAAGGAAATCACAGCTTGAATATCTGAAAAATCCTCAGCCTGTCTATATTGCAAAACATAAGAAACATGTTCGGCTGGGCGCGGTGGCTCACGCCTATAGTCTTAGCACTTTGGGAGCCCGAGGCGAGCAGATCACCAGAGGTCGGGAGTTTAAGACCAGCTTGACCAATGTGGAGAAACTCTGTCTCTACTGAAAATACAAAATGAGCCAGGCATGGCGGTGCATGCCTGTAATCCCAGCTACTCCGCAGGCTGAGGCACCAGAATAGCTTGAATCCGGGAGGCGGAGGTTGCAGTGAGCCGAGATCGCACCACTGCACTCCAGACTGAGGGACAAAGTGAGACTCAGTCTCAAAAAAAAAAAAAAAAAGAAAAGAAAAAAAAAAAAGGAAGCAAGCTGGGTATCTGCCTTTAGAGGTGTTGTACCTTTTCAGCATTATAAATGAATAGAGATGAGTGGCAATAGTTACTTTGGTCCATAGATTTTTGGTATCTTAACTAGTTTTGGATCTCTTCCACTAAAGGGATTGCCTGTTGCACGTTGTTAGGAATGTAAATACTGAAGGCAAACTGCCTGGGTTTGAATTTTGTTCTGTCCCTTGCACCCTGCCTGGGTTAAAATACTAGCTCTGCTTATTAAGTTCTTTTATGGTGATGACCTTTGAGCAAATGTCTTAGCTTCTGCTTTCCCAAGTAAATGGACACAATAGTTGCTACCTTGTGAAAGATTCATGTAATTGACCAGTGTTTACCAAGCAGCATCAGTGTTCAGTTTCAGTCATTGGTGATTCCGCAGTTGGACTGTGAGGGGGTGCTGGGGTGGGGGTGGTGTGTGTGTGTAGCACTTAATTGCATGCGGAAAGGAAAAGATACTTTTTATAACCGAGAGGCAGCTTTTCTCTGCTTTTGTGTCAAAAGGGAAGAAGGGAGTTTGGAGAGGGAAACCAATTCTCTTTAATACTAAGCTCTCTTCTTCAAAATCAGAGGTAGATAGAATGTGTAATAATTTACAGAATTTCTAGACTTCAACAATCTGATTTTTTTAAATGTATTTTTATTTTTTCAGGTTGAGACTGAGCTACAGTTAATCTGTGGCGACGTGCTGGATGCACTGGACAAACACCTCATTCCAGTAGCTGACACTGGCAAGTCCAAGGTTTTCTATTAGGAAATGTAGGTTCTATACTAGAAAGGAAAATGTAAGATTAAAAGTTGGCCTTTTTAGAATCATGACTTTCTTCTATGTAGGTTTCCAACTTTTATTTAAAAATAATTGTTTAATGTTAGAAGGATAGTCAATGTTGGGATAAAAAGATGGTCAGGCTATTATAAAAAATGCATTAGCTTTTGCTTTACCTATTTATATTCTTTTGCTTTCATGGGACCTATCTCATTCCCCTCCCCTAAACGGCCACACATTTCACAGTGCTGGCTGAAAGTTTCATGTAGAAATTTTATTTTATGATTAATACACTTGTGCCATTTCTTGGAACCACTTGCTTGTTTAATTCTAGTCTATCAAGTGATAATTTTCTTGATATTTAGAGGCTCCTCAGTTAATTTCTGTGGGATTTTTCGTTATATTTAATAAGGAAAATAATAGGAAATAGCTAAGAAAAAAAGAAACAAAGCCAATTATTCCTGAGCGTGTTTAAAATTATTGAAGTACACTTGTTAATTTTTAGTATAGAACCTACATTTCATAATAGAAAACCTTGGACTTGCCAGTGTTAGCTGCTGGAATAAGGTGTTTGTCCAGTACATTCAGAATGTCGCCACAGATTAACTTTAGCTCAGTCTCAACCTGAAAAAATAAAAATGAATTTTAAAAAATTCAGATTGTTGAAGTCTAGAAATTCTGTAAGTTATTACACATTCTATGTACCTCTGATTTTGAGGAAGAGAGCTTAGTATTGAACAGAATTAGTTTCCCTCTCCAAACTCCATTCCTCCCTTTTGACACAAAAGCAGAGAAAAGCTGCCTCTGGGTCATCAAAAGTATCTTTTCCTTTCCGCGTGCAATTAAGTGCTACACACACACACCACCCCCACCCCAACACCCCATCACAGTCCAACTGCAGAATCACCAATGACTGAAACTGAACACTGATGCTACTTGGTAAACACTGGTCAATTACATGAATCTTTCACAAGGTAGCAACTATTGTGTCCATTTACTTGGGAAAACAGAAGCTAAGACATTTGCTCAAAGATCATCACCTTAAAAGAACTTAATAAGCAGAGCTAGGATTTGAACCCAGGCAGGGTGCAAGGGACAGAACAAAATTCAAACCCAGGCAGTTTGCCTTCAGTATTTACATTCCTAACAACGTTCAACAGGCAATCCCTTTAGTGGAAGAGATCCAAAACTAGTTAAGATACCAAAAATCTGTGGACCAAAGTAACTATTGCCACATACCCAGTTTACTTCCTTTTCTTTTTTTTTTTTTTTTTTTTGAGAGGGAGTCTCACTCTGTCACCCAGGCTGGAGTGCAGTGGTGTGATCTCAGCTCACTGCAATCTCCACCTCCTGGGTTCGTGCCATTCTCCCGCCTCAGCCTCCCGAGGAGCCGGGACCACAGGCGCCCACCACCACGCCCAGCTAATTTTTTGTATTTTTAGTAGAGACGGGTTTCACCGTGTTAGCCAGGATGGTCTCGATCTCCTGACCTCGTGATCCGCCCGCCTTGGCCTCCCAAAGTGCTGGGATTACAGGCGTAAGCCACCATTGCCCGGCCGCTAAACTCTTTAATTTTCAATTACTCCAATTGCTTGAAACTCAAATAGCCATATGGGGCTAGTGGCCACCATTTGGACAGAGTGACTCCAACATTCCATGTGGTGTAATTTTATTTGCTAGCCTTTAGCATCATGTAATGTGATCTTCTTCACTTGTTTTCTGTCTCTGTGACCAGAGCATCAGCTCCTTGAGGTGGGAATTGGTTTGTCTTATCCACTGCTGTATGCTGGGGCTAGAAGTTGGCCTGGCATATAGTAGATGCTCAATATGTAATTGCCGAATGAATGCATGAGTAAATGAATGACTCCTGGGGACCATGAACTCTGAATTTCTCCAAAAGGAATGCTAGTTCTGCCAGGGCTTGCTGCTCTGTGACCTCAAGTCAGGATCTTGCCCTCTCTGGGCTCAGCATCCTGACCAAGGGGCACTGGGGCCCCTCTGGTCCTAAGGCTCGAGACTTACTGCTGCTTACTCTGTCCTGTTGGGAGAAAAGCTGAGTGTTGGGAGAGAAGCTGAGGCAGGGCTTGCATGTCTGCTAGACTTGCTGACTCCTTGCTTCTAGCACTCCCATTATCTCAAGTAGCCACATGTTTCAAAGAAAATGCTACACCATCGCAGCTGTAGCTCACTCACTTGATACATTGATTCCTTTAAACCCCCACAGCCTCACCACCTGTTTCTTTGTTTGAGCACAAATAAATAGCCTGGGCTCCCTGTGTACCCATTGTTCTCACTTAATACATGAGAACATGCAATATTTGGCTGTTTCTGCGTTAATTCACGTAGGATAATGACCTTCAGCTGCATCTGTGTTGCTGCAAAGGACATGATTTTGTTCTTTTTTATGACTGCCTAGTACTTTGTGGTGTATATGCACCACATTTTCTTTATTTAATGAACCGTTGGTGGATACTTACCTTGGTTCCATGACCTTGCTGTTGTAAGTTATGCTGCGATAAACATGGGAGTGCAGTGCCTTTTTATGTAATGATTTCTTTCCCTTTGGGTAGATACCCAGTAGTGGGATTGCTGGGTCGAAAGGTAGTTGTACTTTTAGTTCTTTGAGATACCTCCCTACTTTTTCCATAGAAGTTGAACTAATTGACACCTACCACCGCTTGCTGGAGGTTGAGGACGCCCAGTGAGTGTGCACCCGGGCTGGAGAAGGCAGGAGGTATGGCCCGGAAAAGAGACACAGAAAGGTAATCCAAGAGGGCTTTCTGGAGGAGGTGGCAGCTGAGCCTAGAGGTGAATTTCGTTGGGGAAGAGGGAGTGAGGCCTAGGCAGCTTAGGCCATGACCCCCATAGTGGGAGACGGCTGCATAAGGGTCTCTCTCCTGGCATCCGTCTTTACCCATGCCTGGGCATCCTACCCCCATCACCCTTTAACCCCCGAGGGCCTTGGCTGGGTCCCAGAAATTCCCAGGAGGGTCAGAGAAGACCACGGGGACTCTCATCACCCCCACCCTGGCTCACTTCCAAAAAGGCTGCAAGAAGGATGTTGGAGGGTCTCCTGGAGGCCGCCAAGGGCATTTTCTCATGGAGCCCACGTCTCTCCCCGATCGTGGTGGCTGTGATCGGTAATTCCAGCTTCATACTGGCTACAGGTGGATGATGCCCACCTGGCTGCCGATGACTTCTGCACCAAGTGAGGCTGGGTCTCTGGAGCTGCCCCAGGGGCTGGACAAGCTGACCCTGCCTGGAGCCAACCTGGAGATGCAGCCTGAGAACCTCAAGGAGGACCTGGTCTACCTGAAGAAGAACCATGAGGAGGTGAGTTCAGCTCAGGGAATGCAGCAGAAATTCACCTGGAAGCAAGCGAGGCTGGGGCCCAGAACCTCCCTGGGCTGGGCCATGCTTCCAGTCCAGTTCCCATCCTTTATGGATGCCTAGCTCTGACCCTCAGAGGACCCTGGGTGAGGCCTGGAGGAGCCCTCTTCTCAAATAGACTTCATTTGTCCCTTGAGGCTCAGCTCACTGCAGTTAACTAACTAATGAGTAACTCAGTGTAAGAACACACAATACTAATTACTATAATTAATTATAATAGTGATAGTCATTAAAACAAGGAACTTCTGCCCAGCACTACAAGTGACTCACAGCCATTATCTCAACTGATACAAAAACTGGGAGAAAGGTACTGTTTCTTTCTTTTGACCTGTGAAGAAACTGAGGCTCAGAGAGGTTAAGGGATATATCTATGGCTGCACAGGGACCCTCCTTCAGGTCTGTCGGACTCGTATCCACCCCACCTCTCTGCCCCTCTCCTGCCCCTCCTTTCCAGAAGGTTCTAGGTCCCAGGGACTCCAACCCAAGGATAGAGATCCAAGGTCCTGCCGGGGCGGTCAGGAGGTCTTACATGCCCTGTCCTGTGGCTTCCTTCTCAGCTGAGCTCTGTGCTGCTCTAAGCTGGGGGAGCCTACTCCCTGAGAAGCAGGACACCCGGAAGGTGTTTCCCCCTGGCGTTGAGGCTGGTTATACAATTCCTTTCCTCTAGCAGATTAACATTTGCTAACAGGGCCTGGCGCGGTGACAGCAGCGTAAGGTTGCTTTTTGCATGCCTGTGCTGTGGGGTTGGTGGTGGGGGCAAGGCGGTGGTAGGGGCGAGGCCAGGGCAGTGAGTGAGGTCGCCCATGGTCATTCTCTGCCGTGCTGGGGGGTTGTCATCTCTTGGGGCTTAGCACTTGTTGGGGATGGGTGAAGTCCAGTCCCGAGTCACAGTGTGTGTTGGGGGAGGTTGCTGATATTCATAGCCCTGTATGTTTGAGTAATGACAACATCCATCTCCACCTTCAGGGTGAGGAGCTGTTGGCCTATCTGTGTCTGTCTGTCTGTCTGTCTGTCATCCGTACCTGTCTCTCCCAGGGAGAGAAGGCAGGCCCCAGGGTCTTTCCCCAGGATGGCCTTGGGTGAGTTCCTACTGTCCTCTCTGCCCAGGAAATGAACGCCCTTTGAGGTCAGGTGGACAAGGATGTCAGTGTGAAGATGGACACTGTGCCTGGAGTGAACCTGAGCTGCATCCTGAATGAGATGCGTGACCAGGACAAGAAACTGGTGGAGAAGAGCTGCAAGGATGCCCAGGGCTGGTTCTTCAGCGTGGTGGGTGGCCGTGTGTAAGCAGGTGTGCACACGTGTGGGCACATACGCCGTGTGCTGGTGCAGTTGGAACACCGGCAGATTCACAGGCTGTCCCAGTTGGAAGGACTTTTGGAAACCAGTCGGACCAGCCCTTCATGTCTTCGATGTAAAATGTGAGGCTCAGAGAGGACTCAAGCTCACACAGCCCTTCACTGTGGCCTGCAAAATAGATCCCGTTCTCTGCAAGTCTGGTCTTGGGTTTCCACCACAGCTGTTTACAGGATGTGTGTATTTGAGTACATACACATACCCTTGGCAAGCACAGGCTGAGTGTGTCCGGTGTCCTAGGGACAGCAACAGGTGCAAAAGAATAACACCCAGTGCCTGTCTTTGAGGTGCTGTAGTTCGGTAGGAGTAAGAAATGCAAACGACCGCAGAGCAGGTTGAATTCCTCCAAGGTCCAACATGGGTGCAGAGAGTCTTTGTGTGCAGGTGCTTTTGGGGCCCCATAGAGGCCAGGGAGGGTTTAGGGGATGGTTCTGGGAGGCGAGGGCTCAGGAACAGCCCCTTTCCTGTGCCCCACTTGTGAAAGTCTCCATAAACCCCTGTGGCCCACTCTGCCTTCCAGAGAGAGGGGCTGAACTGCAAGGTGGCCACCAACACAGAGGCCCTGCAGAGCGGCAGGATGGAGATGTGGAGCTCTACATCTCTGTGCAGAACCTGAGCCGTCCCAGCTCAGCAAGGTAGGGCCCCTGTCCCCTCCCCACCCTGTACCTGTCACCCCAGGGTGAGCGCAGCCTTATAGACCCCTGCTTGGAGAACCAGAGTCCCCACCCAGCCTGTCCCTTCACACTCAGTGGCTGGGTGCACTACCACCCAACTGTGCCGGCAGCACCCACAGCTCCATACAGGAGGGGCTCCTCTCTAGTGCTCTGCCATGGGGAAGGGTCCCACGTCCATCTCATCGCACCACCTATCTCTTGGCCCACAGAAAGCATCGCTGGAGGGCAGCCTGGTGGAGACGGAGGTGTGTTACAGGACCCAGCTGGCCCAGCTGCAGGGGCTCATCAGAAGCATGGAACAGCAGCTGTGCGAGCTCTGCTGTGATGCAGAGCACCAGGACCACGAGCACCAGGTCCTTCTGGACGTGAAGACGCGGCTGGAGCAGGAGATCGCCACCTACAGCCGCTTGCTAGAGGTTGAGGACGCCCAGTGAGTGTGCACCCAGGTACCTGCTGGGGCGGGCTGGGGGCCCACTTCACCCAGGGAGAAGTTGGTGTCTGAGCACCAGCAAAGTTCAGGAGGTGTGAATGTGGGAACCTGTGGGGTTTGCAGGAGGTGAAACTGACGATGCAGGCTGGAGTCTGACTGAGGAGCCTTGACTGCCAAGTTAAAGCGTCTGGACTAGATCACGTAGGCAATGGGGAGCCATGGAGGGATTTGGAGCAGAAGAAGGGAATGAACATCAAGATATTTTAGAACATTCACTCTGGCTACAGAGGGAGAAATGGATCAGAGGGGTCAGGGTGGGGCCAGAGAGACGCGTCAGGGGGCTAGAGCAGGGAGTCTGGCCAGAGAAGTCTTGCGGGGTGGAGGCTGGGTGGGGGGGCAGGGGAAGGAAGGTGGTGCACGCAGAAGAGAGGTTATAGCTCAAAACAGCAGGACTGGATGCCTGGATCTCAGGGTAAGCGTGGCTCACGGTCAGGACTCAGTAAGCGTTGGGTGAACACATATGAAGGAGTGGGCATTGATGGCCCTGGGTTTCTGGTTCCGATGACTGTGTGAGTCCATCAGCCACAGGGTGAAGAGCATGGTGGGTGGTGGTCGGGTTTGCAGTTGGGAAGGGTGATCAGGCCTTCAGCTGAGTGTGTCCTGGAGTCTCCATGCTTAGTCACACGTTGCAGCTTTTTGCTCCCCGAAAATGGTGAAGTCCATCTATAGTCTAACGACAGTCTCTCCTGCTTTAATTGGGTCTATTTGTTGGGTCCTCTGGGACATGGAAAAACCACTTGCTCAGCTTCTCCTTGTAAATTCCTGGTGAGTGCCTCCAGGCCTACTGCTGTGCTGTTTCTTTTTCTTCTTCCTGCTGCACTGAACCCCTGCCCTTTCATTCTTGGGCCTGTGCTAATTTCTGTGCATTCCCAACTGTGATTTTTCACCAATTTAGGGGAACCTCCTCTGCCAGGGCCTGCTTCTCCCCAGCAGTGCTTGCAGGGGCCTGGGCTGGCTGGCATCCCTGGGTCGATGGGTGCTCCTCTCCCTGCAGGCTGGCCACTCAGTACTCCTTGTCCCTGGCCTCGCAGCCCACCTGGGAAGGTAAGAAGCTGCCCTGTCCTGCTGTGTGGACCCCAAGGCGGCGGAGAGGCTGAGGACCCTTCTGTGTGGGAGACTGGGGGGACCACAGACTCGGGCAGGTGGGGGGAAGAGCTCCTGCCTGATGTTCCCTGTGCCTCCCTCCTCCATCGCCTGCAGCCACAGTGACCAGCCACCAGGTGTGCCATCGTGGAGGAAGTCCAGGTTGGAGAGGTGGTCTTCTGTAAGCAGGTCCATCTCTCCACCCACTGAGGCCCCTTTCTGCCTGTGACAGCCCCACCTCGAGGGTCATGGCACAGCCATCAGCTGCAGCTCCCAGCATGCTACTGCCACGCCCCGAGTGTCCGTCTGGGCACTGGTCCATGACCTGTTGTCTTTCTGTATCTACTTTCTGCAGCCCCTCACTGAGGAGGCCTCCTGGGTTTGTCCAGTGCCTGCTATTAAAGCTTTGCTCCAAGTTCAATGCCTCGTGTGATCTGGTCTGTTCATTGGTTTGGGGCAGTGTGGGCTGAGGGACTGGGATAGGTGGAGAGTTTATTGAGTGTTTGGGTATTGGCTTGTCACCTGCCAATCTGTTCTGCCCACTCCATCCAGGCCTGGGGCTCCTAGAAGACCAGAGGGGAGGAGGAGGAAGGATTAAGGGTGGAGGGAAGGGACAGCCCCTTGTATTGGGAAAAGTTTCTAAGAATCAGCCCCTGAGTCCCTGTCACCTGTGGCTGGTCCCTGGGAGGGCCACACATACTTTCCAAGGACCACACCTGTTGGGGAGCACTCCCTGCCTCAGCCCAGGGTGGGTTCAAGAGCAGAAGGAGAGGGGCTCGGTGGGGAGGGGCTTCTGAAGGAGTGGTCCAGGGCACTGATGAGTGAGGGGGTGAGAGCGAGGCAGCTAGCCCAGGAAAGCAGACCGGCTCTGCCCAGCTCGGGGTGTGTGTGGGGCAGGGTGGCCGCTGTGCGTGTACGCATGGGGGGTGTCCTGTTTGCTTTGGTGGCTTGGCAGCCACTGGGCTATTGAGGAATCTCTCTCCGCTGCTGGTGGGGCTACCTGGGCCTGTCTGGGAAGTGGAAGCCATTGGCAGTCTGAAACATGACCACCTTCCACCCAGCGGGCCTGGCAGGACCCTGGGACCCAGGGCGGGGCTTGGGGTGGTGGGCAGGGCAGGGTGGGGCTGTGGAGTGGGGCACTTGGCCCGCCCGAGGAGCCACATCTTGGGGAGCCTGGAGTGGGGAGGGGGCTGGCTGGCTGGGGTCTCTGTAAGAGCCTCTTCTTGGGCAATGTCCTTTAGGTTTCCTGTGGGCTGAGACCTGAGAGAAATGCCCCTCCCCTGACCCTGAGGTCTCTTGGGGTACAGAAGGGTGAGAGGAGTGGAAGGGGGCATCCCCCTCTCAGTTGGTTTAGATCCTCTCTTAGCACGGCCCACCTTTCCCCCATCCTATAGCTGAGCCCCTGTTTGCCCACCCCAGCCTGGAGTGTAAACCTGGGGAAAGGTTTACACGAGGAGACTGGGTTAGCAAGGGCTTCTAGGGATGGGGCAGGGTCAGAAGCTGACTGGATGGAACTGTAGCCCCTAGAGTGCATTCCTGGGTGTCAGACTCTGCAGAAGGGGCCAGTGTGGACACTGCACCCCTCTGGAGCCCCAATTTCTTTATCTGCGATGTGGGTTGGTCTCCGAGGCTTGATGGCATTTCTATGCTGTGAGGTGGGCCTGGTGGGTTTGGGCTCAGTTTCCAAGGCAGGATAGGCTCTCGGTCCCTTCTTTCTCTTCAGCACCCAGCCCCGGGCCAGCACCTTGGGTGGAGCAGTGTGGGGTGAAAGACAGCAACTTCAGGGGGTGGTCACCTGACATTGCAACCCATTTCCCCACCAGACAGGGTTGAGGTGGGCCGGGCTGGGGTGGTGGCTGCCTGGGAGGGCCTGGGGACGGTGAAGTCCTGTATTCTCCTCTTCTCCCATATTAGGTCATGGGAAAGCATAGCTGGAGGGCCCGCCCAAATCACAGGTGACGGGCCTCAGAGCAGTGGCACGCACACGCGTGGCACCCAGCACGAGGATTTGGAGAAATGAGGCAAATTCCTGATGATGGGTGGGGAGGGGGTCCCCAGCCACCTGGGAGCTGGCAGGTGGCCCGTGGTGATGAAAGCCCAGGGGAAGGGAAACAGAGGAGCCTGTTGTAATCGCTACGCCCACTTGGTGGCCTATAAAGGAAGCCTGTGAACCCCGGCAGCCCTACACTACTTGGGGCCCCTCTTCTTTCCAGCCCTTCTCCTGTGTGCCTGCCTCCTGCCGCCGCCACCATGACCACCTCCATCCGCCAGTTCACCTCCTCCAGCTCCATCAAGGGCTCCTCTGGCCTGGGGGGCGGCTCGTCCCGCACCTCCTGCCAGCTGTCTGGCGGCCTGGGTGCCGGCTCCTGCAGGCCGGGATCTGCTGGTGGCCTGGGCAGCGCCCTCGGGGGTAGCAGCTACTCCAGCTGCTACAGCTTTGGCTCTGGCGGTGGCTATGGCAGCAGCAGCTTTGAGGGCGTTGATGGGCTGCTGGTCGGAGGTGAGAAGGCCACCATGCAGAACCTCAATGACCGCCTGGCCTCCTACCTGGACAAGGTGCGTGCCCTGGAGGAGGCCGACACTGAGCTGGAGGTAAAGATCCGTGACTGGTACCAGAGGCAGGCCCCGGGGCCCGCCCGTGACTACAGCCAGTACTACAGGATAATCGAGGAGCTGCAGAACAAGGTAGGGCCTGCTGGTGGGAGGGGTCTCCGGGGGGCATGACTTTTTCCCCCCAACTCCTGCCCTGGCCAAAGGCCTGGAGTCCAGCCATAGGGTCTCAGGGAGCCAAGGGTGGTTTGGCTGTGGCTTAGCTTCTGGGAACCTGCCTTGGGGCCCCTGTGTGGCCCACATCCCCCTTTTCTGGGGGCAGTAGGCTGAGTCAGGAACAAACAGGCCTCGTGGAGCCCCTTGGAGACTCAGTTTCTCCCTCGTGGAGCTCCTCCACCTGGAGAGGTTGTAGGATGAGGCAGGAGGATGCAGATGGAGGGCTGGGCCCATGGGCCACTGGATGCGTGGTGTCTTGCTCCTTTGGAGCAGGGGTCAGCAGGAAGGGGTTTTGGGAGGTGTGGAGTGGGGGTGTCTGAGTGAGCTCCCGATAGCACCTGCTGCGGGTGGGAGGCAGAAAGGAGGGGGTGGGACCTCAGGGTGGGGAAGGCCTCTGATGTGCCTTATTTGGGGATTTTTCTGGCTTCTCCTTTCCTCCTGCTGTCCCTTAAGACAGGCTCAGCAAACCGCAGGGGGCGGGGCTGCTGGCTGGAGCCCAGGGTTAGGGATTAGGAAGGGTCCTGACTTCTGATTTGGGACCACTCTTTGGTGAGGGCTCCTTTAGCCTCCTTTTGGGGGAGCCTGTCAGGGGCACCCTCTAGCTGACTGTAAAACGAGGGGGTTGCCCACATCCCCTCCCTTGTTCTAGAATTCTGGGACAGTTTCTGCCCTGGGGACATTTTCCCTTTCTTTTCTGGTTGCCTCATACTCCCAGCCAGCTGTCTCTTCTCCTTTAAGGCTGAGCCTGGCATGGGGGTCTGGTGGGGTACTGAGTAGCGGGGGAAGAAGAGGCACCTTTGAGCCCTTCAGACTCCTGCTTGCCCCTCCTCTGCCAATAATACAGCACGGGGCAAGGGAGGGGCTGGGCGGGAAGAGAGGCCCCCAGGCAGGAAGATCTGTTCAGAACTCTGGTGTGGGCTCAGCCACCCCCATCCGATGACCTGACTACTCTCCCATCTCCGCTGATCCTCACAGCCACCGTGGACAATGCCAACATCCTGCTACAGAATGACAATGCCCATCTGGCTGCTGCTGACTTCCGCACCAAGTGAGTCCTAGCTGTGGGCTTGGGCAGCCTGGGTCAGCTGGGGGAGGATCTCAGGGTACCCCTCCTGACCCCAGGACTCCTTGGTTGCTTGTGGCAAGGCCCAGGA
This sequence comes from Homo sapiens, assembly GCF_000001405.40. Taxonomy (NCBI): domain Eukaryota; kingdom Metazoa; phylum Chordata; class Mammalia; order Primates; family Hominidae; genus Homo; species Homo sapiens. The sequence goes on from NC_000017.11 coordinate 18,428,597, forward strand.
GCTCAGGGTGGGGCAATCCTAGGAGCCCCACTACTTAGTCCAGGATGCAGTGAAGGCAGCCAGTTCTGAAGGTTGCTGGGCTTAGGCAGGGAATAGAAGAGAGGGAGGGGAGGCAGGAGGCAGAGAGAAGTAAGGAAGCTGGTGGGCGTAGGATCTGGCCCTGTGATGGTCCCAAGGCCCCGGGGCTGGAATTCGTTTCCACTCGACCCTCTCATCAGCCCTTCCAACCCCTTAGAGTCCTGGCAAAATGAAGGCAGGTGAGCAGCCAGGACCTGGACCTGCAATTCCAAGCAGCCTGGGCTGAAGTCCCTGATTCCCATGGCAGGTTTGAGACAGAGCAGGCCCTGTGCCTGAGTGTGGAGGCCGACATCAATGGCCCGTGCAGGGTGCTGGATGAGCTGACCCTGGCCAGAGCCGACCCGGAGATGCACATTGAGAACCTCAAGGAGGAGCTGGCCTACCTGAAGAAGAACCACGAGGTGAGGTGGCTGGGGCAGAAGGTCAAAGATGCTGAGGAGTGGGTGGCAGAGCCCTGGGGCTGGGCCATGGCTGAGGCCGTGCGAGAGAGCACAGCAGGCGCACTGGGATTAGTCACCTTAGAGGGCTTCCCTGTCTGCGGAGCCCTGATCCTTGGGGTCCAGCGTGCAGGGCAGACTCCTCTTTGTACCACACTGCTTCTCTGTACCCAAGGAACCTCCCAGGGGCCCGCAGAGGCTCCCTCTACCTGCCCTGGCCTCCCTGATGAGGGCAGGGGATAAGTAAGGAAGTCTCCTTCTTGTCCCATTTCAAACTCTCAAAGCTGAACATCTACACAGAAGCTTGGAAATTAGAGGGGAAATTTTTGGGGCATAGGCCTAATAATTAGATTTTATTTTGGAGAGCCCTTGGTCTAATGGGGGAGATAGAGTCTGATGGTGGAGGCAATACTGAGCAGATGAATAAAAATCATTTAGAGGGTCAGATAGAGCAGAGGAAGAACAAAGGAGGGGTCCTTGTGGGGAATGGGGTCACCTCGTGGGGGAAGGCTTGGGAGTGAGAGATCAGGATGGGTCCAGATGCGCACATCCACATCCCCTTTTTCCATAGGAGATGAACGCCCCGCGAGGCCAGGTGGGCGGTGAGATCAATGTGGAGATGGGCGCTGCCCCAGGTGTGGACCTGAGCCGCATCCTGAACGAGATGCGTGAGCAGTATGAGAAGATGGCAGAGAAGAACCGCAAGGATGCCGAGGATTGGTTCTTCAGCAAGGTGGGAGCTGCTGCAGGCCAGAGGTCTCTCTTCGGGGCTGGGGCTCAGGGGCCTTAGCACTGACAGTAGGCCCACGGACAGGTGTCTTGGAGATGCTCCCTCCTCAGCAAGCTGCATGGACCACAGGGTCACCCACTGCATCAACAGACCTGGAGCTGAGCTCAAGCTGGGATCTGGGGGGTGAGTGGGGAGCTAGGGAGCCCCCACAGAATAAAGGCAGAGGGTAAAGACCTTGGGAGTCCCCACCTCTCTCTCAAGAAGTCAGAAACTAGCACCAAGAGCCAGGCTACATGTTCTGGCTGGTTCTCAAGTTTCCGGTCTGTGCCTCCCACACGCAGGGATTAACCATAAAAAGTTAACATTTCAAATGGCATGTTTCTGGGCTTTGGGACGTGGGAAGCTGGTGAGAAGGCATCACTCTGTCCACAGTTAGATTTGGGAGGAGGCCTGACTGAGGAGAGGGATCCAGGCTCACACCACCCTGTCCTGTGTTCTGTCTGCAGACAGAGGAGCTGAACCGCGAGGTGGCTACCAACAGTGAGCTGGTCCAGAGCGGCAAGAGCGAGATTTCGGAGCTCCGGTGCACCATGCAGGCCTTGGAGATCGAGCTGCAGTCCCAGCTCAGCATGGTAGGAACAGTCCTGTGCATGGGGATGGGCCCAGAAGAGGACACTGACAACCCTCACTGACCCCTGGTCTTCCTGCCCTCCTGCAGAAAGCATCCCTGGAGGGCAACCTGGCGGAGACAGAGAACCGCTACTGCATGCAGCTGTCCCAGATCCAGGGACTGATCGGCAGTGTGGAGGAGCGGCTGGCCCAGCTTCTCTGCGAGATGGAGCAGCAGAACCAGGAGTACAAGATCCTCCTGGACATGAAGATGCGGCTGGAGCTGGAGATCACCACCTACCACCGCCTGCTGGAGGGCGAGGATGCCCAGTGAGTGGGGGAGCCTGGGGTCAGGGCTGGGGGCCTCTTGGCAGGGGTGGGGCTCTCAGACTCACATCTAATTTCCTCTCTGTTTTTTTTTTCTTTCAGCCTGACTCAGTACAAGAAAGAACATAAGCATCTTGGTGGCTGAGGCCTTGGGGATTGGGTGCATGGGACAGGCAGCCCACCTGCACGTTGCTGGAGCTGGGTCCCCAGGAGTTCTAGGAGTTGATGGCTGTCCCTCAGCAGGGGTGGGAGAAGTGACCCGTTAGCACTGAGGATTGATACTCAGGAAAAGATCAAATGAGAGAGATGCTGTCTGGTCTGATGGGGTGGGCCAGGGAACTGGTCCTTACCTTGGAGATCCTAGTCTGATGGAGGAGACAGGTCCCACCTCTGGAGATTGTCATCTGATGGGAAGATAGGAACATGGTCTCATGATCTATGCTCTTGACAGCTTTTGGATGAGCGAAAGCAGTCCTGTCTCTGGGGACTCTAGCCTGATGGGAAATAGGGACATGCTCCTTGTCCTCCAAATTCCAGTCTGATGGAGAAGATATGATGCTAGCCCCAGGGTTCCTAGTCTAATGGAGGAGATAGGGGCCTGGTTTTTGTCTTGGCGATCCCAGTCTGATGGGGGAGATGGGAGCAAATCTATGCCCTGGAGACTGCAGAGAAATGGAGATGGATTTCATGGAGTCTACATGGCTCCTCCCTGGCAGGACACACTGGGTCAGAATCAAATAACCCATCTGCGGAGGCAAGACTCACACAGGGCCACCGGCAGAGGGATGGGATGGAAGGGAGGCGGTGGCAGGGACAGGAGGGATGTGTGTGCAGTGTGATGTTGAGGTGCCAGTGGAGGCACTCACAGCACCTGGGGGAGGACGAGGGAGAGAGCCGGCTCCTGTCCATGAGGGCTAGGGGGCAAGCGAGGGCCTCCTGGCCCCTACCCACTTTAAATTGCCTGCTTCTCCTGCAGCGGTGACCACCTGTCAGGTGCCTACCATTGTGGAAGAGGTCCAGGATGGTAAGGTCATCTCCTCCCGCGAGCAGGTCCGCCAGACCACCCGCTGAGGACTCAGCTTTCCCGGCCGGCCCCCCAGGAGGCAGGGAGGCAGCGGTCCCATCTGCCCCGCGGTCTCCGGCCTCTCCACCCTCAGCCCCCTGCTTCAGTCCCTTCGCCATGCTTCCCTGCGTGATGACAATAAAGCTCGTTGACTCAGCTATGAAATGTGTCCTTGTTCTGGCCGCTGAAGTGGGCACTGGGGACAAAAGGGTGAAATGGGAAGGAGTGAGGGTGGGGGGAGATGGTGCGTGGAGACCCCGTTGTTGACTGGCAGGTCAGAGGTCAGCTTAGACCAGCATAAAGAGTAAGTCTGGGGAGAGTTTGGAGGGGGGTGCTCGCATCTCCCAAGGGCTGGAGATTTTCAGGGGGTGGTCCAGGCTGCGCTAGACCCGGGGTGGAGGCGGTGTATCAGGTGTGGTCCTAGGTCGCCACTGCTTGCCCTGTGAGTAACTCTGTGACCTCGGGAAGTTAGGCAGTCACTTCCCCTGACTGAGCCTTGCTTTTCCATCCGTAAATGGATGGGAAGATCTCAGGTGTGGGAGCCCGAATCCTCAGAGATGACTCACTCAATCAGTTGCTCCTTCCTGTCCTGTGGGCTGTGCCCTCCCCCTAGATGGGGCAGGAGGTGGGCAAGGGCTGGGATAAGCACAAAGGGAGGGTGGGTGGGGGAGGCAGGCTGGGTGATTGGGGCCCCGACTCCTGTGTGAGTCTCAGGAAATCCCCAAGAGGGGCTCCCATTGCCTCTGCCCTGGGAATGTGAGCGGGAGGGTGGTGTTTTCAGGGAAGGCTGCGGACCCCAGGCAGGTATGGGAGAAAGGGTGGGGCCTCTCTCAAGGATGTTTCCTCACATGGTCAGCTGTTGCTCAGGATGCGGACAGGGCAGAGTGGGGGGCACTGCAGATGGGGTGGCTGTGCCCAGGGAGCAGTGCCACTCTCCCTGGCGGTCTGGATCCTCTTTGGTTCCCCACTAGGGACAGGGGTGGTGTGAGGGAGGGTAGAAACTGCCTCCTAGGAAAATGAGAAGGAACAGTCCTGCTCCAGCCACTCCCGGCACCCTCTATGAGCTGACCAACGCCAGCTCTTGCTGGTGGCAGCAAACGTGGCTGTGGGGAGCAGTCTGTGGGAGGTGAGCCTGACACCTGGAAATCTTCCTTGTAGTAAATCTGGAAACTGCCAGGTGGGTTGGCCTGCTTTCCTGGTTTTCTTCAAGCAGGGGGTTAGTGGGAGGAGGGTGCCTCCACGTCCTCACTGCTGGACCTGTGGTGTCTCTGCTGCTGCGGAATCAGACCAAGGCCCCCAAACACCCTCTCTCTCCTGGTGCCTGGAGGCTGGGGGTGGGGCCCAGGTCCGAGGAGAATGGGAGTGACCAGAGCCCTCTGAGCCTGGGTTGGTGGGGGTTTGGGACTGGCAGAGGCCAGGGATGGGGGTGGGTACTGACCACTGGGGTATGGGTGACTTTGGGCTGGTCACAAGCCCTCCCTGGACCTTGGAGCTATGACATCCCGGGAGAGTGTTTCTCTCTGCAGGGTAGATGGCTGCCTGGAGTCGGGGACTTGCACCTGCAGCGGCATCTGCACGACTCAAAGCAAGGGCAAGCTCTGCTCCGTTGGAGGCTGACGTCTCCCTGCTCTCTGGCAGCAAATGTGGGGCCATGGAGGGCAGGAGGGAGGCACTGTTTGCACCAGGCCCCCACCATACACCCCGCCACAACCAGAAGAACAGCCCTGGGCTGCAGATGGCTCATTCTGGAGGGTGACTTCATTTGTCTGAATAGTCCCCGGAAGCAGGGAGGGTCTAGGGGAAGGCGCCTTGTTGTGTGGATGGGGACACTGAGGCTCCAAGGAGCAGTGACTCAGCCCTTGTCCCACAGCCTGAGGGGTCAGTAGTGGAGACGGGCACGGGAGGGGAGTGGGCCCCGCTTCCGTGCTGGGAAGAGGAGCCAAGCCCCAGCTCCTCCCCCACCTCAGGCTCCAGGCAGGGCTATCTCTCCCTCCTGTAGAGCCTGGGGTCCACAATTACTGATGGCGTGAGTGAGGAGGGGTCAGAGTGTGGGAAGGACCAGAGACAGCCCCAGACTGTGCCCCTCTGCTGGGGAAGAAGCCCTTCTCCACAAAGTGAGTGGGTGGGAGGCTCAGGAGGCCAGAATGGGGGAGCCCCCCGGTGTGCCCAGAGAGCTGAGCCAGTAGAGGCAGTGGTTGCCAGGGGCTGGTGGGGAGACTTGAGTGACTTTGTCCAAGGACCCCAAGTGGGCCCAGGATGCTGGGGACATGTGCCTGGGCTGGATTGGGGACCCAGCTATGGGACTCAAGGAGGGACTCACAGTTCGTCCACACACTCCCTGCCCACTGCACAGAATGTCCTCAAGGCAGAAGCTGCGGATATGTGGTTACCCTGTAGAGCTGCCACACCTGGTCTCGTGTGATGGACACACATATAAGACTCTCAGGCCAGACCCATGCCAGTGGTAGCTGCCTCCGGACCCCCCTTGCAGGGGTTGACCTGGCAGCATGTCTTCTACGGAGACGGATGTGGTGGGGGACACTCATCCATGGCATGACATCGCTCTGCGTCTGGTTTGCACTGAGTCCAGGGAAAGGAGGAGACACCGGTCCTGACCCCAAGAGACAGTGCCTGCCCCAAGGGGACCTGAGGGACTGACAACAGTCCCTCAGCCCTTATGCAGTGTGGGTCTATTGTGGCAACCAAGGTTTTGGGGAGATGAGGGGAACAGAGGGAGCAGAGCCAGGCAGGTCTCCCCACATGCACAGAGCCGAGGGGATAACTGAGCTTGACAGAGACCCGTCCTCACCCTGAGCTGTAGTGACCATTTGAAGAAACATCCCTGAGAGAGGCCCACTCTTTCTCCCACAACCCCTGGGGTCTGCAGCCTTCCCTGGAGGCACCAGCTTCCCGCTCACACTCCTGGGGTGGGGGCAATGGGAGCCCCTCTTGGGGGTTTCCTGAGACTCATACAGGAGTCCGGGCCCCTTGTTTGTGCAGAACAGGCACCCCAAGTGGGTCCAGGCTGCTGAGGACATGTGCCTGGGCTGGACTGGGGACCCAGCTATGGGACTCATGGAAGGACTCACAGTTCGTCCACAGCCACCCTGCCCACTGCACAGAATGTTTCACCCCATCATCAAGGCAGAAGCTGCAGATCTGTGGTTGGATTGTGAAGGGCTATGACAGCCCCACCTTCAGAAGGGGGGCGTCAAACTTGCAGGAGGGGAGAGGACCCCCGAAGGTGGGCCTGGCACTCACAGATTTCCCCAGATCCCTGGAGCCGTCACAGGGGCAGAGCCTGGGCCTGGACATTCGTTCTCCCCCAGGAACCCTGCTCCCTCTGTTTCTCTGCAGGGCCCCAGCACCCCATCGTGGCCTGACTTTAGTGTATTGGGATTGTCTTTACCACCTTCTCCCCCAGAAGACTATGTCTCCAGGGCTTCTCTGTCTTGTTCTTTGAGTCTGAGTGCCCAGCACAGTGTCAGGCACACAGTAGGTGCTTTATAAACACCTGCTCATAAACATAACGCTAGCCACCAGCCTTTGCCAGGTGCTTTATTTATTTGGCCTCAAATCCCCTAATATGCCTGTGACGCAGGGCTGTTATTCCCATTTCCCAGACAAGGAAACTGAGGCTCAGAGAGGCTGAATATCCTGCCCAAGGTTTTGCCCCTGCTTGCCCCGATTCCAGGCTGCTCTGTCCTGGCTCAGTGGGGCTCTACTTTTCCTTCCTCCTGCCCTGAAGCCTGTGGCTCTGGCTTGTCCACCCAGGGCTGGGGGCCCTGCAGCAGCCCCCTCTCTCCCCTCAGCTTCTCTGCCCCCCTCCTCAGCCCCCTAAGCTGCCTCCTGCCTTCCCAGTCTGAGTTGGCTGGGGAGCTTGTAAAACAGCCCCACCAGCAGGCTTGTCCTGAGTGGTGCTGATGCAGGAGTTGGAGCAGGGCTGCGAATCTTCTTGGGGACTCTGATGATCTGTCTGGTTGGAGAATCACTGCAAGCCAAGGCGTGGCATTGGCCAATGGTGATTCCCGGCCTCCTCAGGTATGCTATGATCTCCGCCTCATGCTTGACATGGGCAGGACGAAGGAGGGAGGAAGGAGGCAGGGTGCGGGGAGGAATCCTCTGCCTGGAGGATGCCCACTGGGCTTCTCTATGCTCACCAGGCTTAGAGGTCCTGGCTCTTGGCCACCTTGGGGCAAGTGTGCATCACTGATGCAGAGGAAACGCCTCCTCCTCTTCTGTCAACTCAGATCCTCTGAGGCCCTGCTGGTGCCTCCCTCTGCTGGGACCCTTTCAGGGATCAAGGCCAGGAGGGCAGCCCCCTCCTCTACTGCTGAGGCTCAGCGGGGTAATGCTTACCCCAGCTGCCTCCGGTGGTGTGGGCGTGGCAGGCAAGCCCAGCACCCTAGGGTTTCTAGCCAGGTTCTGCATTTTCCAGCGTTAGTTTTCCCTCCAGGGTCAAATGATAAGTTCTTCTAAGGTCAGAGACTACGTCATCATTTCCCTCTTCACCCCCAGCCCCCGAGAGCTGTGCACACAGCAGCTGCGTGATCTATGGAGTTGGCTGAGCAGTTTGGCGCGTTGGTCAGCAACTTCCTGCAGCTTCTCAGCCCACGCAGATCCTCAGGTCTGCAGTGCTGGGCTTGTGTATAATCCCACCCTGACACCTCCTGGAATGGGGAACTTGGCGGGGGGCAGTGAGCCAATGAGAAAGGGGTGTGTGTGCACGCACACACGGTGGGGGCAGAGAGTGAAGAGTTCTCGGAGACTCCACTGTGAGAGTCGGTGTGAATCCTGGCTTGGGAGTTGGAGCTGGCTCCGGTCTGTGCTCTCTCACTTTTGTGCTGCTTAACCTGGATAAGGCTTTCGCCCTCTCCGGTTGGGGTATTGATAGCCTTTGGTGACCTTGAAGACCATTTTCAGTTCTGAGGGTGATGGGTCTGTGGTTGGACTGGAACTCCAGGCCCACCCTGACACCTGAACGCTGAGGTTTTTGTCCAAGATTCCGGGGTCCCCTTTGTCCCTCTTTGGGGTGGGGGTGGGTGTGGGGAAGAGAGAGATCAGTGTCTCTTTCTATACGGACTGTGTCTATATAGAAAGAAGTAGACATGAGAGACTCCATTTTGTTCTGTACTAAGAAAAATTCTTCTGCCTTGAGATGCTGTTAATCTGTAACCCTACCCCAACCCTGTGCTCGCAGAAACATGCCCTGTGTCGACTCAAGGTTTAATGGATTTAGGGCTATGCAGGATGTGCTTTGTTAAACAAATGCTTGAAGGCAGCTAGCTTGTTAAAAGTCATCACCACTCCCTAATCTCAAGTACCCAGGGACACAAAACACTGCGGAAGGAAGGCCGCAGGGACCTCTGCCTAGGAAAGCCAGGTTTCTCCCCATGTGATAGTCTGAAATATGGCCTCATGGGAAGGGAAAAGACCTGACCGTCCCCCAGCCCGACACCCGTAAAGGGTCTGTGCTGAGGAGGATTAGTAAAAGAGGAAGGCCTCTTTGCAGTTGAGATAAGAGGAAGGCGTCTGTCTCCTGCTCATCCCTGAGCAATGGAATGTCTCGGTGTAAAACCCGATTGTATATTCCATCTACTGAGATAGGAGAAAACCGCCTTAGGGCTGGAGGTGAGACATGCTGGCGGTAACACTGCTTTTTAATGCACCGAGATGTTTATGTATGTGCACATCAAAGCACAGCACCTTTTCCTTAACATTGTTTATGACACAGAGACATTTGTTCACATTTTCCTGCTGGCCCTCTCCCCACTATTACCCTATTGTCCTGCCACATCCCCCTCTGGGAGATGGTAGAGATGGTAGAGATAATGATCAATAAATACTGAGGGAACTCGGAGACTGGGGCCAGCGTGGGTCCTCTGTATGCTGAGCGCCAGTCCCCTGGGCCCATTTTTCTTTCTCTGTACTTTGTCTCTGTGTCTCTTTCTTTTCTCAGTCTCTCATCCCACCCCACGAGAAACACCCACAGGTGTGGAGGGGCAGGCCACCCCTTCAGGTGGGGAGTGTCGGGTTCCCTCTCCCAGGTTTGGCTCTGAAGGCATGTGCATCCATTCTGCTCTTACCTCTGATCCCAGAGTGACCAGGGGAGATGTAGCAGCAACAAAACCCTGGTTCTGCTGAGACAAGGAATTGCCTGCCCCAGTGGAGCCCAGGCAGAGGCAGGCTGTCTCTGGGCTCCTCACCTCAACAGAGGCACTGCAGAGCAAGGCCAGTGGCCAGCACCAAGGGATGCCCCACGGCACCCTGAGGAGGCCCCGTCTTGGTGCCCAGATCCCTCCTCCTCCCTCCAGTCCTCGGTGCTGCACCAGCCTCTCAGGCCAAGGCCACGCCCACCCTGGGCAGACCTCATGCCAGTGATCGTGGGGAGGTGGGTGAGAGTTGGGTATACTGGCCCCGCCTGCAGGCATGGTGGGAGCCTGGAGAGGGCTGAGGTCTGGGTTCTAGTTGCAGCTCTGCAGCTTAAAGCAGAGTGACTTTGAGTGAATCTCCACCTGTCTCTGGTTACCCCTCTGTCCCCTCTGATCAAGAAAATGATATAAATTTGAGATGCACAGAGAGAGGGCTCAGGATGACAGAACAGGCTTAGGCAAGGAGAACAGGCAGGCAGGTTCACATCTCAGCTTCCAGTGCCTGGTGTCTTGGGAAGCCCACTTATCCTCCCTGAATCCCAGCTCCCTCACCTGAGGACTGGTGGCAGGAATAACGCCCCCGTCATCCCTGCTCACAGAACCGTACAACACACACCAGGCTCTCCATGCGTGCCTGAGTGGGCCCATGACCGGTGCTCTCCCCCAGCTCAGCTGGATGAATGGAGCTGCCAGGCCCAGCGTGGGATCTGTGGACACAGGAGAGAGAACTGCTGGGAACGGATCCCCAGCCAGTCCTGTTTCTACAGGGTAGGGGGGAACTCTGAGGCCCACGGCGGGGTCAGGGGTCACACTTGGCTGCAGTGGCAGGACGGGGCTCCCTCCCACCGGCCTGCAGGTGGGGTGCCTGTGATTAGGAGAGGGCGGTAGAGGAGTGGAGGAGCTAGGTGTGGGGCTGTGGTGTTCTTCTGCTGGGAGTGTGGGGGACGCAGGGCCCCGCGTAGCGGTTCGGGAGGGTGCCAGTGTGTAGAGGTGAGTGTGAGGAGCAGGTGGCTGGAGGGGGAGGATGAGGAGGATGAGGGGCAGGGCTGGCCCTTGGGGAAGGGCCAGTGGGGCGCTTCGCACATGTTTCTTTGTGGCTAGTGGTGTGTCATCCCCTTTTACAGATGAGAAAACTGAGGACCAAGGGGCTGTAAGACCAGCCTGTGCTGTACAGCTGGTAAGGGCAGAGCAGGGACTCAGTGCCGCCTGTCTGGCTCCATGGCCAGTGCTGTTTGTATGGTGCACACACTTCTGGAGATCCCGGGGGCTCAAGGCAGCCTCCGGAACTGGAATTAGATCCAAGAGGGGAAAGAGAGTCATAGGATTTTTAGAACCAGAAGGGACTCTGCAATCACCCAGTCCAGCCTGGTCACCACTGAGGGGAAACAGGCCCAGAGGTGGGAGGTGGGGAGCCTCAGGCCACACAGCAAGCAGAGTGAAGACACGAACTCTGCCCCTGCCCAGAGTGGGACATGTAGGATCCCCGCAACTGCTCCCCAAGACAGCCCAGGATGGCATCACTGAGGTCTCTTTCAGCCAAGGCTGTCACTGTGGGGCAGGGAGTTCTTCTGAAGGGCTGACTCACTGCCTGGGGACGCAGTTGCCACAAAGCCACCTGTGCCAAGGCCCCACTGGCCCCAAGGGCTCCAGGAACGGGAGCCTGATTCCCGGCCACCTAGCCTGAGTCACCACCGACTCGCATTTGTGTGTTTTTCTCTCAGCTCCACACTCTCAAAGCTGGGTGGGAACTCTGAGCCAGCACACAGCGGAGTTGATCCTGGGCTGAATAATCCAGAGTGAGGAGTTGGACGGGACTGGGAGTGATGAAATCCAGAGGGGAACCTGGAGTCAGCAGTTAGGAGGGCCCCGCCTTCCCCAGGTGCATATAAAGGTCTCTGGGGTTGGAGGCAGCCACAGCATGCTCTTAGCCTTCCTGAGCACCTTCCCTTTTTTCAGCCAACTGCTCGCTCGCTCACCTCCCTCCTTGGCACGATGAGCACCTGCAGCCACCAGTTCACCTCCTCCAGATCCATGAAGGGCTCCTGCAGCATCGGGGGCAGCATCGGGGGCGGCTCCAGCCGCATCTCCTCTGTCCTGGCCGGAGGGTCCTGCCATGCCCCCAGCACCTACGGGGGGGCCTGTGTGTCTCCTTCTCTCGCTTCTCCTTTGGGGGAGCCTGCGGGCTGGGGGGCGGCTATGGCGGTGGCTTCGGCAGCAGCAGCAGCTTTGCTAGTGGCTTTGGGGGAGGATATGGTGGTGGCCTTGGTGCTGGCTTCGGTGGTGGCTTGGGTGCTGGCTTGGGTGGTGGCTTTGCTGGTGGTGATGGGCTTCTGGTGGGCAGTGAGAAGGTGACCATGCAGCACCTCGGTGACCGCCTGGCCTCCTACCTAGACAAGGTGCGTGCTCTGGAGGAGGCCAACGCCGACCTGGAAGTGAAGATCCGTGACTGGTACCAGAGGCAGCGGCCCAGTGAGATCAAAGACTATAGTCCCTACTTCAAGACCATCGAGGACCTGAGGCACAAGGTGGGTGACTTTGGTGTATGGAGCACTGAGAGAGGCTGGGGCTATAGTGTCCCTTGGGATACCTCTTTTTAGCAATTGCACTTTACAAACAGGGAGACTGGGCACCTTTGGGGAGTAGCCAGGATCATCCAGGGAAGTGGTGGCAGAGGGTCCCTTTTCAGCATCTCTGTGCCCGGACTGGGGCTGTTACCCTGAATCTCTTATTTCCTGCAAGGGTTCAGCTGCAAGTTCCGCTTCCCTGCCTTGGGCCCAGGAAGGGGGTGATCGGGATGGAGTGCATCCCTGCATACCCTGAGCTGGTGGAGAAGGCATGCCAGCCCTGCCAGCCAGAAGACTTCCAGATTTGAGGAGGTTCCTTTTGCCCCTTTCTGCCTTTCACGCTCAAGTAGTAAGGTCCTTGCCTGACCAGGGCTCCTGTCCTCCATCCCCACTCCAGATCATTGCGGCCACCATTGAGAATGCGCAGCCCATTTTGCAGATTGACAATGCCAGGCTGGCAGCTGATGACTTCAGGACCAAGTGAGCAGCCAGCATGGTGGGCTGGGGGCAGAGGGCAAGGGACAAAGAGTGGAGCTGTCCACCCAGCAGGGCCAGCAGACCCCGAGCCTCAGAATCCTCAGGGCTGCAGCCTAAGGACCTGACCTCTGTCCTGCCAGTTAGGAGCACGAGCTGGCCCTGCGGCTGACTGTGGAGGCTGGCGTCAATGGCCTGTGCCGGGTGTTGGACGAGCTGACCCTGGCCAGGACTGACCTGGAGATGCAGATAGAAGGCCTGAAGGAGGAGCTGGCCTACCTGAGGAAGAACCACTAGGAGGTGTGGTTGCTGCTGGCTTCCGGGATGGGAGGCTGGTTTGGTGGGGTTGCCAGATGCACCCAGGGCCAGGAGAGGAGTCTGCTGAGCTGACCGCCTCCTGCCATCCCTTCCCAGGAGATGCTTGCTCTGCGAGGTCAGACCGGTGGAGAAGTGAACGTGGAGACGGATGCCGCACCTGGCGTGGACCTGAGCTGCATCCTGAATGAGATGCGCAACCAGTACGAGCAGATGGCAAAGCACAACCACAGAGATGCTGGGCCTGGTTCCTGAGCAAGGTGGGGCTTGGGCCCTCAGTGGGCCTGCAGCACTTCCCAGCTGGGGGCTTTGGGAGAGCCTCACCTTTCACTCTGCTTTCCTGTCTCAGACCAAGGAGCTGAACAAAAAAGTGGCCTCCAGCAGTGAACTGGTACAGAGCAGCCGCAGTGAGGTGACGGAGCTCCAGAGGGTGTTCCAGGGCCTGGAGATGGAGCTGCAGTCCCAGCTCAGCATAGTATGAAGGACCCGGCACAGCAGCAGCCCCCAGGTCACCAGTAATGGCCACCACCCCCTCAACAAGCCACAATTTAGTTCCACCTTTCTTTTCTCAGGATGGGACCAGAGGACTCACGGGACCTGTTATATAGATAGAGAAACTAGCCCTAGAATAGTGGGCTAGCATTTCTCTATATTGTCTGGCCCATCAGTACCCCAACTGGGATCAAAATCCAGGCACCTCTCAAAAAACATGCCCAGAGACCTGGAGGGACAGGAGTGACCACCTCCATTGACTCTTTTTCTCTCTCTCACTTGCAGAAAGCGTCCCTGGAGAACAGCCTGGAGGAAACCAAAGGCTGCCACTGCATGCAGCTGTCCCAGATCCAGGGACTGATTGGCAGTGTGGAGGAGCAGCTGGCCCAGCTATGCTGTGAGATGGAGCAGCAGAGCCGGGAGTACCAGATCTTGCTGGACATGAAGACACGGCTGGAGCAGGAGATCGCCACCTACCGCCACCTGCTGGAGGGCGAGGACGCCCAGTGAGTCCCAGGCCCCTCAGTTCTGCCTCCCAGACCCTTTAGCCCCCCTGCTGCTCTCAGCACAACTGACTGCCCTGCCTTTTCTCACCCACAGCCTTTCCTCCCCACACGCATCTGGCCAATCCTGTTCTTCCCGAGTGGGTAAGGCTCCTGAGGCTCCCCGGCACTGCAACCCCTCTGCCTGTTTCCATGGAGTGGGGGCCAGGCCCTTCTCCTGAGAGCTCCCAGCTCTCCCTTCTCCCTGCCCTGGAGTTGGCTTAGCTCTCAGACCCCTTCTCACCTCCTCTTCTCTCTCCCACAGTCTTCACCTCCTCTTCGTCCTCTTCGAGCCGTCAGACCTGGCCCATCCTCAAGGAGCAGGGCTCATCCAGCTTCAGCCAGGGCCAGTGCTCCTAGAACTGAGCTGCCTCTACCACAGCCTCCTGCCCACCAGCTGGCCTCACCTCCTGAAGGCCTGGGTCAGGACCCTGCTCTCCCAGCGCAGTTCCCAGCTGTCTCCCTGCTCCTCTACTGGTGATGGGCTAATAAAGCTGACTTTCTGGTTGATGCAAACCTGTGTGATCTCTGTTCTTGAACTGATGGGAGGGGAGTTGCAGGTGCTTTCCAGAAACCTCCTGGAGCCTCACAGCCTGAGAGATGTGGGAAATGGGACAAATCTCAGAAGATCTTGAAGGCTCTTCCTGGAAGACCTCCATGCTCTATGGAAGTGGGAGGTGGGACACAGGATGGGGGAGTGTCCACACGTGCTGACTGACACCATGGAGGCATTCTACAGAGGTTATTTTACGAGGTTGCCCTTGCAACCCTGTGAGGTGGGTGTGGTCAGGCCCATTTTGGAATTTGACAACCCCCAGAATTCAGAGTTTCAGTAACTTGCGTAAAATCATGCAGATAGTAAGTGGCACGGCTGGAGCTCAAACTCAGTTCTGTCTGTCTGCAAAGTCCATGCCTTTCTTTTAACACCACTCTACCTTTTCAGGTATTTTAACCCGAAGACTCCCACGCTTGAATCTTAACTCTACCCATGGGCTCCCCCACATCTGCACACAGTTTCTACATTGGAGGGTGGAAGGGAGTGGTATCTGCCTTGAGAACGATGTCCTCGTCAGACCTGAAATCCTCCTTCTCCCAGCCTGCTTCTCCTCACACCCCATCAACTCCTCCTTCCTCATTCCCCTCAGCTGGTGAATTGCGTGCTGATGAGCACCCTAGGAAACACCTGCTGCCCCATGGCCATTGCCATGTTCAGATCTTCTTCCTCTCTCCCTAGACCTGGGCACAGCCTAACTGGGTCCCCTTGAGAGTCAATCTCATCCACATTCAATTTCCACTGAATGATTTCCACCAGAATGTGGTCAGGATCAAGAACAAGGGTGAGATCAGGACTCCCCTGCTTAACAGCCGGCGATGGATCCCATTCCCCTCCAGCACTCAGCCTTCAGTCTCAACCCAGCTTGGTGTCCTCCTGTCCCTCCCAGCTCCAAACCCCCGAGTCACCCCTACCTGACTGAGATATGACCCATACCTCTCAGTTGCCATTCCTTCTTCCTGGATGCCTTCCATATTTTAAATATTTAAATTTAAAAAAGTTATGTATGTATAACATCATAAGCCTTTTTTTTTTTTGAGACAGAGTCTTGCTGTGTCGCCCAGGCTGGAGTGCAGTGGTGCGATCTCAGTTCACTGCAAGCTCCACCTCCCAGGTTCACACCATTCTCCTGCCTCAGCCTCCCAAGTAGCTGGGACTACAGTCACCCACCACCATGCCCGGCTAATTTTCTTTTGTATTTTTAGTAGAGACAGGGTTTCACCGTATTAGCCAGGATGGTCTCGATCTTCTGACCTCGTGATCTGCCTGTCTTGGCCTCCCAAAGTGCTGGGATTATAGGCGTGAGCCATGGCACCCGGCCAAGACTTTTTTTTTTATTATTATGCTTTAAGTTATAGGGTACACATGCACAACATGCATGTTTGTTACATAGGTATACATGTGCCATGTTGGTTTGCTGCACCCATCAACTCATCATTTACATTAAGTATTTCTCCAAATGCTATCCCTCCCACAGTCTCCCACCCCCTGACAGGCCCCGATGTGTGATGTTCCCCGCCCTGTGCCCATGTGTTCTCATTGTTCAACTCCCACCTATGAGTGAGAACATGTGGTGTTTGGTTTTCTGTCCTTGTGATAGTTTGCTTAGAATGATGGTTTCCAGCTTCATCCATGTCCCTGCAAGGGACATGAACTCATCCTTTTTTATGGTTGCATAGTATTCCAAGGTGCACATGTGCCACATTTTCTTAATCCAGTCTATCATTGATGGACATTTGGGTTGGTTCCAAGTCTTTGCTATTGTGAATAAGACTTTTTTTTTTTTAATGAAAAAGCCATCCCTAGACTGGATACCACAGCTCTGTTCCTGCCTCCCCTTTTCAACTTCAGCTGTTTCTTTTGGGATTTGTCTCCTTACTTCTAAATAACAGGCTTTACCTTGTTACTGTTTGGTTTTTCTGTTTCAGTTTTTAATTGCTTGACTTCTGGCTGTGAAGGATGAGGATGTAGATCTGTTATACAGCATTGCCCTTCCCCACTTCTTTTTAAAATATCTTCTTCCCACCTTCTCAATATATTCATATTTTTGTTAAATAAATGTTTACATTATCATGACTATTTAAATGTTATTCATAGTCAAATCATATATTATACTATATTACATTTTATACTATATTAAATTTCCTTGGAATAAATATCTCTTTTTCAATTTGCCTAAACTTTCTATGTATTGATGATTAATTTGTTTCCTGATTCACTGCTGGAAGCATAAATCTCCTCAGTATTTTAGAACCCTGGGTGTTCCTTCAATTTCATCCTCATGAAGATGTGTCTCCTAGGGCCTTCTGTCCTGCTCTTGTCTGTTCTGGGTGCTGTTTGGGTCTCCTGCTCAGCTGTGATCCTGGAATCTCTCTTCACCATCATCCTGAAATCCTTCTTTTTCCTGTGTTGCTTTCCTTGTTTTCTGGATCCAATGTCTTCCTCCTTCCTGTTTTCATTTTTCCCTTTGTTTTAGTGAAGCACATCCTCAAGTAGTTTCCTGGGAAGGGAGTTATCAGGGTTAAATTTTTTTAGACCGTTTGTGTCAAAAAGATCTTTAGTTGATCCTCACTCTTGACTGATAGTTTGGCTGGGTATGGAATTCTAGCTTGGAAACCATTTGCACTCAGCATTTGAAGGTACAGTTTCAGTGTTTCTTGGATTCTGGTGTTGCTGTTGAGAAGTCTTATGCCATATTGATTCTAGATCACGTCTTATTATCCTATTCCCACACTCTTCCCTAGAAGCTTTTCAGTTCTTCTCTTTCTCTCCAGCAGGCTGAAATACCATGTGTTGAATTGATGCAGCTGTGACTTCATCCACTGGCTGGACACTAGCAGAAACTTCCAATGTGGGAGCTCATGTTGTTCAATTCTGGCAAATTTTCGTGTTTCATGATTTCCTCCCTCCATTTTCTCTCTTTCTGAAATGGCTCTTTTTCCTATGTATTCTGTTTTATTTTCCGTCTTGTCTTTTTTTCTTTGTTGCTGTTTTCTGAGAAATTTCTTTAACTTTGACCTCTAACTCCATTATTCAGAGTTTTAAAAAATCTGCTGTATTTGGCCGGGCACAGCATCTCATGCCTGTAATCCCAGCACTTTGGGAGGCCAAGGTGGGTGGATTGCTTGAGCCCAGGAGTTCAAGACCAGCCTGGGCAACATGGTAAGACCCTGTCTCTACAAAATATATAAAAATTAGCTGGATGTGGTGGCCTAGGCCTGTAGTCCCAGCTGCTAGGGAGGCTGAGGTGGGACGATCACTTGAGCCTGGGAAGTCAAGGCTGCAGTGAGCTGAGATCACACCATCACATTCTAGCCTGGGCAACAGAGTGAGATCCTGTCTTAAAAACAACAATAATCTTTTATATTTTTCATCTCTCATAGCTCTGCATGTTTTTTCAACAGTCTCTTGTTCTTGTTTCAAGATGCAATGGTTTCTCTGATCTCTTTGAGCCTATTAGTCCTGGCTCCAGCAGTGCTTCTATTTCTGTCATCAGCTCAGTTTCCTCAGTTTCTTTCTTGCTGTTTGTCTTGCCTCCATCTTTCATGCCAGAGGCTTTTCTCAGATGTATGGTGGTCCTTGGTAGTCGTTCATATTTAAGAGTAAGTCACTGAGAAACTGATTGGAATATGTGTATATGTGTATGGATAGCATGGGAGCTTGCCACTGGTAGGTCTCAGTATAGAGTAATCTGGTGGAGAATAAGCTGTTTCGTTGGGGGACAGTTATCTGTAGGACTTTTCTTGGGGAGGGTCTTCCTCAGAAGGAATACCTCTAATTCCCTGTCTGGATTGTAAAAGCTACCAGCTTTCTGGAAGCTGAGTGCAGGAAGGGGGCAGAGAAGGTCTCAGTCTCAGCTACTCTGCTACTAGTTGATTGCAGTTTATTGGCCCTGCTTGGTGTCTCAGGATTCAGAGTCCCTCTGGGGAAATTCTCAAGCATAAACATCTAGTTTCTCCTGGAGTAATCGTGGAGTGGTTGGGTTCAGACAAGGAAGGGAGAGAGGAGCTATAGGGGCCTCTCTGCTTTTTTTTTTTCTTTTCCCGAGATGGTGTCTCACTCTGTTGCCCAGGCTGGAGTGCAGTAGCACCATCTCGGCTCACTGCAAGCTCTGTCTCCCGGGTTCACACCATTCTCCTGCCTCAGCCTCCCGAATAGCTGGGACTACAGGCGCCCGCCACCACGCCTGGCTAATTTTTTTGTATTTTTAGCAGAGACGGGGTTTCACCGTGTTAGCCAAGACGGTCTCGATCTCCTGACCTCATGATCCACCCGCCTCGGTCTCCCAAAGTGCTGGGATTACAGGCATGAGCCACCGTGCCCGGCCACCTCTCTGCTTTTTATATAGATCTCTAGCTCACCCTACTATTTCTAGTTCACTTGTTCCTCACTGTCAGAGGTACCTGGTGCCCCCTATTCCAGAGACTTTCCAGAGTTCTTAAAAATTCAGAGTTAAAAAGTTCCAGAGTGTAAATATGCTTTGCCTCTTGGCTTCTCTCTGGGCAAGCGCTGGGCTTTCTTTGTCTTTGTTTTCCAGATTCCAAAATTTGATTGCTATAATCTACTTTCCTGATCTCTTTGACCCCATGGATTTTATCCATTTACAATAATTTTAGTATTGGCACGGGGCTCCCCCATGTAGGGTGGTGCAGGGAGACTCACTAACCACAGGAGGTCCTGCCCGGGGCTCCTCCTTTACCCCCTTCCTTTTGGGGCAGGCTGGAGGGAGGGTCAGGTAATGCTGCTCACACAAAGCCTGCCTGGAAGTCCAGAGGTGGGGGGTACTCTGGGCCTCAGCTGTCAAGACTGGCAACCCTTTAACCCCTGATAACCCAGAAAATGCCCTCCCTTAAAATGTCTGAGTACCATGCTTCTTTGGCATCAGGGAGGGGACGGGAGTGTGGTGTCCTCTAAGTCTGCTCCCTGCTTGGCCGGGCTGTTTGCAGCTCCTTGGTCACTGAGTCCTTGACTGCAGGGGAAGAGAGGTTGGCCTCAGGCTCCAGGTTAGGCCACGGTTCTGAGAACCGGTGTGGGGGATCAGGCTTATATTCCATGCTAGAGCTCCGGAGTCGGTGCGTGGGGTTGGGATGGGGCTGCAGAAGTGCCTTTTAAGATTATGTGCATGGACTGATCTGTCACTGGTTCCCTGCCATCTTTATCTTTTGGATTCCCCTTGGAGCAGGGGGAGGAAGGAGTTTCTTTTGGGTTCCATTGAATCAAATGAAAGGGAAAGTAAAGCTGTTCCTATGTCCTGGGCTCTGGAGCTTCTATTCCTGATCCCTGCAGAAGAAGGAGACGGTGGTGGTGGTGGGTGGGGGTGGCGGGGCACAGAGGAAGCCAGTACCGGGCCCTGCACCCCATTCCCACTCCCAGATCCCTCTGGACACAGCATTTTTCTCCAGTGAGCACAGCCTTCCCTTGCCCCACAGCCAACAGCAACATGCCTCCCAACAAAAGCATCTGCCCCTCAGCCAAAACCCCTGTTGCCTCTCTCTGGGGAAATTGTAGGACTGGGTCAGGGTGGGGGAACCATTCTCTGCAGGGAGATTAGGAGTGTCTGTCAGGGGTGGGTGGAGCGGGGTGGGGCCCTGGCTTACTCACATCCTCGAGAGTCCTTTGCTGGCAGATTTGGGGAGCCCACAGCACAGGTGTCTGTCTCAGTATTGTCTTCCAAGCTCCTAGGCCACAGTAGTGGGGGGCTCCCCTCTCTGGCTTCTTCTTTGGTGACAGTCAAGGTTGGGGGTGGGGTGAGAGAGGGTCCTGCTTCTCTTCTAGGAACAGTTGATCCCAGGAAGAGCAGTGGAGCCTCCAGCAGGGGCTGTTGGGGCCTGTCTGAGGAGATAGGACGCGTCAGGCAGCCCCAGACACGACCACATTCCTCCCAACATGCCTGCTGGGGTCTGTGGAGCCCAGGGGCTGACGGGAGGGTGGGGTGGGGGCCGGAAGGGTTTGCTTTGGGAGGTTGTCTGGGAGATTGCTGAAGTTTTGATATACACACCTCCAAAGCAGGACCAAGTGGACTCCTAGAAATGTCCCCTGACCCTTGGGGCTTCAGGAGTCAGGGACCCTCGTGTCCACTTCAGCCTTGCCCTTGGCACAGCCTGGCACCACTCCAGCTTCTACTCCTCCCCAGAACATCTCCTGGGCCAGTTCCACAAGGGGCTCAAACGAGGGCACCTGAGCCAGACTTCTGCCTACACTAGGGATGTTCTGGGGGTCTGAGAGGATATCTGGGGCTGGAAGAAAAAAAGGCCCCCCTAGGCCTGTTCCTGGATGCAGCTCCATCCACTTTGGGGCTAAGCCTGGGCTACAACAATGCCAACCAGGCTTCTTGCCATACTCGGTTTACAAAAGCCTTTCACATACGCTGTCGCATTGGCTTCTCACAGCTGACTGCAGTAGGCAGAGTAGATGGTATGACTCCCACTTTGCAGATGAGAACACTGAGGCTCAGAGAAGCGCCAAGCCCTGGGTCACGGGGCCGTAAATGGCAGAGCCAGGACCCACCTGACTCCAGGCTGTTTCCTGGCCTCCATGAGGCCACCCGCCCTATGGTGTGGTGGATGTCAGATCCTCACCGTAGGGAGGAAATTAGGGTCTGTGCCCGGGGCTGGGGAGAGCTGCCTGGATTTCTCTTTGATGGGGGTGTTGGGGTGGGAATCACCATACACCTGACTGGCTGAGTGTATTTCAGGGATGGGACAGGCTTCTCAGCACAGCATGGCAGGTCAGGCCTGGGAGGGCCCCTCAGACCTCCTTGTCTCTAACAGCGGGTCATGGTGAGGGACGCCTCTCTGTGCCCAAGGTGACCTTGCCATGCCGGTGCTCTCCAGCTGGGTATCTGTCCCCTGCAGTGGTGGGCTTCCTCTAAGTGGATGGTAAAGGCCCATCCAGTTCATGGAGAGCTAGCAGGTCACCAGGTTTAAGGTGCAGAGGCCCTGCTCTCTGTCACCCTGGCTGAGCCCAGTGTGCGGGTTCCTGAGGGCTGGGACTCCCGGGGCCCCATGGGAAAGTGTAGCCTGCAGGCCCATACCTCCCCCTGTGAATCATGCCTGGCGGGACAAGAAAGCCCAAAACACCCCAAACAATGAGTTTCCAGTAAAATATGACAGACATGATGAGGCGGAGGAGAGGAGGGACCTGGCTGGGAGTTGTCACTAGCCTGTGGGTGATGAAAGCCAAGGGGAATGGAAAGTGCCAGGCCCGCCCCCTACCCATGAGTATAAAGCACTCGCATCCCTTTCCAATTTACCTGAGCACCTTCTCTTCACTCAGCCAACTGCTCGCTCACTCACCTCCCTCCTCAGCACCATGAGCACCTGCAGCCGCCAGTTCACCTCCTCCAGCTCCATGAAGGGCTCCTGCGGCATCGGGGGCGGCATCGGGGGCGGCTCCAGCCGCATCTCCTCCGTCCTGGCCGGAGGGTCCTGCCGCGCCACCAGCACCTACAGGGGTGGCCTGTCTGTCTCCTCCTCCTGCTTCTCCTCTGGGGGAGCCTACAGGCTGGGGGGCGGCTATGGCGGTAGCTTCAGCAGCAGCAGCAGCTTTGCTAGTGGCTTTGGGGGAGGATATGGTGATGGCCTTGGTGCTGGCTTCGGTGGTGGCTTGGGTGGTGGCTTTGCTGGTGGTGATGGGCTTCTGGTGGGCAGTGAGAAGGTGACCATGCAGAACCTCAACGACAGCCTGGTCTCCTACCTGGACAAGGCGCGTGCCCTGGAGGAGGCCAACGCTGACCTGGAGGTGAAGATCCATGACTGGTACCAGTGGCAGCGGCCTGCTGAGATCAAAGACTACAGTCCCTACTTCAAGACCATCGAGGATCTGAGGAACAAGGTGGGTGAATGGGCAGCAGAAGGTGCCATTCCAGCTAGCTCCTTCTGGGAACAATAGATGCCCCAGGACACTGACACCTTAAGATTTCTCTATAGGACAGAGCCCACCCCAGATCCCTTCTTTCGAGGTCTTGGATGCCCTAAGAGCTGATCAGTGAGAGGATGCTCTCTCTTCCCCAGCCTGCTCATCCCCTTCTGATGTCAAATCCTCAGATCAAGTGAGATCAGTGAGTCCTGTCCTTACATTTTACAGAGGAAGCAGTTGAAGCTTTGAGAGGTGCTGTGACCAGCTGCAGGTCACATAGCAAATTAATGGCAGAGCCAAGGCTGGGGCCCTTGTGTCCTACCTTCCAGCACAGGGGAGGAGCGAGGCTCTAACGGGAGCAGGCAAGACATCCAAACCGCTCATTAGCTCACTAGTCTGGGCTGTGGCTGCCGCCGCCCATAAGCCTTAGTACAGTCTGGTCCCTCCCCACAGCCAGGCAGTCATGGAGAGCCTGCAGAGACAATCAGTGTGGCCCCTTGACGTGCCCTGCACAAAGGGAGCCTGGCAGGCTTGTGCCCTGGCTCCAGCCCCCTCCTCCCTGCTCCCACCGAAAATCCTTTGCTTGACTTAACTCACTGCCCTTTAGCCACACAGGACTCCTGCCCTGGCAGTCACTTTGCTTGTTTCCACCTCAGGACATTTGCACATGCTGTATGCCCCTCCCCTTTTTCCTTCTCCTGGCTCACTTCTCCTCCCCCTTCACTCAAGTGTCTCTTTCTCAGGGAGAAGGTCACTGATGCCCCCAACCATGCCACACCCTTTATTATGTGCTCTCCATTCCCCCACCAACCATGCTCACCTCAGTTGTGAATTGCGTGTTTATTTCTGCAGGTCTATTTTATTCCGTAACTGTTCATCAAGATAAGGGCTTGCTCATTACTTTATCGCCAGCACTCAACCCAATGCCTGGCACATAGTAGGTGCTCAATAAAGGATGAATCTGAATTTACAGTGAGGAAACAGGTTCAGAGAGGGGAAGCAACTTTCCCCAAATAAGTGGAAGAATCCGGCTTTACACTATGACCTGCCTGGCTCCGAAGCCGGTGCTCTCAGCCTCCCTGCTAGGTGTGTCCCAGCAGACACAAGCCTGGGGTGCCTAGACTCAGGTGGAGGCACCTATGCGGGCCCACTCCATCCCCTCACTGTGGTCTGATAGGGTCTGGCTGGGCAGAGTGGTGGCAAGTGCCTGTTGTATGAGAAAGAATCAGTGTTGACAGACAGGTGCAGGTACCCACAGCCCTGCACCAGTGGGCAGTGCACACCTGCCTAGATGGCGCATGGAGGCTCCAGGGGAGGAGCCGTGACTCAGCGGGTGCTCCCTCTCCCAGCAGCCAGCCACATGCTGACTCAGGTCCCTCACTTGCCCCACCTGGGGATCAATGACAGACAGCAATGGGGAGTAAGTTGAAGGTGTGGGAAGCAAGAGGGCTCCCATGACCAGAGCAAAGCTGTCCTTGTGCAGCCTCCAGGTCCCCATGTCCCCCGTGGACGATACCTTTGCCTCTGGGGACACCTTGCAAGTAGGGTCTTTGGTTCCCTCTCTGTTCCTCTGTCTGCCTATCTGGGTCCTTGCAGCCCTTCTCTCCTACTCCATCCACTCTCCAAATGGAGGGCCTGCATTTGGGGAATATAAGTACTGAAGGCAAACTGCCTGGGTTTGAATTTTGTTCTGTCCCTTGCACCCTGCCTGGCTTCAAATCCTAGCTCTGCTTATTAAGTTCTTTTAAGGTGATGATCTTTGAGCAAATGTCTTAGCTTCTGTTTTCCCAAGTAAATGGACACAATAGTTGCTACCTTGTGAAAGATTCATGTAATTGACCAGTGTTTACCAAGTAGCATCAGTGTTCAGTTTCAGTCATTGGTGATTCTGCAGTTGGACTGTGATGGGGTGTTGGGGTGGGGGTGGTGTGTGTGTGTAGCACTTAATTGCACGCAGAAAGGAAAAGATACTTTTGATGACCCAGAGGCAGCTTTTCTCTGCTTTTGTGTCAAAAGGGAGGAATGGAGTTTGGAGAGGGAAACTAATTCTGTTCAATACTAAGCTCTCTTCCTCAAAATCAGAGGTACATAGAATGTGTAATAACTTACAGAATTTCTAGACTTCAACAATCTGAATTTTTTAAAATTCATTTTTATTTTTTCAGGTTGAGACTGAGCTAAAGTTAATCTGTGGCGACATTCTGAATGTACTGGACAAACACCTTATTCCAGCAGCTAACACTGGCAAGTCCAAGGTTTTCTATTATGAAATGTAGGTTCTATACTAAAAATTAACAAGTGTACTTCAATAATTTTAAACACGCTCAGGAATAATTGGCTTTGTTTCTTTTTTTCTTAGCTATTTCCTATTATTTTCCTTATTAAATATAACGAAAAATCCCACAGAAATTAACTGAGGAGCCTCTAAATATCAAGAAAATTATCACTTGATAGACTAGAATTAAACAAGCAAGTGGTTCCAAGAAATGGCACAAGTGTATTAATCATAAAATAAAATTTCTACATGAAACTTTCAGCCAGCACTGTGAAATGTGTGGCCGTTTAGGGGAGGGGAATGAGATAGGTCCCATGAAAGCAAAAGAATATAAATAGGTAAAGCAAAAGCTAATGCATTTTTTATAATAGCCTGACCATCTTTTTATCCCAACATTGACTATCCTTCTAACATTAAACAATTATTTTTAAATAAAAGTTGGAAACCTACATAGAAGAAAGTCATGATTCTAAAAAGGCCAACTTTTAATCTTACATTTTCCTTTCTAGTATAGAACCTACATTTCCTAATAGAAAACCTTGGACTTGCCAGTGTCAGCTACTGGAGTGAGGTGTTTGTCCAGTGCATCCAGCACCTCGCCACAGATTAACTGTAGCTCAGTCTCAACCTGAAAAAATAAAAATATACTTAAAAAAATCAGATTGTTGAAGTCTAGAAATTCTGTAAATTATTACACATTCTATCTACCTCTGATTTTGAAGAAGAGAGCTTAGTATTAAAGAGAATTGGTTTCCCTCTCCAAACTCCCTTCTTCCCTTTTGACACAAAAGCAGAGAAAAGCTGCCTCTCGGTTATAAAAAGTATCTTTTCCTTTCCGCGTGCAATTAAGTGCTACACACACACCACCCCCCACCCCAGCACCACCTCACAATCCAACTGCAGAATCACCAATGACTGAAACTGAACACTGATGCTGCTTGGTAAACACTGGTCAATTACATGAATCTTTCACAAGGTAGCAACTATTGTGTCCATTTACTTGGGAAAGCAGAAGCTAAGACATTTGCTCAAAGGTCATCACCATAAAAGAACTTCATAAGCAGAGCTAGTATTTGAACCCAGGCAGGGTGCAAGGGACAGAACAAAATTCAAACCCAGGCAGTTTGCCTTCAGTATTTACATTCCTAACAACGTGCAACAGGCAATCCCTTTAGTGGAAGAGATCCAAAACTAGTTAAGATACCAAAAATCTATGGACCAAAGTAACTATTGCCACTCATCTCTATTCATTTACAATGCTGAAAAGGTACAACACCTCTAAACGCACATACCCAGCTTGCTTCCTTTTTTTTCTTTTCTTTTCTTTTTTTTTTTTTTTTTTGAGACTGAGTCTCACTTTGTCCCTCAGTCTGGAGTGCAGTGGTGCGATCTCGGCTCACTGCAACCTCCGCCTCCCGGATTCAAGCTATTCTGGTGCCTCAGCCTGCAGAGTAGCTGGTATTACGGGCACTTGCCATCACAACTGGCTAATTTTTGTATTTTTCTTTCTTTTTTTTTTTTTTGAGACAGACTCTCGCTGGTCGCCCAGGCCGGAGTGCAGTGGCACGATCTCCGCCTACTGCAAGCTCCGCCTCCCGGGTTCACGCCATTCTCCTGCCTCAGCCTCCCGAGTACCTGGGACTACAGGCACCCGCAACCATCCCCGGCTAATTTTTTGTATTAGTAGAGACGGGGTTTCACCGTCTTAGCCAGGATGGTCTCGATCTCCTGACCTCGTGATCCGCCCACCTTGGCCTCCCAAAGTGCTGGGTTTACAGGCGTGAGCCACCGTGCCCAGCCCCTGATTTTTGTATTTTTCTTAGTAGAGACAGTTTCACCGTGTTGGCCAGGCTGGTTTCAAACTCCTGAACTCAGGTGATCCGGCTGCCTCAGCCTCCCAAAGTGCTAGGATTACAGGCATGAGCCACCACGCCTGACCTTATCACAGTTTTTTGTTGTTGTTGTTTTTTTTAAGAGACGGAGTTGGCCGGGTGCGGTGGCTCACGCCTGTAATCCCAGCACTTTGGGAGGCGAGGCGGGTGGATCACGAGGTCAGGAGATCGAGACCATCCTGGCTAACACGGTGAAACCCCGTCTCTACTAAAAATACAAAAAATTAGCTGGGTGTGGTGGCGGGCGCCTGTAGTCCCAGCTACTCAGGAGGCTGAGGCAGGAGAATGGCGTGAACTAGAGAGGCGGAGCTTGCAGTGAGCCGAGATCACGCCACTGCACTCCAGCCGGGGCCACAGAGCAAGACTCCGTCTCAAAAAAAAAAAAAAAGAGAGACGGAGTCTCACTCTGTTTCCCCGGCTGAAGTGCGGTGGTGCGATCTTGGCTCACTGCAACCTCCCGCCTCCTGGGTTCAAGCAATTCTTTTGCCTCAGCCTCCCGAGTAGCTGGACTACATGTGCACGCCGCCACGCGTGGCTAATTTTTTTTATATTTTAGTAGAGACGGGGTTTCACTGTGTTGCCCAGGCTGGTCTTGAACTCCTTAGCTCAGGCAATGCGCCCGCCTCAGTCTCCCAAAGTGCTAGGATTATAGGCATGAGCCACTGCGCCTGGCCTATCACAACGTTTTAAAAGTGAACATATAAATATTCCTTACATGTGTATCTACATTATTAAAAACCATAAACCAACTGAAGTATAAATGGGGGAACAGTTTAACACACATCAGTAAGACTGAAACTTATTTATGCTAAGACAGAAAACATAAAATGATGAGTGCTAGGAGAATAACTGTTAAAAACATGCCCATTGGCCTGGTGTGGTGGCTCTTGCCCTGTAATCCCAGCACTTTGGGAGGCCGAGGCAGGTAGATCACCTGAGTTCAAGTGATCAACACCATCCTGGCCAACACGGTGAAACCATGTCTCTACTAAAAATAGAAAAATAGCTGGGCATGGTGGTGGGTGCCTGTAGTCCCAGCTACTCAGGAGGCTGAGGCAGGAGAATCTCTCGAACCCAGGAGGTGGAGGTTGCAGTAAGGTGAGATGGTGCCACTGCACTCCAGCATGGGCAACAGAGAGACACTCCATCTCAAAAAAAAAAAAGAAAAGAAAAGAAAAAAAAAAGAATTCTATTGCCCAGATTAACAAACTAATTTTGTGCCAGCTGCCTTAATGAAGATAAAATAAATGAAATAAACTACTAAATTTAGTGCAAAGGAGCAGAGCAGACAATCTATTAATCTGGTAATTTTGTTAAGAATAACGATAGCTAATATTCATGGAGAGCTTGTTATGAGCCACGTCCTATCCTAAATATCCTACTTGTTTTAACTTCATCCTAGCAACAAATATATGAGATGGATTCTAAAACTCTCTTCACTTAGAAACAACTGGGGCCTAGAGAGATTTCTCTGTGCCATATGATGCTGTTTGGTAGCATTTTGCCTCCAGTAGTTTCTTTCAGAATTGGGGTCAGTCCTCTCAAACCTCTTTGCTGCTTTATCAACTAAGTTTATACCCTCTTCTGAATCCTTTGTTGTCGTTTCAACAACGTTTACAGCATCCTCACCAGTAGAATCCATCTCAAGAAACCACTTTCTTTGCTCATCTGTTAAAATCAACTCCTCACCTGTTCGCGTTTTCTCATGAGCTTATTGCAATTCGGTCACATCTTCAGGCTCCACTTCTAATTCTAGTTTTCTTGCGAGTTCTGCCACATCTGCCGTTCCTTTCTCCACTGAAGGCTTGAACCCCTCAAAGTCATCCAGGGTGGTTGGAATCAATTTCTTCCAAACTCCTGTTGATGTTGATATTCTGACCTCCTCATGAATGTTCTTAATGGTATCTAGAATGGTAACTCCTTTCCACAACGCTTTCCATTTACTTTGCACAGATCCGTCAGAAGAATCACTATCTATGACAGCTTTAGCCTTACAAAATGTATTTCTTAACTAATAAGACTTGAAAGTCAAAATCGCTCCTTGAACCACGGGCTTCACAATGCATGCTGTGTTGGCAGGCGTGAAAACAACATTCCTCTCCTTGTACATCTCCATCGGAGCTCTTGAGTAACCAGGTGTGTTGTCAAAAAGAAATAATATTTTGAAAGAATTCTTTTTTTTCTGAGCAGTAGGTCTCCACAGTGGGCTTCAAATATTCAGCAAATCATGCTGTAAACAGATGTCTTCCAGGCTTTGCTGTTAAGTGTACAGAGCACAGGCAGAGTAGATTGAACATAATTCTTAAGGGCTGTAGCATTTCTGGGATGGTAAACAAACAACGGCTTCACTTTAAAGTCATCACCAGCTATGTTAGCCCCTAAGAAGACAGTCAGCTGTCCTTTGAAGCTTTGAAGCCAGGCACTGACTTCTCGTTTCTAGGATGAAAGTCTTAAATGGCATCTTCCACCGGAAGGTGGAGGTTGCAGTGAGCTGTGACTATGCCACTGCACTCCAGCCTGGGTGACAGAGACAGACCCTGTCTTAAAAAAAAAAAAAAAGACATATACACAACATTGATTAAGTTCATCCTCTTATATCACTGAGGTTGTAAACAATTACAATAGCAACATCAAAGATCGCTGATCGCTATGACAGATATGATAATAATGAAAACATCTAAAATACTGTTACTGAAATGGAACACAGAGACACAAAGTGAGCATATGCTGTTAGAAAAACAGCACCGCAAGACTTGCTTGACACAGGGTTGCCACCAACCTTCAGTTTGTAAAAAAATAATATCTGCAAAGTGCAATAAAGCAAACACAATAAAATTTGGTAGGCCCGTACGTGAGATTTCTTTGTATTATTTCTTTTTGTTTTTCTTTGTAGAGATGGGGTCTCACTGTCACCCAGGCTGGAGTGCAGTGGCACCATCACAGCTCACTACATCTTTGAACTCCTGGGCTTCAAGGGATCCTCCCGCCTCAGCCTCCCAGGTAACTGGAATCACAGGCATAAGCCACCACACCCGGCCTCTCTGTATTATTTCTTACAACTGCATGCAAATCTATAATTAACTCAAAACAAAAAGTTAAACATTTATTAAGTGTTGACCAATGTACCAAATGACAATAACAAAAACCCAATTCCAACTTAGATTAAATATAAAGCTACATACCTTAAGTAGTATACAACTGTGAAGCAGCATTTTAAAAATCAGATAACCATGTAGAAATACATTTCTATCTAAATAAACTCAAGGCATCAGACTAGAAAGAAATGTAAAATTACAAAGCCAAGCATTTCACACAAATCGTCAGAAAGCCAGCCAGGTACACTTCATCATTTCCACTATCTGCTTTCTATAAGATCTGAAGATATAATAGCATTTGTCTTGTATCTGTTCTCAACCACAGAGGTCAGAACCAAACTAGCTAATAAACTAGTCTAACTACTATACTTTAGTTAGAAAATAAACTCATTATAATTTGTACTCAAAGACAATGTTCCTGAGGAATTGGAGTTGAGATGGACTCTAAGGAACATGTCATTACATATATTTCTTTATATGTCATTACATATAAAGAAAATTATTTGAAGTGGTTTGTGGCACACAGATAGAATCCTTGTTCTATGTAATGAGTGCTGGCTTAAAAGGTATGCTTTCTGGAAATGACATTTTGACCAATTTAAATCATATTTTACATGTAATAAAACTATTTTCTATTTACATGAATCAAATAGTCTCATAAAGCAAACACTTACGTCTCCATTTATTTCCCACTTTTTGCACAAAATTGGATTTTAATAGAGTAGGTTTTCTTAAAAGGATAAATGCTCACTGAAATTGGTCATTTTATATATTTGAGACTGACAACATATCCTCATATTATGGTAATTTTATAGCAATATTGTCAAAGAAAACAGTGTTTTCTGGATTCACTTGAAAATGAAACCAACCTAAAGAAAACAAAAATTATAATCCCAAATATGCTACCCTATAGAGGAAAGGGTGTTTCTTCCCCTTAAGTCCCCTTATACATTAGTCATCTTTCTTTTATTAAAAGTCTTAAAATATCCTCTAAAGCAGATTTCAAAATACAACATTCCTGAGTCCTCAGGAGTCCTGCTCACAGAAGGGATCTTTAACTTACAGGAAGACGATGCTGACACTAGCTTAAGCACGCATTCAGCACACCACAGTTACAGTGAATCACACAGGAATTCCACACACATTCCCTACCCACTGTCAGCCTTAGTTTACATAGTGGCGTCAACAGCGAAAAGCCAGTGGTTCCTAAACATCTTCTCAAATTGCCCAGTCTCCAGGTCCTTGCTCATTTGGCTAAGACTGAATAAACAAACACCATTCATTAAAACGCCTCCTGGCCAGTGTGGACACAACGACAGAGTGACTCCATACCGACGGCATCATCTAGTTAAAATTAAATTTAAACTTATTTTCCTTTGGGGTATGAAATATATAATCAAATGGAGTTATCCTTCGTATGTTAAGTACTTGATAACAGCCCTGAGGTGTTCTATAAACTCATCTAGAGCCTGTAATTAAGAAACAAAATTCTGTTTGTCTCAAGACCAATGTAAACTAGCTGAAAACAATAAGCTACATTTCATCAGCAGTTATCATGCTGAGGAATCACTAAAACCATATCTAAATAATTCTCTTTTTAAAAAATAACTCATTTCCCTTTAAAAAATAACTCATTTCCCTTCACACACACACTGCAAATGGCACACATTTCAAGAATAAACATGATTTCAAGCATATATCTTAAAGCAATTTAAACCAACAAAATGTAAGAACTTGGCAAAATCACTTAGATAATATCTAATTAGAATCCTCTTTTAAAACAACAGGAAAGTAAGTAAATAATAACCAAATAAATAAGAAAGCAAGTAAATGAGAAAACAAATAAGCACGTATATAATTAATAAGTAAAAATTTAAAAATCAATCCCTTTGCAAGCTGCAATAATTAATGAGGTTGTCACTAACCGATCAGACCATTTACATCAAGCATTGTGGTGAGACAGTCTTTCAGTTAGTATAAGAGTAAACAGAAATGGCGAAAAACTAATTCTTCACAATACTAGGATTTAGTTAAATTGAATTCATTTTATAGGTGGGTAACTATTCGTAGACCTTGAAGTTCTGAAATACAGAGTTAAAATAAGAGAAAGCTTTCTGGAATCAATAATATTCTAGTTATTGCTTAGTTGACTCATTGTGACATGCTTCCAACCTGGGCATCAAACAAGGATACACATCAAATCGGACTCAGTCTGGTTGGCTCCTTGCGCTCTGTAGCCGTGGTGGCAGCAGCAGCAGACGTCGGCGGCTGGGCTGCCAGGAGCAGTTCCACTGGGTTTCACTGTCCGAGACTTCCTTTGGGGCACTCCAGCAAACCAAGGTGGAGTACGAATGGAAATCTGATAAGCAAGGGCTTCAGCAAATCCTGCAGCTATTGAAGGAGTCCCAGTCCCCAGACACCACCATCCAGAGAACTGTGCAACAATTCTAGAAACTGGAACAACTTAATCAATATCCAGACTTTAGCAACTACTTGATTTTTGTTCTTACAAAATTAAAATCTGAAGATGAACCCACAAGATCATTGCGTGGTCTCATCTTGAAGAATAATGTGAAAGCACACTTTCAGAACTTCCCAAATGGTGCAACAAACTTCATTAAAAGTGAATGTTTAAATAATATTGGTGACTCCTCTCTTCTGATTAGAGCCACTGTTGGTATTTCGATCACAGCTATAGCCTCCAAGAGAGAATTGCAGAATTGGCCTGACCTCTTACCAAAACTCTGTAGCCTGTTGGATTCTGACGATTACACCACCTGTGAGGGAGCATTTGGCACCCTTCAGAAGATTTGTGAAGATTCTTTTGAGATTTTAGATAGTGATGTTTTAGATTGTCCTCTCAACATCAGGATTCCCAAATTTTTACAGTTCTTCAAGCACAGTAGTCCAAAAATAAGGTCTCACGCTGTTGTATGTGTCAATCAGTTTATCATCAGGACTCAAGCTCTGATGTTGCACATTGATTCTTTTATTGAGAAATCTCTTTGCATTGGCTGGTGAGCCAGAGGTATGGAAAAATGTGTGCCGAGCACTTGTGATGTTGTTCGAAGTTTGAGTGGATCGCCTGCTCCCTCACATGCGTAATATAGTTGAGTATATGCTACAGAGGACTCAAGATCAAGATGAAAATGTGGCTTTAGAAGCCTGTGAATTTTGGCTAACTTTAGCTGAACAGCAAGTATGCAAAGATGTATTCGTAAGGCATCTTCCCAGGTTGATTCCTGTGTTAGTGAATGGCATGAAGTACTCAGATATAGATATTATCCTACCTAAGGGTGATGTTGAAGAAGACGAAATGATTCCTGATAGTGAACAGGATATATGGCCACGTTTTCACCGATCAAGGACAGTGGCTCAGCAGCATGATGAAGATGGAATTGAAGAGGAAGATGATGATGATAATGAAATTGATGATGATGATACAATTTCTGACTGGAATCTAAGGAAATGATCTGTTGCTGCCCTAGATGTTCTTGCAAACGTGCATCATGATGAACTGCTGCCATATATATTGCCCCTTTTGAAAGAATTACTTTTTCATCATGAATGGGTTGTTAAAGAATTAGCCATCTTGGGTTTAGGAACAGTTGCTGAAGGTTTGCATGCAGGGCATGATTCCTTGCTTGCCTGAGCTTATTCCTCACCTTATTCAGTGCTTCTCTGATAAAAAGGCTCTTGTCCGTTCCATAACATGCTGGACTCTTAGCCGCTATGCACACTGGGTAGTCAGCCAGCCACCAGACACGTACCTGAAGTCATTAATGACAGAGTTGCTAAAAGGCATCCTGGATAGCAACAAGAGAGTACCAGAAGCTGCCTGCAGTGCCTTTGCTACCCTAGAAGAGGAGGCTTGTACAGAACTTGTTGCTTACCTTGCTTATATACTTGATACCCTGGTCTTTGCATTTAGTAAATACCAGCATAAGAACCTGCTCATTCTTTACAATGCCAGAGGGACATTAGCAGATTCAGTAGGACATCATTTAAACAAACCAGAATATATTCAAATGCTAATGCCTCTACTGATCCAGAAACGGAACATGTTAAAGGATGAAGATAAAGATCTTTTCCCTTTACCTGAGTGTCCATTTTCAGTTGCCACGGTGCTGCAGTCTGGCTTCCTTCCATACTGTGAACCTATGTATCAGCATTGGGTAAACCTAGTACAGAAGACTCTTGCACAAGCCATACTAAGCAATGCTCAACCAGATCAATATGAAGCTCCAGATAAAGATTTTATGATAGTGGCTCTTGATTTACTGAGTGGCCTGGCTGAAGGACTTGGAGGCAATATTGAACAACTGGTAGCCCGAAGTAACATCCTAACACTAACATATCAGTGCATGCAGGATAAAATGCCGGAAGTTCGACAGAGTTCTTTTGCCCTGTTAAGTGACCTCACAAAAGCTTGCTTTCAGCATGTTAAGCCTTGTGTAGCTGATTTCATGCCAATATTGGGAACCAACCTAACTCCAGAATTCATTTCAGTCTGCAACAATGACACATGAGCAATTGGAGAAATCTCCATTCAAATGGGTATAGAGATGCAGCCTTATATCCCTATGGTGTTGCACCAGCTTGTAGAAATCATTAACAGACCCAACACACCAAAGACGTTGCTAAAGAATACAGCAGTAACAATTGGTTGTCTTGGTTATGTTTGTCCTCAAGAGGTGGTCCCCATGCTACAGCAGTTTACGAGACTCTGGTGCACCTCTCTGAGAAACATAAGAGACAATGAGAAAAGGATTCAGCATTCCGTGGAATCTGCATCATGATCAGTGTGAATCCCCATGGCATAATCCAAGATTTTATATTTTTTTGTGATGCTGTTGCATCATGGATTAACCCAAAAGATTATCTCAGAGACATGTTCTGTAAGATCCTTCATGGATTTAAAAATCAAATTGGCAATGAAAATGGGAGGCATTTCTCTGACCAGTTTCCTCTTCCCTTAAAAGAGCATCTTGTAGCTTTTTATGGTGTTTAATGTAATACACTTAAGCTGCAGTCCCAAAATTAGGGGTCCTTCAGTCTTGGAGACTATGAGGGAGCCTCTGCACCCAGGGAAAATGCTACCCTTCATGGGGGGAAGGGTAAACCAGTAGGGAATACAGTATAATCTCAACCCTACTGGGAGGGGCGGGAGGGAGGTGTTGCCATCACTGTATTAAGTTGACGTTGGGAAACGTTTTAACATCTGGAGGCTTTGTGGGTGGAAATATGTCTCCAGTTACAACTCCACAGTGGACGTGAAGAGGGGGAATAAAAAAGAAGAAAAAGAAAGAAAGTGTGGCCGGGCACAGTGGCTCATACCTGTAATCCTAGCACTTTGGGAGGCTAAGGCAGGTGGATCAGTTCAGGTCAGGAGTTTGAGACCAGCCTGACCAACATGGTGAAAAAAATACATCTCTATTAAAAAAATACATGCACACACACAAAAAATCTAGGCATGGTGGAGGGCACCTGTAATCCCAGCTACTTGGGAGGCTTAGGTGGGAGGATCACTTGAACCTGGGAGGTGAAGGTTACAGTGAGTTGATATCATGCCATGGCACTCCAGCCTGGGCAACAGAGCAAGACTCCTGTTTAAAAAAAGAAAGAAAGAAAGAAAGAAAGGGATGGGGGAATGCTTTATTAATGCAGTTGTTTAAATATATTGTGATTAATCCATACAACCAAACTGTAAAGATGTATCTTAAAGAACAAGGCACCTCTCTGTGTACTGAAATGTACTGTATGTACATTTGTACTGAAATATAAGCATAAGCAAGTATGTGCTGTCTATGTATGTGGAAAGAGTCTGTAATGCATTAAGAGGAGAAAGCGTGCATTAAAGGAGGTATTTCCCATTTTGGAGGCAGGGAGGAAAATCTGGCATGCATGTGTGTGAGAGAGAGTGCATTAGAATATGCGCAGAAAACACATCTGCGAACGCATAGCGCAAATGCTTACTAATGGAGAGCAGGGGTGCTGGCCCGCTTCTACTCTGTCGTGTGTTTCCATTGTGTTAGACTTACTGATAATGAGTTCATGTGACTTTTGTAATCCTAGAGAGGGGACAGCATGTGTGAAGGTCTGAAGCAATAGAATGCATTAGGGAAAATACTAAAATTGGCCCAAAAAGGAAACAAGGATGGCAGGAAGAGATGAGAGTGGAGAGGAAGGCGGCAGGCAGATGGCCCAGGGTAGCCTACGCTCTGCCAAGGAGTGTGGGGTTCATCCCAGTGCAGCAGGCTTTCTTTGTCCTCACTGGCAGCTCCTCTCAGCCTATGAGGCTGCCTCCTTGTCTTCTGCCCACATCTGACTGTGGGAGTTTCTAATCTAATCGCTTAGGAGGCCATCAACTTTACTTAGGGCTGAAGAATGTCTCATTCACTCAATAAATATTTACAAGCCCCAGCACAGTGGCTCACGCCTGTAATCCTAGCACTTTGGAGGCCAAGGTGGGAAGATCACTTGGATCTAGGAGTTGGAGAGCAGCCTGGGCAACATAGCAAGACCCCATCTCTACGAAAAATAAGAAATTAGTCAGGCCTGGTGCTGCGCACCTGTGGTCCCAGCCACTTGGGAGGCTGAGGTGGGAGGATCGCTTGAGCCTGGGAAGTCAAGGCTTCAGTGAGCCGAGATCTTGCCACTGCACTCCAATTTTGGCAACAAGCAAGACCTTGTCAAAAAAAAAGAAGGAAGGAAAGAAGAAAGAAAGAAAGAAAGAGAAGGAAGGAAGGAAGGAAGGAAGGAAAGAAAGAAAGAGAAAGAAAGAAAGAGAAAGGAGAGGAGAGGAGAGGAGAAAGAAAATATTCATAAAGAGAAACTGGAATCCCACAGGCTCAGTCCTGATGAGGGTGGTCCTGCTTCCTCATCTCTTCTCTGTCTACACTGTCTCCTGTGACACCATCCATGTTCCTGGCTGTGTAAAGCATCTTCATGTGCCCCTCCCACGTCCTCTCTCCTGCTTGGTCTCCCTCTAAGCACAGACTTGGGAATATAACTGCCTCCTTGGCACTTTCATCTGATAGGCATCTCACATCAAAAACTCAACTCTGGCTTATAGCCACCCGCCAATCTGCTCCTGTTTTAATCTTCATCTCAGTAAACAGTGCTACCATCCACCCTGCTGCCCAGGCCAGATACCTAGGAGTCTTCTTTTTTTAATTAATTTATTTATTTGAGACAAAGTATTGCTCTGTCGTCCAGGCTGGAGTGCAGTAGCACGATCTCATCTCACTGCAACCTCGGCCTCCTGGGTTCAAGCAATTCTCATGCCTCACCCTCTGGAGTAACTGGGATTATAGGCGTGTGCCACTATGCCTGGCTAATTTTTGAATTTTTAGTGGAGATGGGGTTTTGCCATGTTGGCCATGGCTGGTCTCAAATTCCTGGCCTCAAGAGATCTGCCCACCTCGGGCTCCCAAAGTGCTGGGATTACAGGTGTGAGCCACCACACCCAGCCTATTTTCACTCTCTTAATGATGTCTTTGGAAGTGCAAAAGTTTTGAATTTTGAAGAAGTCTAATTTATCAATTTTATTGTGATCTATCTATCTATAGAGCTATACATACAGACATTTCCTGATTTACAATGGTTCAACCTACAATTTTTGACTTTACTGTGGTATGAAAGCCATATACATGCAGCAGAAATCATGCCAAGTACCCATAAAACCATTCTGTTTTTCACTTTCAGTAAAGTATTCCATAAATTATGTAAGATAGTCACCACTTTATTATAAAATAAGCTTCGTGTTAGATGATGTTGCTCAACTGTAGGCTAATGTATGTGTTCTGAGCACGTGTAAAGTAGGCTAGGCTAAGCTATGATGTTTCATAGGTTGTGTATTAGATGCATTTTTAACCTATTTTCAGCCTACGACGGGTTTGTTGGGATGTAACCCCATCATAAGTCAAGGAGCATCTGCATATAATGTTTTGTGTGTGCATATATTTTTAAAGTCTAGCTGACAGTATTTGGTAATGAATTAGATTTCGGGTAGAGAAGAATTAAGAATGATTCCAGTGGTTTTGGTCAAGCAAGTGTCTAAGATGGGGGAAGCCTACAGAAGCAGGAAGTTGGGGATGGGGGATCAGGAGCTCTGTTCTGGATGCACGGAGTTTGAGCTTGTCTGTTAGAAATCCACGCAGAGATGCTGAGAGGCAGGTGGAATCTGGAGTTCAGAGTCATTTGATAGATTAGGTGGCTGAGTGAGGTTGCAGAAGACCAACAGGGGTGAGAAGGTGGACTGAAAGGAGGAGAGAATCGAGGCCTGCCCAGGGCCTCTGCACTTAGAGGTTAGACAATGAGGTAAACCCAGCAGGAAGATGAGAAGGAGTGGCCAGTGAGGTGCAGTTAATCTTCCTGAACGTCAGTTTCCTTGTAATAACTAGGCAGCAGTCATGAACAGTACTTCCCTCATAGCGTGATGGTGAGGTTCCTGGAATGTGCGCTAAAAGTGCTTAGAGCAGCACCTTGCATGTAGGAGCTGCTCAGCGCATGTTAG
Source organism: Homo sapiens (assembly GCF_000001405.40). Lineage (NCBI taxonomy): Eukaryota > Metazoa > Chordata > Mammalia > Primates > Hominidae > Homo > Homo sapiens. Next base: position 18,466,570 of record NC_000017.11, read on the forward strand.
CTAAACATGAGAATCTTCTCTCTAAACCTTCTAAAGAATTGTCAGATCTTGCCTGATGGCCTTAGCTATCAGGAGAGAAAATCTACAGAGAAACTTGGAGCCCACCTCAGCCAGGTGGCCTGGGCACTGTAGGATGCCACCTGCTCAAGGGGAGGACTGGGCACTGCACTGAGTCTGCTGCCCAGAGCCTGGCACCATTGGGCTGGCTGAGGCACACTGCCAAGCCAGCAGGTTTGTGCAACAGACTTGGCTCCCAAAAGGGAGGCCCAGAAGGCCCAGACACCCTCAGGAATAGGGCCTGGCTGAAGACTGTGATTAAGGAGGTGAGAGTTTCAAGTCTGGTAATTTTGTTATTAAACAGAAATGTGACTTCATTTACATTCCTGAGCCTCGAAGCCTGGACTTAAAGATGAATCCCCAGTGGGTGAGGCTGGGTACCAGAAGTGGCTACATATTTGCAGAGCCCACCGAAAATGGAAATGTGGATCTCTTGGTCATGTGTCATGAAGGATGTCAAGGCAGTTATAGCAGAGCATTAAACCAAGTGTGGGGCCCTTAGCACCGGGGCCCTCTGTGACTGCACAGGTCGTAGGCCCATGCAGCTGGCCCTGTCTGGCCCTGCCTGGTTTCCATCCACAATGAAGGAGGACAGAGTCTGGAAGGTTGAAGAGGGAGGCACTAGACATTCGTGGGTAGAGAGACCACTGGGGCTACAGTGTGGAGAATGGGTCACGGTGAGCAGGAGTGGTCAGAGCTGTTGGAGCTTTATGCTGAGATGGGATGAGGTCTGCCCAGATGGGTGGGGAGGGGACAGGAGAGGAGTGGGACCCTCTCTCTGGGGAGGCTGCCCTGTGGCTTCCTGTTTCTCCCTGTTTCCTGCTCATTGGGCCTTTTCTGCCTTCTCCTCAGGAATTCTCCTGGGACTGCCATTCTGGGATGTGCATATTCTTTTATTCCACTCCCTTTTGTAGAGATGGAAGCTCCCCCACTGGTGTGGGGCTGAGAGCAGATTCCCCCCATTGACAGAAACGAAGACACCACAACCCCTCCCTCACGGCACCATTGCTATCCCTTCGGGAACTGTGGCTTGAGATGTCCTGTTGAGTCACTTCACACCAGCCTCTCACTGGCAACCTTTGAATGTCTATGACATTCAAAGACAGAAAAAGTAGGCCAGGTGCGGTGGCTCACGCCGGTAATCCCAGCCCTTTGGGAGGTCCAGGCGGGCAGATCACCTGAGATCAGGAGTTCGAGACCAGCCTGGCCAACATGGTGAAAACCCGTCTCTACTAAAAATACAAAAATAATTAGCCAGGCATGGTGGTGGGTGGCTGTAATCCCAGCTAGTTGGGAGGCTGAGGCAAGAGAATCACTTGAATCCAGGAGGCGTAGGTTGCAGTGAGCCGAGATCACGCCACTGCACTCCAGCCTTGGCAACACAGTGAAACCCCATCTCAGAAATAAATTAATAAAAGGGAGGTTCTCTAAAAAAATTCTTTATAAGTTGCATTATTCAATTCTGTCTTTGTGAAATTAAATTAAATTTAAAAAGTTATATTGTACTTCTTCTGTCTTTGGTTTGTTTTTTTGTTTGTTTGTTTGTTTTGTTTTGAGACGGAGTGTTCTTGTTGCCAAGGCTGGAATGCAATGGCGTCGTCTCAGCTCACTGCAACTTCCACCTCCTGGGTTCAAGCAATTCTCCTCCCTCAGCCTCCCAAATAGCTGGGATTACCGGAGTACACCACCAAGCCCAGCTAATTTGTGTATTTTTAGTAGAGTCCAGGTTTCACCATGTTGGCCAGGCTGGTTTCAAACTCCTGACCTCAAGTGATCTGCCCACCTGGGCCTCCCAAAGTGCTGGGATTACAGGCGTGAGCCACCGCATCAGCTTTTTTTTTTTTTTTTAAGAGATGCTAGAAGTGTGGAATTTTATGTGAAATCTCCCAATTTTCAGAAGTTGGCTTACATTTTTAAAACAGTTTATAGGACAAACAAAACAAGTTTGCAGACTGGAATTGGCTGCAGGCCACCAAGTTGCAGGTTCTGACAGCTCCACTGTCACTGGGAGGCATCTGGAGCTGATTCCAAGCTGCTACGCCCAGCATCAGGAAGTGTCAACTGTATGTTCACCCTCCAGCTTTCGGCTGCCACACGCTGTGTGCTCTAGTTACATGCTCTGACCCGCCACAGACCACGGTGGCTCTCCCCAAGGCCCAGAGTCCATGATGGGAGCTTGACATGGGGTCAGTGAGCTTCAGTAGAAAGGGGGTCTCCCCCAACAGTGCAGCGAGAAGCAACAAGAGTTGGGGTGGGGACGTGGGGAACAACATGCTCACATGCAGGGCTCTGAGCTCTGTGCGCTCTGCCTAATTGTTCTTCTCTTGGTCATTGGACAGCCCCAGCCCCTGCAGTTCCTGCTCTCCTCAACAGGGCTGCCCAGTGAGAACCGGACCCTGTCTGCTAGTCTGCTAGAACACTTTACCTTCACAGATGCAGGATTAAATACCCTGGCATCACACAGTGAGGATGTTATTTTCAAGTGTCTTTCAACCCTTCTGATGACCTCAAGAAGAAAGGCTAGGCCAGGTGCGGTGGCTCAAGCCTGTAATCTCAGCACTTTGGGACACTGAGGTTGGAGGATCGCTTGAGCCCAGGAGTTTGAGACCAGCCTGCACAACATAGTGTGACCCTGTCTGTAAAATAAATTAAATAAATAAATAAATAAATAATTTTTTTAAAAGAGAAAGGCTCAGGTTGATGCCAGTACCTCCTCTCCACCGGTGTTGATTGCATTTTTTTTTTTTTTTTGAGACAGAGTCTTGCATTGTTGCCCTGGCTGGAGTGCAATGGCTCACTGCAACCTCCGCCTCCTGGGTTCAAGTGATTCTCCTACCTCAGCCTCCCAAATAGATGGGATTACAGGTGCCTGCCACCATGCCTGGCTAATTTTTGTATTTTTAGTAGAGACGGGGTTTCACTATGTTGGCCAGGTTGGTCTTGAACTCCCGACCTCATGATCCACCCTCCTCAGCCTCCCAAAGTGCTGGGATTACAGGTGTGAACCACCATGTCTGGCCACATTTTTTTTTTTTAAGAGATGCGGGTCTGTTTCTGTCACCCAGACTGGACTGCAGTGGCTATTCACAGACATAATCATAGCATGCTACTGTGTGGAACTCCTAAGCTCAAGCGATCCTCCTGCCCCAGCCTCCCAAGCAGCTGGGACTACAAGTGCACACCACCACGCCTGGGTCTGATCTCACTTTTAACACAAAAAGGGCAGGCTTCAGACTCAGAACTTTGGGTTGACCACATTATCCCATCTGGAATATAATAGCAGTTGAGGGGGAAGCAGGCTCAATTCAATCAGGCCGAGCACCTGCATTCTTTTAATTATGTACATTGCAGAGACAGAGCAGGTGTGTGGATTCTGGAGCAAAACAATGGGAGACTGTAAGTGAGTATTTTAGCTTTTTCTTCCTGATACCTTTATATACACTTGCAGAGTTACCACAGCAACCTAGCAGTGATTCCCTTCCTCCCCCCACCTTTTTTATGTGGTAAAGTGTACAGAATATAAAAGTTATCATTTAAACCATTTGGAAATGCACAAATTACTAGCATTAAGTACATTCACGCTGTTATGCAACCATCACCACCATCCATCTCCAGAACCTTTTCATCTCCAAATGAAACTCCCATTAAACACTAACTCCCCTTTCCCCAGTCCCCTGAGTCCATGGGGGACACCAAGTCAGCCCTCAGCCCCGCTACGGGTTCCTGCACCTCCTGGAACCTCCGTCTCCTTGTTGATAAGGGAAGTGGGATCTTGCTACTTGGCAGGCTTGTGGTGATGACCAAATCAATGAAGTGTGTGAAGCACTTAGCACATAAAGTGAATGTTCAAAGCCTGATGGCTGCCCTCATCCAGCCAGGATCTGCACCTCCCTTCCAGGATCACTAAGTCCATTCCCAGAAGGGAAGTTGTGCATTGATTGCAGTGACCCGGTGATGCCTTCTTTCCAGCCCACGTGAGCTCTGGCAACGCATCACGTTCAATGCTCGCAGCATGTGGACGGCCCGTGACAACACTCTAGTTTCCAGTGTGAATGTAGATTTCCACTTCCCGCCCACATCCCACCTTTAAAATTGTTGGTTGTTATTTCAGTCAGTTTCTAGGCTGGGAGGCAGAGCCGCACTGAAGAAGTAGACACACCCTTCTCAGTCACCTTCTCATCACCAAGTAGGAACTGAGCATCTACTGTCTTTCTCCCTTGAGCAAATGGCTGGACAATATGCCTCAGGAATAGGGCTCATCAGAGGGAGGGTGCGGGAGGCCTGGGTTCTGAATCTTACCCATCTCTCCTTCGTTGGGGTATTGAGCAAGCCTTTAGTGTGGAAGGAAACAGGTCCTGAGGTGTGCAGGAAGTGGCCTGGGATTTTCCATATTTCTGTAACAGCACAACTATCACTGCAGCCAGGTCATTTATGATGGCCGCTGGGAGGACACTGAGAAGCAGCTGCTACCTGTGGAAAGAACTGTAGGATTTTAGTTGATGAGAACCACTGAGGGATATGGCTGCCAAAATAATAAAATAATCTTAGGTGACATCACTGGTGGTAGAGTGTGTAGAAACAAGGGAGGTGAAAGCCCACACTGCAGTGTGTTGGTCAGATTCCTTGGGGGACAGGGTCTAGGTCCGGCACATGCCAGGAAGCCTGGCCAAAGGGAGAGATGGTCACTGACTGCCTACTACGTGGCAGGATCATGCTAGGTGCTTTACATGTGTTCTCTCATTTCACATCAGGGAAGTCATGTGAGAAAATATCACCCCCATGTACAGAAGGGAAAACTGGGGGTTACTGCAGTGAAGTAGCCTGCACAGCATCATCCCGCCTGGAAGTGAAGGAGCTTGGAATTGGGGCCAGGCCTGGCTGACTCCCAAAGTGTGTGCCCTTGTTGGACACTGGGGCTCCCCTAGAAGCTGGCGTTCCACTCTTTCATACCATGTTGCATTCTTCTCTGGGGATCCCCAGATACAAAAGAGAATGGACTCAGTGTTCCTTCCTGTTCAGCAGAGCAACCCCCACCCCTCATTCCCTGCCACCCCTCTGGAATCAGCCCTGGATGAGAGTGAGTTGATAGGACTAGGAGCTGAGCTGTGCCATTCTGGGCTTCCCACCCCCCAGGCACAGAAAACAGTGATCAAAATGAAACCACTTGGCAGAACCCTCCTCACTCCCTAGGGACAGAGTGCAGTCACTCAGGCCCATGTTCCCTGCAAAGACGTTGAGGTCCGTGAAAGTAGGTCCATCCCATGAGGGGGCATCTGAGAAGAGAGGTGGGGTGGTGCCGTGGTGAGCAGCACAGACTCCATTGCGGGACTGCCCGGGCTGAGTCCCCACTCTGGCACTTTGCCGCTGTGTGACTGTGGGCAAGTTGCTTCACCTCTCCGTGCTTTTGTTTCTTTCCAGGTAGAATGGGGATTATTATTTGTGCCTGCTTCATAAAACTGACATAAAGTTAATTGTAAGACACCTAGAATGATGTCCAGCACATAACCAACTATATTAACTTTAACAAAAAATCTTGGCCGGGCACGGTGGCTCACACCTGTAATCCCAGCATTTTGGGAGGCCGAGGTGGGTGGATCACCTGAGGTCAGAAGTTCGAGATCAACCTGGCCAATATGGTGAAAGCTTGTCTGTACTAAAAATACAAAAAAGTAGCCGGGTGTGGTGGTGGGTGCCTGTAATCCCAGCTACTCAGGAGGCTGAGGCAGGAGAATCCTTGAACCCTGGAGGGGGATCTTGCAGTGAGCTGAGATGGCGCCATTGCACTCCAGCCTGGGCGACAGAGACAGACTCTGTCTCAAAAAAAAAAAAAAAAAATCTGTGTGCACTTCCTCCTTGAAGCCATGTAGCCCAGCTGTATATCCATCTTACCCTTTGGAATATGAGATGCTTAAGGCTGGGACTATGTCCAATTCTCTCTGTACCCCAGTGCCCAGAGGAGTCCAGCACTTACTTATTGTCTGCGGCAGGCATTGAATTTTCCAAATATTCCTGGTCCCAGGTGCTCTTTCAACCTCTTGCTGCCTCCTGTCTAGAGGTGAGGTCACTTTCCCCTCCCCTTGAGCCTGGGTGGTGCTCATGTGATTGCCTCAACAAATAGAATGTGGTGGAAATGGCACTGGATGGCTTCTGAGGCTAGGTTATAAAAGGGATGTAAGTTCCACCTGGCTCTCGCTGGGAATGCTCACCCGTGGACTCCAGCCACCATATTGTGGGGAAGCCCAAGCCATGTGGAAAAGCCACTTGCAGGTGTTCCAGTCAATGGCCTCAGCTAAGATCTTAGCCAAGAGCCAATATTAAGTGGTAGACCTGTGGTATTAAGAACATTCATGCTGTTATACAATTATCACTACCATCCATCCGCAAAACTCTTTTCATCTTGTAAAACCAGAACTCTATGCCTATTAAATTATAAGTCTTCATTCCCCCTCCTACCAGCCCCTAACCACCATTCTACTTTCTTTTGTTGATTCTGGCCACTCTAGGTATCTCAGACAAGTAAAATCATACAGTGCTTTTTCTTTTTCTTTTTTTTTTTTTTTTGAGACAGAGTCTCATTTTGTTGCCCAGGCTGGAGTGCAGTGGTGTGACCTCAGCTCACTGCAACCTCTGCCTCCCAGGTTCAAGCGATTCTCCTGCTTCAGCCTCCCGAGTAGCTGGGACTACAGGCACTCATCACCGCGCCTGGCTACTTTTTGTAATTTTAATAGAGACGGGATTTCACCATGTTGGCCAGGCTGGTCTTGAACTCCTGACCTCAGGTGATTTTCCCACCTTGGCCTCCCAAAGTGCTGGGATTACAGGTGTGAGCCACCGCACCCGGCCTACAGTGCTTGTTCTTTTATGGCTGTTTTATTTCACTTAATGTTCTCAAGGACCATCCATGTTGTGGCATATGCCAGAATTTCCTTCCTTTTTAGGGCTGAATTGTATGTCTGGCCCACATTTTGCTGACCACTCATCCGTTGATGGACACGTGTTGCTTTCACCTCTTGGCTTTTGTGAATGATGCTGCTACAAACGTGGGTGTTCACATGTCTCTTTGAGTTCCTGCTTTTGGTTATTTGGGGGATATACCCAGAAGTGGAATTGCTGGATCATATAGTAATTCTATGATGAGGTTTTTGAGGAACAGCCACGCTGTTTTCACAGGGTTCCAGTTTACTCACATTCTGGCCAACAGTTGTTATTTTCTGGATTTTTTTTTTAATCATAGGCATCCTAATGAGTGTGAGGTGGCAGACTCCCTCAGTCTATAGGGCAGAGAAGAGAGAGCCTCTGAGAAGGGTCTGTGACTTTGAACACTAGAGCTCTGAGCACGAACATTCCCGAGGGCTGCTTCTAGTCTCCTGAAGACCAGAGCTAACCACTGGGAATGGATTGTGGTGACTGAAGGGTGCCGAAGTCAGAACTCTCAGTGGCCTGGCACTGTGCCTCGAAGTGCCTCCCTACTGTGTTGATTAGTCTAAAAACATGTCAGCCTTTGGGTATGACCTTACTGGGGCCCCTCCAGACAGGGCATGGAGCAGAGGGCCCTCCTTTATGGGCTGGACTCACTAGTGAAGCTGCTTAACTGTGACTCACCTCCAAGGCTCAAGGTGATGCTAAGGTGCTAAACTGCTGGAACTCTTAGCTGTGCCTGTGTCTCCTTGGGCTCTGGGAGATTTTTTCTTTTAGCAGTATTTTATGGCGATATTGTCTAGGTAGAATAAAATGTACAGATCCTGGTTTTCTGTTTGAGTTTTGTTTTGTTTTGTTTTGTTTTGAGACAGGGTCTTGCTCTGTCACTCAACCTGCAATGCAGTGGCACGATCATAGCTCACTGTGGCCTCAGCCTCCCAGGCTCAAGCAATACTCCTGCCTCAGCCTCCCTGTAGCTGGGACTACAGGCATGCACCACCATGCCTCACTAATTTTTTTGATTTTTAGTACACAGAAGGTCTTGCTATGCTGCCCAGGCTTGTCTCAAACTCCCGGACTCAAGCAATCCTCCTGCCTCAGTCTCCCAAAGTGCTGAATTACAGGTGTCAGCTGCTGCACCCAGCCTCAGCCTGTTGTTAATGGATGTAAACACCTGTGGGACCACCACCCAGAACCAGATCCAGAACATTTCCAGCCTCTCGAAGACTCCTTCGTGCCCCTCCCAGTCAGTGACTCCCAAGGGTAACGCCACTCTAGCCTGTTGTTCAACTTGACTCGAATGGAATTCTCACAGCATGTGTCTGTTTGGATCTGGCTTCTTCCGCTCAGTTGCAAGGCTCATTGACGTTTCCTGTGGCCTAGCTCCTTTTTATTGCTGAGGGCCACTCTGTAGTGTGAAAACCACAATTCATTTCTCCCTTCTTCTGTTGGTGACTATTTGCATTGTTACCAGCCTGGGGCTATGACGAGTAAAGCTTTTAAAAACAGACAAATATGTTTTCCTTTCTCTTGGGTAATTTTTCAGAAGTAGAAAAGCCAGCAACTTTGAAGTAGATATTTGACTATATTACAACTCACCAAGCAGTTTTTCTTTCTCTTTATTTTTTTTATTTTTTGAGACAGAGTCTTGCTCTGTTACCTAGGCTGGAGTGCAGTGGCGTGATGAGGGTTCACTGCAGCCTCGGCCTCCTGGGCTCAAGTGAGCCTCCCACCTCAGCCTCCCACATAGCTGGGACCACAGGTGTGCACCACCACACCTGGCTAATTTGCCTTTTAAATTATATGTAGAGACAGGGTCTTCCTATCTTGACCAGGCTGGTCTCAACTTCTTGGACTCAAGTGATCCTCCCACTTCAGCCTCCCAAAGGGCTGGGATTACAGGCATGAGCCACCACGCCCTGCCCATTTTTCTAAGTTGGATTATTTTACACTCAAGTCTGCTATGAATGATAGTTCCAGTTGTTCCATATCCCAATCAATTGGTGATTGCTACAAATGACGTGACGTGATGAAAATATTCCTGGTATTCGAGAGGATTGCAAAGAATTTCCCTTCTTTTCTCTCCTTTCTGCTCCCCTTGTACTGTCTACTCCTTAACTTGGTCAAATTCTACTTGATCCAGAACATAATGGGATGGTGAGTGCAGACGACACACACGGCCTCAGTCTATGGGAACATCTCAAAGGAGTTCGTCTGCAAATTCTAGTGCATCTAGGCAGAACACAGGAAGGAAGAGAGGTGCAGACTTACGTATGGCCCTGGGGCACCTGCCATCCCCTCGAGCCTGTATGGTCCTTACCCGCCCATCCCCAGCTTGAGTTCTGGGCCTTCTCGCCAGCACATCGTTGGGACCTGGTCAACTTCAGGTAAGTTTATTTCATGGCTCCCTCTCCCCTCTGCAGCCTATCCTGTTATTCTCTGTTTCAGCCAATTATTTCCCCTAACTAGGTGCTGAAGCCAATTAAAGGCAGTTCATGCCATATGTTCCTTCCCACTCCCATGTCACTTGAAATGTTCTATTATGTCCAATACTTCTCTCCCCATCCTAAAGCTCACAAAATAAGGATGGAGAAGAGAAGAAAGAGAGATTCACTGAGGGGGAGGATCAGAAGCTCCTGGGCACCCCATACTCTAGAATAAAAATCTTCATTATAGTGTTTTTCATGCAAAATATTCCCTTCTACATAATTATGTTTTAACATGAAGAATAGAAATTTAAAGAGGAGAAATACTTCTTGAAGATTCTGAGAATCTTCATATAGCTCAGGCTGCCACGAATTAGCTGTGTGACCTGGGGCATGTCCCTCAGACTCTGAGCCTCAGCTTCTCTATATGTAAAATGAGTTGAAGCCACCCTTCCCCACAAGCACCCTGTGCACAGGCAATACCCAGCCCCATTATTTTCTGGAACCAGTGGCCAAGCATGCTTAGGACACACAGCCACATACTTCTGGGCAGTGTCATCTGGCAACTCACTGTCATGTCAGTGTGGTCAAGCATTGTAGACCTCTATGAACCAAATATGCTTCAGGCTTGGGTTGAGCACAGGAGAGGGAGGAGGGAAAGGTCACTGGGGCTGGGAGTGCCTACTTCCCTCTATGAGTGTCACCCCAGTTCACCCAACACCCTACCTTTCTCTCTCTGGACCCACTTCCTCTTGCTGCCGGCTCCTCCCCATTGAATAACAGCCAAGTTGCTTTGGTTTCTATTACTTTGTTAAGTCATTCCTTCTGCAAAGGACTGCCTGGCAGGTGTCAAAGGCAGTGGTGGCCACAGAGGCGGTGGAGAGATGGCCTTCAGCGGTTGCCAGGCTCCCTATCTGAGCCCAGTGAGTTCCGGGGCCGTGGGCACAGGGCTGCCTCAGCCAGGGGGACACAGTTCTGGGGCTCTGAGGAAGCAACTCCTGGGTGGCAGGAGATAGGGGTGGGGGCATCCCAAAGAGAACACAAGCAGGGCAGAAATGTCAGTGGGGGTCGTCCTGGCACAGCTGTGCCATGCTGAGCTCACTCATGCCTGGAGAGATGCTCCTCCCATGAGTCATGGGTTTGACAGTGTTGGCTGAGCTGTCCTGTCCTGTCCTGTGCGCTCAGGGGAAGAGGTGTAGAGTGGGATGGTTTGTGTAAAGAGGAAGCAAGCATGCTTCTGGGACAGTAAGGATGCTACCCGGCATGGTAGTTAAGGGTGCGTACTGTGGAGTTGGCCTCCCTGGGTCCAGCTATTTACTGGCTGGTGGTCTCTGGGCCTCAGTTTCCATATCTGTGAAGTGGGAATAATACTTGAGCCCCCCACTCCCAGGGTTGGGATATGGATTAAGGAAGTAGTGTATCTAGAGTGTTTGAACAGTGCCTGACACACTGTAGGTGCTTTGGGAGTGTTTCATGTTATTGGGAGTCTGGGTGCAGCAGGGAAGGCCTCCCGAGGAGGTGTCTGTGCTCTGAAGGGTGAGGCGGAGTTAACCAGGCATAGGCATGTCAGGGCATCTGTAGACGGACAGTCTCAGAGGTGACGGAGGCAGGGACTGTCCCTGCAGTGTGGGGTCAGAGGGCTGCAGGTGCCTTGCTGAAACTCTGTGAGGTTTATGAGTCCCCTTCATTCACGGAAAATCCAAGGTTCAGGGAGGCAAAGGCCAGTTGCCAAATGCCCCCAGATGGGAGTGGCAGCCCCAGGAGCCCAGGAGCCTTCAGGGGTGACTGTGTCCTGGGCTGGGTCCTGTCACAGGATCTCACCCTGCCTTGGCAAAGAGCTTCCCGAGGGGCTGGAGTGGGTGGGCTGATGGGCCCTTCCTGAGTGGGGAGGCAGAATGGGGAGGGTGGGCAGAGGCAGGGTGCTGAGGGCAGGGAAGCTGCCAGGGGCCACCTCAGCAGAGGCCAGGGTTGGGCTTGGGTGCCCTCTGGTGATACTGAGTCCAGAATGAGGCTGCCTATGTTCTGGTCTGCAGAGCTCAGCTCTGCTTTCTAGACTCCAGAGAGGAAGAATGGAGAAAGGAGGCCTGTTTCCTCCTGGCTGTCACCAATGACCCCTCAGCCACCCTATGGAAGCCCCCAAGGTAGAACCTGCATAGAGGGAGTGGGGGAAGCTGGAATGGGCTGCCGGTGTTGGGCGAGCCTTAGGGTCAGCGTGTGCCACCTTGAGCATGTCACCCCATTTCTGGTTTTCTGTCAGAGAGGGGATCCCAGAGCTTCTTCCAGGTTCTGACATATTATTATTCTGGTAACTGGTTTTTACTTTCTAATCTTTGGATTCAGAAGGAAAATCCTCCTATGCACATCAGAGAGTTTGAGAGAGTTAAAGCGGGGCCTTGGAGCTCAGACAAGAAAGACGATCAGTGCAGCCCCCACAGGTGTCCAGAGCTCCCCTCTACCCTACGGGGGCTCCCCTGGGTTGGGACACTTGAGCCTCACTCGGTGACCCATCTGGCAGTCGGAGTCACGCTTTCTCCACATGCCGACAGTGGGGGAAGGTCACGCGGTTCATGTCCTGCTGAGGAGGGCTGAGTGCCATGAGGGCCTGGCTTGGAAACCTCACTCCCACTTCTTGTCTGGCCTCATCTAGCCCAGCCTCTTTGGAGGGCTGGGGGGAAGCTGGAACCACCTGCTGTGTGGCCCAGGAAGCACTGCGAGAGCCAGGAATAAGGACGTTCCGAGCTTCCTCATGAGAGGAAGCCTGTGTGGTGGTTAGAAGCGTGGGTGCTGGGGTTCAAATCCCAGCTCTGTTGCCGACCAGCTGTGTAGCTTTGGGCAAGTGACTGAACTTTTCTGTGCCTCAGTTTCCTCATCTGTAAAAGTGGCCGGGGTTGCTGTGAGGATAAATGTTCCCGGTCACCCCCAGAGCCCTCATGGACACACATGGATCCAAATGCCACAGCAGCCTTAGCTGGCCAACTTAAAACAACACATTTGTGCTTACAGTGTTGGAGGTCAGAAGGCTAAAATCAAAGTGTCATGAAAGGTGGCCAGCAGGACCGTGGAGCCTCTGAGGCAACAGGGCACTTTGGCTAAGGGCCACGTACTGGCTCCAGCTGGCAGGCAGTCTCGGCCAGCCAGGCTGAGCTCCCTACTCCTGGGGCCAGGCCTTGGTGTCCTCTGGTGATGCTGAGTCCAGAATGAGGCTGCCCACATTCTGGTCCGCAGGGCTCAGCTCTGCTTTGACTTCCAGGTAGGAAGAAGAGGGAAAGTCCCCGGTCTCTGGGCACAACCAGGAACAGAGAGTAAGTTCTGACTCAGCAGAGGGATTGATTTGTTCCATGCAAAGAGCTGCACTGTCAAGGCCGACATGGGCCAGAGGCTCAGCACATGGCATCGCACCCCGTCCTCTCAGAACGCTGCCAGCCAGGGGCTCAGCACATGGCATTCCACCCAGTCCTCTCCAGAATGCTGCCAGCCAGGGACTCAGCACACAGCATTGCTTCCAGTCCTCTCCAGAACACTGTCGGGTGGTGTTACTGCCCTGCCATTCAGAGGAGGGAAGTGGGGCACAGGCAGGTCAAGTGACTTGGCCAGTGTCAGAATTGCTAGTGTACAGAGCTGGGAGGCGAGCCCAGGCCCATGGGACCACAAATCCAACACAAAAATCCATCCTCCTGCACCCTACGGAGCAAAAGTAGGTCCAGTTGTTTTCCTGGGTTTCCTGGACACACGGATCTAAATTCCACAGCAGCCTTGGCTGGCCAATCTTAAAACAACAAATTTGCTTTCTTAATGATTCTGGAGGGCAGATGTTAAAATCATCGTGTGAGCAAGGTTGTCTCCTTCCGGAGGCTCCAGGGGAGAATCTGTTTCTTTTGCTTTTCCAGCTTCTAGAGGCTGCCTGCCTGCCTTGGCTTATGACCCCTCCTGCCATCTTTAAAACCAGCAGCTTTGTCTGGGTGCAGTGGCTCATGCCTGTAATCCCAGCACTTTGGGAAGCTGAGGCAGGAGGATCTCTTTAGCCCAGGAGTTGGAGACCAGCCTGGGCAACAAACTGAGACTGTGTCTCTACAAAGAATAGACAAAAATTAGCCAGGCATGGTGGTGCATGCCTGTAGTCCCAGCTACCTGGGAGGCTGAGGTGGGAGGATCGCGTGAGCCTGGGGAAGTGGAGGCTGCAGTGAGTTGAGATCATGCCACTGCACTCCAGCCTGGGTGACAGAATGAGATCCTGTCTCAAAAAAAAAAAAAAAAAACACAACAAACAAACAAACAAAACCCCCAAAACCAGCTTCTTGCTTCTGTTGTCACATCTCTTACCTCTGACTTTGATCCTCCTGCTCCCTTTTATGGGACCTTTGTGATTACATTGGGACCACCTGTATAATCCAAGACAATCTCCCCATGCCAAAATTATGCATTTAATCACATCTGCAAAGTCCCTTCTACAACATATTCACAGTTTCCGGGGATTCGAATGTGGATGTTTCTGGGGGGTCGCCCACTGATAACCAGTATTATAAGTTTCTTGTAAATCCTTCCAGAGATATTTTATCTATAAATAAATAAATGCAAGTCCATAGCCTTCCCCTACCCACTTTTTATGCAAATGGCATTATTCCATATCGGTGCTCAGAGTTTTCCTCTTTTTCTTTTTTCTTTTCCGTCTTCTTTTTCTTTTCTTTTGAAAGCTACACAGAACTTATTCTATTATATGGAAATACCCTAATTTATTTCACCTTTTCCCTGTTGGAAGACTTTTAGGCTCCTTCCAATGCTTTGCTTTATAATCCTTTGTGTTATAATGCTGCAATGAATAACCTTGTTTGTTGGATGATATTCAATTTAAAATCTCATTTTTCAGGACAGGCATAGTGGTTCATGTCTGAAATCCCGGCCCTTTGGGAGGCCAAGACAGAAGGATCACTTGAGCCCAGGTGTTCAAGACCAGCCCTGGCAACATATCGAGACCTGGTCTTTTCAAAAAAATTTGAAAATTAGTGGGGCATGGCTTGGTGGCCTGCACTTATTTGGTCTCAGCTGCTCGGGAGGCTGAGGTGGGAGGATTACTTGAGCACAGGAGGTGGAGGCTGCAGTGATCCATGATCACACTCCTCACTACACTCCAGCCTGGGCAACAGAGTGAGAACCCATCTCAAAATAAAATAAAATAAAATAAATAATAAAATAATCTTGTTTTTCAGAAATTGGGGGTGCCATTTAAGACATTTTGAAACCTCACAGAACTTTTTTGGGGAACTTGTTGCCTTGGAGATTAGCCTGCCCTGTCCTGCCCCCATGACCTGTACTTGGTCTTTCTCCCTCCTGGCTTCCTTAGTTAAGCCTTGTGTGGACTTGCGAGCCCATGTCCATCACTCTCTGCCTTCAATTCTAGGTGCTGTGGTGTGAATACGCTTGAGTGGAGGCCGCATGCTTCCCAGGAGGGTGTGTATTTTCAGCGTTGTCTCTCATGATAGAATGAAAGGCTCTGGAGGGAATCACAGGCTGCCACAAACAGGCAAGGGGAAAAATCTTCCACAGACGCGTTTCAGGGACAACAGGCTTCCCAATCCTAGCCCATGCTGGCCCATAACTGGATCAGGCTGACTCTCCTTCCCCCACACCGCTGGTGTAGACAGGGACAAGAAAGAGAAGTCAGAGACACAGAGAAGCTGTGATTTGCTTGAGGTCACCAAAGTATTTAATGGCAGAGTTCAGACCTGACCTGAGGGGCAAGAAAAGACAACCCCCTCAAATCCATGGGGAGCAGAGACTATCTGGATCAGATCTCAGATTGCCTGGGGCTTTCACGGTGCCAGGTGTGTACACTGAGCTAGGATGGGTTTCCCAGGGTGCTGTGTGGTCACATAACTCAACAATACAGACCAGAAAGCAGTGACCAGTAGGCTGAATTTGGCTAGTGGGTGTTTTCTGTTTGGCCTGCACAGTGTTTATTTTAACTTGTTATTATAGGAAATTCAAACATGCAGAGAGAATTGTACCATCAACAACACACACCCATCACTCTGCTCCAACAATGATCAACTCAGGCCTATCTTGCTTCATCCTATACCCTCCCTCGCTTGCTTCTCTTCCCACCTTCAGATATGCGGAAGCAAATCCAGAGATTTCATTCCATTGTAAATATTTCATTGTGTATCTCTACAATGTGGGAATTTGGGGAGTTTCATTTGAGACAGGGTCTCGCTTTGTTGCCCAGGCTGGAGTGCAGTGGTGCAATCGTGGCTCACTACAGCCTCGACCTCCCAGGCTCAAGTGATCCTCCCACCTCAGCCTCCCAAGTAACTGGGGTTAAAGGTGTGCACCACCACATCTGGCCAATTTTTTTATTTTTTGTAGAGATGGGGGTCCCACTATGTTGCCCAGGCTGGCCTAAAACTCCTGGGCTCAAGTGATTGTTTTACCTCAGCCTCCCAAAATGCTGGGATTATAGATGTGAGCCACTGTGCCCAGTCAGGAACTTTTACATAATCCTTTTTGACAAAAGATTTCCCCCAAGAAATTAGAAAGTTTTACAAAAAAAAAAAAAAAAAATTCAGGTTTCTGTCTCATCTTAAAAATTTGGAAGTTCTGCCAATACTAAGCCCAGACGGTAATCATTGGTTAGTGCTGAGAAGATGTTGACTTTTTAGATGAGGCGTGTGACGTCTACTTTGCCACAGTCCCCACCACTCCCTACCTGGCCATCTGACTCATACACATCACCTGCCTGGCTTCTTTAGGCATTTAATTTGTGTAGGAAATTGACCTAAAGGAGATATTAGAGAAGACATTAAAAACTTGAAGAATGTGAAAATCAGCCATGAGATAGAACTGTGCTTTAATGCAGGTTATAGAACCACACCGGATATGAGGCATTTCGGAATAAACTTTGAAAATTGGAAGTACCAGTTTGTGAATTTTGCTCAGAGAGACCAAGGTGGGGGGTGGGTGACAGTGGTGAAGCGTCTCCTCTGTGCCAGTCTCTTCTACCACAGGCTTTTTCTCACAAAATCATCAATCATATGCAGTAGGAGAAACACCTTCCTATTTTACAGATGAGGAAACTGAGGCAAAGAGAGGTGAAATAGGCTTCCCAAGGCCACTCAGGTCAGGAGCAGCAGAGTTAGGATTCAGACCTGGAGTCGGCCTGACTCCAAAACGATGCATGCCTCACCATGGCCCATAGCTCCTTTAAAGAGGCGCGGAAGAGAGAATTTGACAAAGTGCTTGCCCACGGGGCCTGGGATGGGTGGGGAAACTACGCTGGGGCTCGGGGCTGCGGAGGGCATCTGGGAAGAGGCTCTGCTGAAGGTGGTCAGGAGGGCAAAGGTCACGGTGGCCATTGTTATATGGTGGTGGTGGGGAGAGGTGCATGCCTTCTTCTTGACACTCTCTGGTGACCCTCTCGGTGGAACCTGCAGACCCTTGATGGGCCCCTTTGTTCCCTTGGGCCTCCTGAGTCCCCAGCCAGGGCGCTGGGCACTTTGCTGGGAGCTTGGCATGGGGTCCAGCAGCCCCATTGCTACCTAGTTCCTTACCAGCCCAGGGCGTCTGCCTGCTACTTCCCTGCCTGGAAGGAAGGCCTTCCGCCTGGAGCGTTCCTGGTGTGGCCTCCGCTGCCTCTCAGACTCTCACACAAGCTCAGCTCCCTGTCGCGTCCTCTCAGGGCCAGGATTCTCCTTATCACAAGCTTAGACTGTCTGAGTAACTAATTGGATTTGTGTCTGCCTCCACACAGGACCCTAAGACCCGTGGGGCTGAGACTCCTTCTGTCCTGGTCACAGCTGCACCCTAGCCCCTCGCATGGTGCGGTCACACCCAGGCCAGCCACTGACTAGCCCCGAAGGGGAGCAAACAGGAGGCCGGCCACCTGACTGAGGCCCCATGTCTTCTCCCTGCAGGCCGTCCCCTTTTCTGGGACTATCCAAGGGGGTCTCCAGGACGGATTTCAGATCACTGTCAATGGGGCCGTTCTCAGCTGCAGTGGAACCAGGTGTGTGTATATGGATGGAAACGTTTCACTCCAGCCTCGTCCCTTAGTAAAGCCACTGTGCCTGTGAGCCTCGGCTAGTTCAAACAACAACATCCAAGCTCACGTGCCTGGCGCAGGGGAGACCCAATGCATCCTTAACCCATGCCACAGGACAGCACTCCACAGGCACAACCTGCACCCAGGGATGCCATTAACCTGGACTCCAGGATGAATGGGGCCCTGGGAGCTGAAGGTCTAAGGAAGGAGTGGGATGGTCAGAGTTGGATGATTATGTTCTGGGCTGAACCTTGCACACTGTGACTGAGAGTTGCAAAAATCAAACTTCCTCCGTTTCCCATAACTGCTCTCATCCACTCTGAAGCTCTCCTTCTGCTGACATGAAAATACTGAAAATTGACATCCGAAGTAATTTGGTCTCTTTCGGTTTCAAGGCCTTTTCTGGAAACTACTAAGTCCATTCAAAATACTAACATTGTATCAGGGCTGTTTCCCACCCCTTCCTCCCTCCCAAGGTGGGCTGTCTGGGAACAGAGAGGAGCTCACGTGGCTTGTCAGTGGCTGGGAGGGCCCCCGACCCTCACGCAGGCCTGGCTGACCCCTGCCGAGGCATCCTGACTGGGTGGCACAGAGGTGTGCAGCTCTCTCCTGGTTTAGTGAGGGACCACGGGTGGCTGCCTGCTGAAGTCTGCGGGGCCCACAGAAGAGCCTCTGGACTCATGGCTCTCTCTCGGAAGCCTCTCTGCCTCAGTCCCAGCGGACCTCTCTTAAGACCCTCTGGGCCTCGTAGATGCCAGCTCAACCTCAGCTCCGCCACCTAGATTCTTGATGACCTCCTCCGCCATTGCCATCCTGCTGTCGGACTTCTCTGAGAGCCTGCAGTGCCCCCAGGAGATGCCAAGGGCAGGGAGGCCCTGATCCCCCTGAATCCTCCAACCGGGGGAATCAGAACCATGCCTCTGATCTTCCACCCCTTCCTCTTTCCCTCTCCCTCTGTTTCCCCCACCTCCCAGCACCAGGAGGGCTTCCCACTCCCATCCTGTTGCACGGAGACAGATCCTACCTCAGAGGGCCCTCTCCTCTCAGGAGCTTTCTGTCTCTCCCTTCCTTGGGGCAGGAATTTCCAAAGGGCCACAGGAATGAAGCTGAAGGTCTCCAAAGGAAAAAAATACATGCAGTGATATTTCAAATGCAATCTTCTCCATTTATTCATTTAATTAATTTATTTTTTTCTTTAGAGACAGGGACTTTTTTCTTTCACCCAGGCTGGAGTGCAGTGGTACGATCATAGCTCACTGCAGCCTCGACTTCCTGGGCTCAAGGGATCCTCCCATCTCATCCCCCAGAGCAGCTGGGACTGTAGACATGCATCATGATGTCTAGCTAATTAAATATATATATATATCTTTTTGTTTTTTAAGTAGAGATGAGATCTCGCTCTGTTGCTCAGGCTGGTCTTCAACTCCTGGGCTCAAGTGATCCACCCACCTTGGCGTCCCAAAGTGCTGTGATTACAGGCGTGAGGCACTGCGCCCGGCCCCGATTTCACATGCTCTTTACATTTGTTCTCTTCTTTCGCACTTAATCAGGCATGTGCTGGCCTCCAACAAGTGTCCACTGGCACAGAAGCCTCTCTCTTCTAGGTGTGCTTAACAACTTCCATCTTTGTTACCAACTGGTAATCACTTTCCAGGACCTATGCTTCTTGTTTGCTAATGCCAGCACTTTCCCTTAGCCATTTTCTACTTATGTTTAGAAAATCGTGCTGTAAAGGCAAAATGCAATAATCGCACAAAAACACATTGGATCCAAATTAGAGAAACAAAAAGGATGCCAACCAAGCAGTCTCTGCCACGCAGGTTGTATGCAAGATCCCAGACAAACACAGGGCAGAGGCACCGAGGCCCTCCTGTGCCTGTCACTGGCAATAATCCATGCCACAGAAGACTATTTGCTTTTCCTGGGCCTAGGTTTGCTGTGGACTTTCAGACGGGCTTCAGTGGAAACGACATTGCCTTCCACTTCAACCCTCGGTTTGAAGACGGAGGGTATGTGGTGTGCAACACGAGGCAGAAAGGAACATGGGGGCCCGAGGAGAGGAAGATGCACATGCCCTTCCAGAAGGGGATGCCCTTTGACCTCTGCTTCCTGGTGCAGAGCTCAGATTTCAAGGTAAGCAGGAATCCCCTCCCCACCTCTCGCCCACGGGACTCCCAGCCCTATCAGGTGAATGTGAATGGCCTTTTAAGTAACCACTTTAATTGACATTCAGCCAGAGTGACACCACCATACAGATAACATGACCATTTCCTTGTAAGGGTGTTACCCATGGCTGTGTAGTCTCCTTACGCACCTTCACCTGAATCTACAGGTGCACCTCCTGCTTCTTTTACTCTGAAAATAAGAACTAGAGGAGTCATCACGTTGCTGTTAGGTGTTGTGTGTCTTTGAATTCCAAGCTCATTCCATTCCTCTGCTATCACCATACCTCCTCTCCAGGTCCCTGGTAACATTTATTTTTCAGCGACATTGTTCCAGCCCTTATCCAGAGTCTATTACGGTTATAGTTCTGTAAGCACATTGCAAATTACCTTTGCAAGCACAGTAGGTCTCTGGGCTTGAGAAGCCGGTGGGTAACTCAGTCTGAATATGCTTATCTGAGATAAGGATGTTCCCATCCATTCAGTATGCAACCCGATGTCACCTCTCCTCTGCTCCCCGTGAGCATTTTATGCATATTTAAATAATACCCCTGCAGTCCTAAAAAGGAATGAGATCATGTCCTTTACAGGAACATGGATGGAGCTGGAAGCCGTTGCAGGAGCAGAAAACCAAACACCGCAAGTTCTCACTTATAAGTAGGAGCTGAACGATGAGAACACATGGACACAAGCGGGGAAACAACACACACTGGGGCCTGGTCGGGGACGGAGAGCATCAGGAAGATTAGCTAATGGATGCTGGGCTTGATACCAAGGTGAAGGGTTGATCTGTGCAGCAAAACACTGTGGCACACATTTACCTAGTTAACAAACCTGCAGATCCTATACTCATACCCTGGAACTTAAAATAAAAGTTGAAGGGGCTGGGCACGGCGGCTCACCCTTATAATCCAAGCACTTTGGGAGGGTGAGGAGGACAGATGGCTTGAGGTCAGGAGTTCAAGACCTGCCTGGCCAACATGGTGAAATCCCGTCTCTACTAAAAATACAAACATTAGCTTGGTGTGGTGGTGGATGCCTGTAATCCCAGCTACTCGGGAGGCTGAGGCAGGAGAATCGCTTGAACCACTGCACTGCAGCCTGGCTGACAGAGTGACACTCTATCTCAAAAAAAAAAAAAAAAAGTTGAAGGAAAAATAATAAATAAATGAAACCCCAGGAAATTCAGTTTGGTTCCTGAGCATGGGCTCTTTCTGGAACAATATGGCCTCCTAACCAGGCTGGAAATCGAGGAGTGAGAAGAAAGGGGAAGGAAACAACCAGAAGAATGGAAAGCCCGACTGGAGCCCAGTAGAGACTCCGGTTGATGCACTTCGGGCCACACACACGTCCCTGTAACTGGCCCCACACTGAAGACCAGACTCAGGTCTTCATTTTTTAGAAGGAGGGACCAGGAGCTCAGGGGTGGTCCCCATCCCGGCCTGGGGCACCTCCCCCGAAATACGTGCTCTCCTCTGGCAGGTGATGGTGAACGGGAGCCTCTTCGTGCAGTACTTCCACCGCGTGCCCTTCCACCGTGTGGACACCATCTCCGTCAATGGCTCTGTGCAGCTGTCCTACATCAGCTTCCAGGTCAGACTGTCCACCTGGCACCGGTCCCAGGGGCTGGGATGCAGGGCCCAGCGTAGCTGTGCTTAGGCCCAGCTGGGGGGACCCAAGCCAATCTCCTACCCAGGTCACTCTGGGGACAACCTCTGCTTCCCTGTCCCAGTACCTGCCCGCCCCTTCTCCTCTGTCACTCTGCCCCTCCTTCTGTGTCACTGTCTCTGTCTGGAACACCTGCCTTGGTCTCCCAGACTCCTCAGCTGCCCCTTTCTCTTCATCCGTCAATTTCCATCCTGGTAAGGAGGGCATATTGTTCTAGAAAGAGCCCAGGCTCAAGAACCAAACTGAATCCAGTTCAAATTCCCAGCTCTGCCATTCGTCATCTGTGGGATCTTAGACAAGCAACTTTGCCTCTCTCAGCCTCAGTTTTGTCATCTGTAGAATGAGCATGGTCATTGCCTGCCCCCCATGGGTGGTTGTGTGATTCATTGAGGAGACAGATATCAGAGGTCACACAATGGCGCCCCTGGGCCCACACCAGGGTCTGTGTGACCTCTGTGTTTTAAAAACTTTGAATGCGTTGCCAACATCTAAAAGGTCAGGAGACCCAGGTATGGTGGTGGAGGTCTGCAATCCTGGTTACTCAAGAGGCTGAGGCAGGAGAATCGCTTGAGCCCAGGAATTAGAGTTCTGCCTGAGCAACATAGCAAGACCCCATCTCTAAAATCTTTTTGTTTGAATAATAAAATAAAATAAATAAAACTAAAGAAGGTCAGGAGATACCAACACCACGTGAAAAATGGGAAGATTAGGGTATGCTGGGCCCACATTCCCACAGGGCACCGGCAGCTGGATGGGAGCTGCTGTTACCCTTTTGGCATTCAAGGGAGCTCCCTGAGATGAGCGAAGTGCACAGTAGGCCCTCAGCAAATCTGGGCTCCTCACCCTTTGGTCCTCATCTCTCATTCCCTCCTTCCCTGACTCTCTCCCCTGCGGGTGGAAGGGGAGGGAAGAGCTGGAGGGAGACTGTCCCCCTGCGCTGCTCACCGAAGCCTGGCCCTTTCCGCTCCCGCCTCCGTGTGGCCCTAACCCCCTTGCTGCATCCCCCTGCCTGCCTGTTCTCTGCCTCCTGCCCCTGCATCTGCCTTTCGGCTTCTCCTTGGCTCTATTAATGCTTCTCCTCACCGGCCGGTGCCTTTTGTTTTAACAGAATCCCCGCGCAGTCCCCGT
Organism: Homo sapiens; assembly: GCF_000001405.40. Taxonomy (NCBI): domain Eukaryota; kingdom Metazoa; phylum Chordata; class Mammalia; order Primates; family Hominidae; genus Homo; species Homo sapiens. Next base: position 18,488,961 of record NC_000017.11, read on the forward strand.
TCAGCCTGCCTTCTCCACGGTGCCGTTCTCCCAGCCTGTCTGTTTCCCACCCAGGCCCAGGGGGCGCAGACAAAAAGTGAGTTCAACACAGAGGCCCTGGGTGGCTGAGCAGACAGCAGGAAGGACCGAGGGTTTGAGAGGCTGGCCCCAGCCAGCAGGCCACCAGGGCCTATGGGCCACATCTTGCCCACTCAAGAGTTCCCTGTCTCTGTCTGCTGGGCACCCAGAGCCGGGGACCTGGGTGTTGCCCTGGATTCTTCACTACCCTTTCTTTATGTCTCTCCAAGGCACCAACATATCTCCCTCCCAAAGCCACCGATGTGGCCCAGGCCTCTGGGATTCCTCACCATGACTACAGGGGTCCAGTTCCCCACCCCCCACACCCAACCGCTGCCACAGTGACCTTCTTATAAGCAAATCTGATCACACTCTCTCCCTGCTTAAAAATCTTAAAAGTCCCCAGCCCTTTAAACAAAGCCCAAATTCCCCAGCAGGGCATACGAATTCCTCCCCAGTCTGGCCCCAGTCCACCTCCTTGCCTCACCCCCAACCCACGAAGCTCATGCAACCTCCACGGCTCACTCAAGGCCCTCTCGGGCCACCATGCTTTTGCATATGCTGTCCCTGGTCCCGGAAGCACCCTCTGCCAGCCTGCCCTCAGCACACGCCTAATCGCCCTTCCATGCTCTGCCAAAGTGTCGCTCCTCTGGGAGTCCTCCCTGCCCAGAATATTGTTGGATGCTCCCCCCATGCCCCCACGGAGTCTGTACATATCTGTGCCATGCCAGTTCACAGCACCCCATTGTAACTGTTTGCGTGTCTGTCCCTGTCACTCCACCCCCATCTCCCTATGCCCATGAGGCCCCAGAGGGCTGGGACTGTGGGTCGTTCATTTGCACAGTGCCTGGCACTCACTTAGGGACTCGAAGAATGGATGAATGTGGAATGTGGTTTTCGCAGCCAGGGAGAATGGGATACCAGCCAGGGCAAGAACAGTCTACTGGGTGGGGCAGGATCCACGACAAGGAGGTGGGCAGCCCTTCCTCTGGCCACTCAAGCAGTGGGGACTGGGAGGAGGGGCGCTTTGTCTATGTAGCCTTTTTATGGCCCATGATGGTACAGACAGTGCACCTGCCTCCTGCCACGCTGACTTCAGGACTGGTGGAGCCCCAGGGAACATTCGCAGGGCAGCCAAACTTTGGCCCTGGCCCTGGCGCTGGCCCTGGCCCTAGGGATGACAGAAAGTGTGCTGGATACAGTCAGACAGAATTGGCTGCCATTTTGGATTTGATCCCTTCCACCCGGGCAAGCTTGGGCAAGTTGCTTAATCTTTCTGAGCCTCATTGCCTCACCAGGGACACAGGAGCTGAGGCTGCTTCCCTCTTTGGAAAGCACTGAAGCCCAGGACTCGGCCCACAATAGGCCTTCAACAAATACCACTTCTCAGCTTACGGGTGAAATATGGCACCGGAAGTAATGCTCTTGGCTGTGGGAGCTACAGACAGCAATGAGGTCTCTATCAAACCCAGCCTCCTCTCTCTCGAGAGGAACCAGTGGGGATACCCTACCCCTCAACCCCAAAGCCTTGTGCACCTGAGGGTAAAAATCTGGGTGCCACGGGCTCAGGAAGGCTTGCTTGGGAGCAAGAGGGAGGTGGGTGTGTCTGGGGAGGCATTTCTGAGCACAAGAGCCTCCCTGGAGTTCTGCCATCGTCTCTCCCCGTTCTGTGGTGCCCGCAATAACCACCGTTCTGACTCTCCTCACCCCTCCAGCCTCCCAGCGTGCGGCCTGCCAACCCAGCTCCCATTGTAAGTCTCTTGCTTTCTTTTTGGATCCTCTTGATTTTGGCTCTTCTTCTGGGCTAATGGAGGATGCAGGGCCAGGCATTGGGCCTCTCCCATCGGGAGTGGGGAGGGCAGAGGCCAGGCCCTTGACCATCTACCCGGCCTGGCGAGGTTGGTGGGTGAATGTGGTTGGCTGGCCGTGATGGAACAACCTGAGTTGCCACTCCATGGGCAGCCACGGAAGACCATGCCCCACGTTCACTTCTCTCACCTGCAAAGGGAGGCTAGGCTGAGAGACGTTTCCCCGAGAGGAAAGATGGGCCAGAGCCACCAGCGTCCCCATCTGTCTTCTCCAGGGTCCTAACCTTTGCCTCTCCCTCGTCCCCTGGACCCACCCTCCGTGGGGTCTGTGGGGCCACTGGGCTGGTTATGCCCCTGGAGGGTGCCTGCCGTGTGGCACCCTCTGGTGGGAGCTGGGGTGGTCTTTACTCAGGAGAGCCTGGGTGAGACCTGGTTTCTTTCTTCCAGACCCAGACAGTCATCCACACGGTGCAGAGTGCCTCTGGACAGATGTTCTCTGTAAGTCTTCAAGTTCTGATCAGTTCACAGCTGCACAGTGCCCTCCTTCCCCAAGAACTAAACTCCCTAGAGCCCTAGAGTTGGGAAGAAAGCGGTTTAGCAAGGAGGGTGGGGACATCTGGGGCTGAGTCCTTGGCTCAGGTGACATGTGGTTAAAACTATCCTTGGGACAGCAGAGATTCTGGATTTATCCAGTGGTGGAAGAGGCAGGTTCCCTAGAGACTGGGAGGGAAACTGGTCCTTCTGTCACCAAGTGGGGAGTGCAGTGGCCCCAGCACCCGGATGTGAGGTTCCTGGCCCTGCCTCCTGGGTCCCCGGGATGTCACTACAGATCACAGGCTTAAGCTCTTCTCCTGCTGGTGCAAATCAGGCCGGGAACTTAGCATTAGTGGGGCTGCCTGCGGAGGGGCTGAGGGGCAGGTGACCATGGTGGGGTCTGGGAACACGGCAGGAAGTTCCAGGAAGGCTAACATGAAAACGGAGGTTTACGGGAGAGTCCAAGGGCCAAAGGCTCATGAGGTCAGCCTCACAGTGGAGCCCCCTCTAGAATGCGTGGGTGCGCGTGGGTGAGTGCTCGCGCACACATGCGCTCTCCCATTGAATTTCCTGGTTTCTTTTCAGCAGACTCCCGCCATCCCACCTATGATGTACCCCCACCCTGCCTATGTAAGTGGTTTCTCAGGGAGGGCAGAGGTTCTGTTTGTGGTGGGCAGGCTAGGGATGAAGGGCCGCTACGGGGGGATCCGCTGGCCTTGAAAAATGAAAAGCGAAGGGCTTTCAAAATGGTAAGCTGAAGGGCTTCAAAGCGTCCCAGTGAATTAGAAGACTGTGGAGAGGAGCTTTCAACCTTAAAACTGTCGTGTCAACGTGAGCACATTGCATGGCCCTCCCTTTTCACCCCACGAGTCTTTCTTTCTGTGTTTGGCCAAATTTCCTTTCATGACACTAATCTAAGCCCATTAATTTGAGGAGCACCGGAAAGTTTTCCTTTGGCTTTTATGGAACCAAGGAAAGATATCGTGGGCTTCTTCTCAGCTGACAGCCTAAATTCATGGGAACTGGTACAATCTTCCCCTTCCATGTGGCGGCTGCCCTGACTGCCACTGGCTGACCTGTCCCCGTCCTTCTGACAGCCGATGCCTTTCATCACCACCATTCCGGGAGGGCTGTACCCATCCAAGTCCATCATCCTGTCAGGCACTGTCCTGCCCAGTGCTCAGAGGTAAGCCAAAGGCTCCAGTGACCTCTGGGAAGAGAGAGCCCTTCAAGGTCATTCCAGCCATTCCCCTGGCTTTTGGCAGGCTGGGGATGATGGGGAGGAAATGGGGCTCAGAACTCAGTGGACAAAGGTCCAGGTAGGCTGCCCACCCCAGGTTCCACATCAACCTGTGCTCTGGGAGCCACATCGCCTTCCACATGAACCCCCGTTTTGATGAGAATGCTGTGGTCCGTAACACCCAGATCAACAACTCTTGGGGGTCTGAGGAGCGAAGTCTGCCCCGAAAAATGCCCTTCGTCCGAGGCCAGAGCTTCTCGGTAAGGCGCCGCAGCCTGGAGCTTGAGGAGGCTCCTATGGGTACACGGGGAGGGGGTAAAGGAGGTCTGGGGTACCTTGAACAGGATGGGAGCTGATGCCTCTGGGATGAGGGCCCAGAAGAAAAGGTGGCCAAAAAATTATTGTCATTATTATTAATAATTATTACTGTCCTGCATGAAGGAAGCGTTGGGATCTGCTTTTTTAGATGAGGAAAGAAACTCACAAGTGCAGGTTACTTGCTTGCGGTCACACAGTCAGTAAGTGTCAAATCAGACCCAAGAAGGAGGTGTTATTCATTTCTTCACTGACTCATTCAACGATTTCACTGTCGCCCGCTTTGTGCAGGAAGCACTCCACATGCTGGGAGCGCAGTCATGAAGCAGACACGTAGGGTCCTTCCTCCAGAGAGTTTACAATTTAGCTGGGGGAAGGAACAAGGAAACTAAAGCATGAACAGATTGTTGCAGATAACAACAGTGCCACGCAGAAAGCAAAACAGAGCGATGAGATAGAGCGAGCCTGGGAGGGGCAGCTAGGGCCAACATGCAGAGGTGTGGGTGTGGCCTCTCCAGGAACAGCAGCAGGCGTGCTCCGCCCTGACTACACATTCAAATCACCCAGAGAGCTTACAAAGAACATATAGGTGCTGGGACCCCAGCCCAGGCCAATGAGGCGGTCAGCCTGGGCATTTGTATTTTTAAAATATGCCTGAAGTGATTACACTCTGCAATCAGAGTTGAAAATGACTGATGTAGGGCTTTGCAGCCATGGAGCCAGGGAGCAACATTCTTTGATTTGTGGACAGCTGTGTGACCTCGGGCAAGTGACTTAGCTACTCTGTGCTTCAGTTTCCTCATCTACAAAATGGAGCTAATAATCATATGAATCTCCTAGAGCTGTAAGAATGGAATGAGGCAGTATCTGTAGCACGCTTAGGACAGTGCCTTACACATGGCATGTGTGTTAGGAGTGTCAGCTATTGCAAAGGGCAGGAGGTTTTAACATTTGTACCCTGACTGCCTCATGGAGAAGGCATTGGGGTGGAAAAGACAAGTTAGGAGGCTGATGCTGCAGGAGCCCAGGCCCAGAGCACTCCTGTGTGCTGGGTCCGAGGGATACAGATGGCACAGGCCAGTGCTCCTGTCCCTGATGTCGTGGGAACAGTATTCTACGCCAGGGAACAGTACAGGGGAAGGAGCACGCACAGCCTGTTTAGTGAAGAGCCGGTCGCTCAGTGGGGATAGAGTGCAGGTGAGGGGCTTATTAACAACTGAGGAGGGAGGGAGGGAGGGAGAGAGGAGGCTGCAGTGAGGGTGGAGGACTTCCCAAGTGTAGTGCAAACGGCATAATCTCTGCACAGGTGTGGATCTTGTGTGAAGCTCACTGCCTCAAGGTGGCCGTGGATGGTCAGCACGTGTTTGAATACTACCATCGCCTGAGGAACCTGCCCACCATCAACAAACTGGAAGTGGGTGGCGACATCCAGCTGACCCACGTGCAGACATAGGCGGCTCCCTGGCCCTGGGGCCGGGGGCTGGGGTGTGGGGCAGTCTGGGTCCTCTCATCATCCCCACTTCCCAGGCCCAGCCTTTCCAACCGTGCCTGGGATCTGGGCTTTAATGCAGAGGCCATGTCCTTATCTGGTCCTGCTTCTGGCTACAGCCACCCTGGAATCGAGAAGGCAGCTGACTGGGATTGCCTTCCTCAGCCGCAGCAGCACCTGGGGCGCCAGCTGCTGGAATCCTACAATCCCAGAAGGCGGGCACAGCCAGGGAGAGGGGAGGAGTGGGCAGTGAAGATGAAGCCCCATGCTCAGTCCCCTCCCATCCCCCACGCAGCTCCACCCCAGTCTCAAGCCACCAGCTGTCTGCTCCTGGTGGGAGATGGCCTCCTCAGCCCCTCCTCTCTGACCTTTAACCTCACTCTCACCTTGCACCCTGCACCAACCCTTCACCCCTCCTGGAAAGCAGGCCTGATGGCTTCCCACTGGCCTCCACCAACTGACCAGAGTGTTCTCTTCAGGGGACTGGCTCCTTTCCCAGTGTCCTTAAAATAAAGAAATGAAAATGCTTGTTGGCACATTCATGTGGGTTGACTGTGGCTTCTTTAATTCATTTGGAGACATTTTGGAATCTGTGGAATCAGGCGGAGGGGCTGCTGAGAGGAGTGGGATGGGAGAGCATGGACTCCCTTTGGGCAGGGGGTCCTGACCTCACAACTCCTAATTAAAAAAGGATTAATGGCCGGGTATGCTGGCTCACGCCTGTAATCCCAGCACTTTGGGAGGCTGAGGCAGGTGGATCACCTGAGGTTGGGAGCTCGTGACTCGCCTGTCCAACATGAAGAAACCCCATCTCTACTAAAAATACAAAATTAGCCAGGCGTGGTGGTGCACACCTGTAATTCCGTCTACCTGGGAGGCTGAGGCAGGAGAATGGCTTGAACCTGGGAGGTGGAGGTTGCAGTGAGCCGCAATTGCGCCATTGAACTCCAGCCTGGGCAACAAGAGTGAAACTCTATCTCAAAAACAAACAAACAAACAAAAAAACGAAAAACGAGCTGGGCATGGTGGTGGTGGCGGTGGGTATCTGTAGTCCCAGTTACTTGGGAGGCTGAGACACAAGAATCACTTTAACCCGGGAGGCAGAGGTTGCAGTGAGCCGAGACTGCACCACTGCACTCCAGCCTGGGTGACAGAGCAAGGCTCTGTCAAAAAAAAAAAAACAAAAAAGGAAGCCAATGCATGGGCTCCTCTGGTGGCCACAGGGTCTAGAATTATCAGGTCTCAGGGATGACTTCACCAGGGCAGTGTGGAAGGGAAATGTGGGGTTGAAGCCCCCACACAGAGCCCCCTCTGGGCCAGTGTCTAGGGGAGCTATGAGAAGAGAGCCACCGTCCCATGAGGGTGTTGGAGAAAGCAGGCTGGGGCTCTAGTCTTTTGGGCAGGAGTCTCGGACACAGGAAAGGTGGTAATGGGGGACCCCAGGAAACAGCCCCATGCCTCTGAGATGGGAGGCGGGCTGGGGCAGAGCCTGTGAGGGCCACAGCAGGGCCAGAGCTGGCTCCTCGGACCTGGCATCCCAGTGGGAGGAGGTGGCTTGGGGAAGGGGTGTCAGGAGAGGCCGACCCGAAGCACCGTATGGGTGTGTGTTCCATTGTGGGTCTCCCTGGCAATAGGGTTAGGACTCGCATGAGAAAAGTGGCTCAGTGTCCATGTGTGGGGTTCTGCCAGCCACTGAGCCACCGCCAGACAGCCCAGCTCCGCGTCAACGTGATGCCAATACATCCTGCTTGGCCCAGCAAGAATACAGTTCCTCAGGCCCCCGTGTAGTCCTCAGAGTGGTGGCAGCAGCAGCGACTGAGAGCTTGTTGGAAACGCAGCATCCCGCACCCCACCCCACCTGCGAGATCAGAGTCTCTGTCTTCACGGGACCCCAGATGAGGCCCGCACATGAAAGCGGGGAAGCCCTGGTCCGGAGCGGACTCCTGGCCGTGTTGCTGAGATGCACGGCTGCCACGCAGGGCAGGGCACGTCTGGAGCCTGAAGTTGGCACTGCACCTTCTCCTGCCACCTGAGACGCTGCTGCTGGAAGGAGGAGGGGAGGGGGAGGGTCCTGGGCCTGGCCCAGGAGGCACAGGCCAAACCCCAGCTGGGAACCACGTGTTGCCAGGACCCCAGAGGCCGCCACTGAGCTCCTTCCTTGGTTCTGACCAGGAGAAGGAAATGGACCTAGTCTCTTAAAAAGCCTTCCTTGGCCGTCTCCAAACCCAGGAGGGTCTTCAGTCCCTTGGGCGAGGATGCTGTGGCCCACACTCGCTTTGACACCCTGCGTTCCCAGAGGCCACATCTGTACTGGCCAAACTCACGTGAGACAGGTGGCCCCAGAGCAAAACCTTTCTAAGACAGTGTCCAAGAAGAAGCTCAAGACCTTCCCTGAAGCTCTGGCCTCATATGAGAATCCCACTCTTGCCAGACCCCACGTCAGATCCTTTGTGTGGGAGGCAGGCCTGTGCCGTCCACCCTACCGCAGGTCTTTGGACCAGCACGAAGCTCCATCTGCTGCTGTCACACCTGGCAGCCATTTCAGAGGAGCCGTGGCCTGCCTGGGGTGTCCCTCTGTGGGGCATCTGTCCAGGCTGCGACACCCACCAGCTCCCCACTCTATAACTGAGGGCCACATTCCCTACAAAACATCCCCCACCAGCCCACCCAACAAACACACATACAGTGTGATTAAAGTAAAATTCAATGCATGTAAATATCTCCATCAGGGAATCATACAGAGAAGACCCAAGGGGCCATTAGGAACAGACTAGGGTGTTCGTTTTTTAAACAGAGGCATAAATAATTTTACCCATGGCAGTTAAATACACAGTGGTGTGACGGCACTTCCTGGTGGTCACTTGAAGTGGTGCACTCAGCAGCGGGTTCCATCTTTCACCCACTTGCCAGGCCTGGCATTGAAGATTTCGTCTCCAAGGGACCAGGGTGGCCCCAGCTTGAGAGAGGAGGCTCCGATCAATCCAGGGTGCTACTTGGTAGGAGGTCAAGTAAAGGGCTTGATGGGGAACGAGGTGAGAAATAAGAAGTGAGGCTGGGGGATATCACTTTCCTCCATCTCCCCAGGCCCTGTGACCTCGGATAATGCAGAGCTGGCTCCATCGTTAAGTTCTGTGCTGGCAGCTTTAACCCCTCCTGTGGGCCCTCAGAGCGCTGACATCTCCAGGCTGCTGGGCTGCACCGCCGCCCTGTCCTTCTTTGCCTCGTAGGGAAATACAGCACCAAAGATATCGTCATGGAAGTGCTTCTGGCTCTTTTAGGTAAAAACAGAGACCAATGTGTCAAGTCCAGGCTGGAATGAGCCCCTGGGGTTGCCCAGCTTCCCTATCACATGGACCTTCATGAGCCATCTGTCTTCCCAACTGTTATACTTTGATTGCGCTTGAATCTGGTTTAGACCCTAAACCCGCTCAGCACCTGCTCTGGAGCAGGCCCTCTAACCATTTCCAAAGCTTTACTTGGCATTCCCATTTCCTGCCCTGTGCTCATCCCCCACCCAAGATGCTCCAGGAAGTGTGAGCTTTCAGATTAACACATTTGGGAAATGCTACATCCTTTCTTTCCTCCCAGCCTTGAAGGGTCCCGATGCACAGCAGCACGTTGAAGGCCCCCAGAAGTCTTGTAGTAAAGCAACGTGCTTGCCTTGGCTTAACTAAGCATGTCCTAGGCTATTCGACCTTGTAACCTTTTGGATGCCAAACATCTACCGACTCATTTAACACATTTGGGGAAATGCCTGTTATCTCCTCACTGTTCTTCAAACACGCCAGCTTAACTCCCACCCCCGGGCCTTTGTATCTGCTGCCCTCTCCAGAACAGCCCAGAGTGTTTCCTTCAGTATCCACGGGGCTCCTCCTCACCATCTCAGGTTTATTCTCAGACGCCGCCTTCCAGCTCCGCCTTCCCTGGCCACCCTATTTAAAATTACACTCCCCAGTGTCCCCTGGGCTATTTCCTGCTGTTTTTCTCCGAAGCACTACACCTCTTCCTTGTTTGGGTTTGTCAGCCCCAGTGGAATGTAAATAATTTTTGCCTGATTCATTTACTGCTCTATCCCTAGCACACAGTAGGTGCTCAATAAATATTCAGTTGAATGTATGAATGTGTCTTAGGGAGAGTATGGAAGTCACAATCACAGGCTTTGGAATCAGAGAGACGCAGACTGAACTCTAGGCTCTCACTGCTGTAGACCCCATAGGCCCCCTTCCCTCTGTAAAACAGGGTGCTTCCCTCATAAAGTCCTCGGCAGGACTGAAAGAAATGTCACATGAGAATCCTTGGCAAGCACTTGGCCCAGTGTAAGCCCTTGATAAATATCACTATTATCTTCATCAATAAAATGCAAGCCCTTCCTGCTGGGAGGATGAGGGTGAGCAGACGCCAGCCTGTGTGTAAATAAGAAGTGTGAGGTTCACACGAGGCTGACGGGGGGCAGCCTTGCTCTCCCCTGTGTTCACAGCCTTGCTTTGGCCACACAGATACTTTCTGAAAGGGGGGTTTGGGGAGAGGGCAAGTAGACTCTCTTGCTCCCATTCCACAGATGGAAAAATGGAACACATTCACCTGACTTCTCAAAGCTGCCAACCAGTCCAGGATGTGCAGTGGGGCCTTCTGACAGCCCACCCAGCTCAGATCCCAGCCACTGCTAAGATTCCCTTGGGGTCCAGAACTTTTCTGGGCCTGACTCCCCTGGGTCTACCTGCCACCCCTGGTCCTGGCTCCAATAGCCTGTGCCCTTGGCCAGGACCCTCAGCCCATACACCCACTATTACACCTTGAGCTGAAAGAAATAGTCCTCGACCTGCTCCTCATTCAAGTTCAGCTAGGCAGCCACCAGCTGCTAGGGTGTGGGCCACATCCCAGGCCATGCACACAGCCCTGCAAACATAGAGGTGGCCCGGCTCCTTGTGGAGCACACGGAGCACCTCGCTGGCCAGCTGCTGCTGCAGGATGTCCTGAACACAGACCTAAAACCAGAGGAAACGGTGGGTCCAGTTCCCGGCCACTGGAGACAAGGATTGCAGGCAGGACTGCTGGCCTCAGGGAGGTGGGGAGAGGGCACTAAGGGCTGTGGAGTGAGTCCCCTCCCAGCCACGACCTTGCACAGGTCCAGGCTCAGGATGAGGAGGAGCACAGATGCTCTGGGGGCTGGGCTGGGAGTAGAGAGATAAATGCTGGACACAGGCCTGCCCTCAAGGGGCAGACTGTCCAGTGGGGCTCCCAGACTGTCTCTGAATTTGCCATGCTTCAAAGAGGCATCAATGAAGGCAGTCCCCCTGCCCAGGGCTCTGCCTACACCCCTGAAAAGTACCCTCTCAATGCAGACTGTCCATCGGGTCCCTGCAGGGTACGGATCCCGGGCTTCCCAGTTAGAAGGTCCAGGAGTCAGTCGGGGACTCTCTGCTCCTGCTCCACACAGGATGCCCAGTGGCCCCAGCACTGGGCATAGAGCACTGGGCCCGAGAGGTGCCCTGATGGCAACAAATGTGTGAGAGCCGAGAGTCTATTCTGACACCTCAGGCTCAGAGGGCAACGCGGCCCTGGGGGCAGGTGAGCCCGTCTGAGGGCCATGGTGGGTTTGAACGTAGCCGGCCTGGACCACCTCTCCCAGGGGAGTCGCCTGTCCCGGGGGCCTGCTGACGACCTTCAGCAGGCTGGGCTCTGGGCTCAACCCGCCTGTGACCTAGGTTAGTCCTGAACCTCTCCGGTCCTGTCACTTCTCTTGGAAGAGAGGGCGTAACAGTCTTCACAGCCCCACTCTGATGGTTGTGAATTACCTGCATTTTAGAGCTCAGGAGCTGCAGGCTCAGGGAGGCGAGGGGCCTGTGGGGACCCCGGGCTCACACTGGAGCCTGCGTTGTGTACTGCTTCACCTGCTTTGAGGCTGCATTTACCTTGGGCTTGCCAGGCAGGCAGGAATAGGCTGTGGGCACCGCAGGCAGCACCCCCTTCCGAGCCATCTCCAGCATCTCCTCCTGGTAGATGTGGTCCTCATTTGGGCTGCGGCACTCGAACACCGGGGTCATGCGGCCTCCCTGCACTCCTGCAGGAGTCCCGGGCTGTTGTTACCATGTTGGCCAGCAGGGCGCTATGGCTCAAAGCCGAACTGGAATTCTCACTTCACTCCCACAAGTATCCTAGCTAGTTAATAGCATTATCCCCACTTTACAGATGAAGAAACTGAGGCCCAGGGCATTCCAATCACTCATACATAGTCACACAACTGAAAGTGCAGATGCAGGATTCCCTCAGCCCATCGGAGGTCAAAAGCAGGGACTTTCCCGTTACCTCCACTCCCGAGAGAGGGAGCCCCGGTTCCAATGCCGGAGACAGGAAGGCGGCCGTTCTCACCCACATAGGCCCCACACAGGGAGACAAACTTGGGAGGCCTTCCCTCCAGAGAGGTCCAGGAACCGTTTGTGGGGCTACGGTTCTGCTCCTAGGCAGGCGCTGGCCTCTGGTACCCTCCCACCTGGGAAGCCTCCAGCCACACCCTTTTGCTGGGAGTCATGGAGCCGCTGCTGCCAGAAACTGAGGAAGGGAGCGATGCCTGTGCCAGGCCCGATGAGGACACGAGGATGGGAGGGGTCCTCGGGGAGCCGGAAGCCGCTGGCGCTGAAGAGGACAGGAGAAGAGGGGGCCAGTCCTCAGACACCCCGGGCCCACGCACACACAGGATGGCTGGGGAGCTGGGCCTGTGGGGAGCGGTCGTAGCGGGTGGAGAGCAGCTCCTATTTGATTTCCCACGCCCTGCAGGCGGCTTCACTTCTGTCCAGCCACCAGCACCTCCCCCAGGTCCTTCTGAAAAAGGGCCAAGCTCACTGGACTCTGGGCCCTTCCAGCTCTGCTGTCATCGCTGTCTCTGCTAGAGACAGCCACACCAGTGTGACCCCAGTGTCTTCTTTGTGGGCCAAGGAGCCCCGAGCGGCACCTAAACCCCAGATCCCTCCCTTTCCTCCCCGAACCTCCAGGGGTCGGCGGTCCCACAGGGGACAGAGTGGAAGGGGTGCTTACTTCCGCACAAAGCAGGACACTTGGTCTTGGGGCTTCAGTTGTTGAGCCATGTGCCGCAGACGCCGTGGTGCAGGGGACCCTGGCCATCTGCAACGATACCACAAAGTGACCAACGTCCCCCCACTGCCCATGCGCAAACTGTACCAGCTGCTCCGCCCACACCACGGCCTCCTTGGACGCCCCCACTCAGGCACTCTCAGGACTCAATGAGCAGCTCTTTGTCCTCCTGGTTCTGAGATCCACCCGCTGTGAGCCCAGAGCTGAGGAAGGTTGAAAGGGACTTAGAGAGGTTGCGAGTTGCTCCATCTTCAACGCAGAAAGTGAGTCCCGGAGAGGAAGAGTGACTTGGACAAGGTCACTCAGGTCATGGTGAAATCAGGACAGCTCAGCTTCCCTGACTCCTACTCCAGTGCTCCTTCCAAAGAGTTTCTCCAGGAACACTCCCAGCTCACCACTGAGCTCCACTGACAGCAGCAGGAAGTGGCCCCTCGGGGTGGCTACTGCTGTGCGTGCTCATGAGCGTGGCCCTTGCTGGTTGCAACCCTGGGTGGCGGATGAGCTCCGCGCGTTTCAGCCTGCTCTGGCACCTCGCTTTCCTCCTCAGTTGCCCCTCCTGGGCTGGTAGAAACCCAGGAGGTTTCTCTGGGTTGCATTTCTTTTACAATGGCCCAGCACTTGCAGGAGGCCTCCAACCAACTGCAGAGGTCCCCCTGGTTTTCCTCGGGATTAAATTTTGCTCTCACAGGACGTGTCTGCCTCTCCTCTCCTGGTCTGGGTGGGTGTTCTCTAGCAGGACAAACAGAGTCTCTGGCCAGTTTTTAGAAACTGTGTTTTTGTTTCCTAGACAGAGGGCTCAGAAGTATAGGCAGCTCCCAGCTTTGCCAAACCAAGCAACACTCAGTTACAGAGGGCAGGGCGGGGGGCAGAGGCCAGTGGTGGAGCCAAGACCACCTGAAAGAGATGTTGGCCTACCACTCTATGGCAGCGTCACCCCCTCTTCACTGTCCTCAGTGACGCTGACCTTTCCTTCTTGGCTTCTGGACAATGAGAATCATCTAATTATTTCTACACTCATCTCTCCACTGCTGCCTCTAGATGCTCCCTGAGGGCAGGGCTGATGTCTGTTGTATTTCCACACCTGCCCCAGTGCTGAGCACGGAGAGATGTGAAATAAACCGTCACTGAATGAGCTCAGTGAGTGAGTGAACAGCCAGTGCAGAATCTCCCCTGCGTTCAGGCTGCACAATCAGGAAGACTAAGGACCACTGGGCTCTCACCAAGGGTTGGGTGCTCTCCAAGTCTGATCTCATTAAATTGTCTCAAGAGTAGTGGGACAGTGGAGTGGTGGAAGACTTGGACTCAGCAGTTAGACCACCCAGGTCCAAATCTCAGCTCTCCACTTACTCACAGTGTGACTTTCTGTGCCACCTGTAAAATGCACACAGTACCTACCCTACATGGTAACTGATCATATACATACAGAAGGCTTGGTTTACTGCCTGGTTCATAGAGCTGTCTCCCACATGCCTCCTATTACCATTAACAACTCTGGGCTGTAGGTGTTCCCTCCCTCCTTGAACTGATGAGGGAACTGAAGGGGCAGAGCGTGACTGCTCCACAGCCTCTGCCCCAGGCTCACCTCGAGTGTGGTACATGAGCACGGCCACAGTCAGGTGGATCGCTGTGGGCGTGTGATCCTGGGAGGAGCTGATGGAGTAAAACCTGGGCTTCAGAATGGGGAGCAGGGAGAGCAGGAAGCCAGCAGACACCTGCAGGGATGGGAACTCCTCCAGCAACTCCAGGAACGTGGGGCTGTTGGTGAACTTCCACTTGCTGTACTCTGAGGACTGAAAGCCAAGGGTGATGTGAGCGACTCAGGGCGCCTGCCCTGCTTTGGGGAAAAGGCTGTCACAACCCAGTATTCATTCATTTCTTCACTCACTCAACAAACAAGTCCATGTGCCAGGCACTGTCCAGGGTGCTGAGACTACCAAGCTTAAGAAGAAATAGTTCCTGTCCTGGAGGAACTCAGTCCGGTACACTTATCTAACTTATGTGACTTCCACTGTCAGCAACTCATGGGCTGGGGTCAAATCTTTGTTGAATGGCACTTTCCCCAGCTGTCGTATCCTAGGCAGTTTGGGTGGTAGGTGGGCAAATCATTAAAAACAAATCAAAATCTCTAGTGAGAAAATCTTTTTCATTGTCTTTCAATCTTCCCGAATCCTTTGAGGGGTCTGTTGCTAGGCTAGGCTTACTCTCAAACCCTTGTAAATCCGTCCCTCCTGCCTGAAAACACTCTCCCTCAGCCCCTGCTTTTATCAAACAGAGCAAAAGCAGCTCTCAAGCTCAGAAGGTTTACCACTGTAGAATTTAATGATATTGTTTTGTTTTATTGCATTTATTTTTGTGATTACTTTCCATTAATGGCAAGTGACATTATTTTTCCATTTAGAGTGATTTAAAATTTTTCTTAAAACACAGGTAATCAAATTTTAAAAACTGAGTTGATTTCTATGAAAATATTAAGTAATGGTGTAGGTTCTACACAGATATGACACTATGGAACAGATGGTTCCTGGAATTTGGGAAATGTTGATGGGCGGCGTTCCCTAACCTGACACTGCTTAGAACATTGATGGGCGGCATTCCCTAACCTGGCACTGCTTAGAACGTTGATGGGTGGCGTTCCCTAACCTGGCACTGCTTAGAACGTTGATGGGCGGCGTTCCCTAACCTGGCACTGCTTAGATAGGGGAGACACCTCTGAACACAATAGTGTTTGTAGTGCCATTTAGATCTACTGGGTTCTGATAACTCATGGGTCTTTTTTTTTCTTTTTAAATAAATAATTACCTTTTCTTGATCACTATTGTATAAAACTTGGAAATACAGAAAAACATGTAGAATAAAAGAAAATATAGAAAAATATATAGAATAGAATGAAAAATCACTCATCATCTCGCCACTCAGAAATAACCACTCCTAATATATTGGTAAATGTTTTTCTCTCTGTGCACCAACATAGCTGTTATTATAGTACATATATTTTATTTTTGTAGCCTGTTTTATTTCCTTAACCTCATAGTATAAGCATGTTCCATATCATTCAAAATTCTTTATAAACATGGTTATAAATGGCTGTAAGATATTTAATGTAGAGAAGCCTCATAATGGATTTAATCATTCCCTAGCTGTTGGACATTTAACTATTCTCCAAATGTTGGGTTGTTTCTGGTTCTGCCTATTATCATGTTGTGATGAATACATTTTTGTTTGTTTGTTTGTTTGTTTGTTTAATAGACAAGTCTCACTCTGTTGCCCGGGCTGGAATGCAATCATGTGATCATAGCTCACCGTAGCCTCAAATTCCTGGGTTCAAGCAATCTTCTTCCCTCATCCTCCCAAAGCACTGGAATTACAAGTGTGAGCCACGGCACCTGGCCTGAATATTTTTATGCACAGCTCTTTGTCTTTATTTTAGATGGTTTCCTTATAGTAATTTCAGAAGTGGCATCCCCAAATGGGAAGATTTTGTAAGGCTTTTAGGATACATATTGCTGGACTTTTTTTTTAGAAGGATGAAACATGAAGGTATTCAGATCCCCTGGACCTACATGATGGGACATACCCTAATTTGTGTGTGGGGTGGTGTTGTCACTAGAAAGAGCTCAGACTCTGCTACATTGGGCAAGTTACCCAACTTCACCAACTCCTGTTGGTGCAGGTCTGAGTAGTCACTTCCCAGAAATCCAAGAGTGACTGTTCTTCACAGCTAGGCTCATGAGTGCTCATATTTTAGCTTTAAAAGTACAGATGTGGGCTGGGCATGGTGGCTCATGACTGTAATCCCCGCACTTTGGGAGGCCGAGGTGGGTGGATCACTTGAGGTAAGGAGTTCAAGACCAGCCTGGCCAACATGATAAAAACCCATCTCTACTAAGAAAACATAAAAGTTAACTGGGCATGGTGATGCGTGCCTGCAGTCTCAGCTACTTGGGAGGCTGAATCAGGAGAATCTCTTGAACCCGGGAGGCAGTGCTTTCAGTGAGCCGAGATCGTGCCACTGCACTCCAGCCTGGGCGACAGAGCGAGGCTCCAAAGTACAGATGTCATTAACTTCAGTTTGTGTTATTTCCCTTTCACGAGAAGGGCTCAAAAAATATTTGGGAAAACTACTTGTCTCAACACCCTAAAATGCTTTTTTTTGTAGCAGAAGCAGGAAAGGTTTGACCAAACATACCTGACATTAGGAAGAAATGCAACAGGCACTCATGCTTCCTGGTGTCCACGATGCATGTGCCAGGAGCCGAGCAGAGGGCCTGGTGTTGAGCATTTCTGATCTTCCCAAGCAGCTTTCCCCACCATGGATTACACAAAACATTGGTTCTACAGGATGCTAACAGGTATTCCTTGCAAAAAGGAATTTTGTTGTTTAGAAAAACTGAGTTAATGAAAGTGGAACCCATTCTTTTGTTATTTGAGAATTCCCAAGATGAGGATATGATATTGAGCATTTGCCAAACTCACTTGATAATAAAAACCTTTTCCATCTCATAGGATTGATGTTCCAAAGACCAAACTTTGAGAATCACTGCTGACAACAAGCTTACAATATAATATTTCTCTTTGTATCTCACAAATAGGAAAGCTGAGGTCAGGTAAATTGACCAAGATAGCAAAACCTAGTGATTCAAGGACTCAGGGTCAGAACCCAGAGCCACCTGACCTCAAACCCATGTTCTGTTCCACTCTCTCCCCGAAAGGGGCTCAGACTGTAGGGTGCCCCTGACCCAAGTGAGTGCCTGAAGCCAGAGGGCGAATATGAAATCAATATCAGAGCTTGAATAGAGAATCCCAAACTGACTGTGTTGATCCTGGAGACTGGGCCACACTAGAAACTGATGCAGGGTGAATAAGCCAAGGAAATGAGCAGCCTGGAAGCTGAGCATGAGGAAGGCAGTTGGGATAAATTTTGGGGACTGCATGGACTGCTGTGTCATGGAATCAGCTGGCTTATGGGGGAACAGGATTCATCTCTTGTACCTGGGGTAAGGTGGAGAGAGGAGGAGGAATAATATTCTATTTGAGGGCTGCCCAAGAGTCTCCTCTTATTGCCTCGCAGCTCTTGACTACGTTAATTCTCCATGCCTCCCACTATGAAATCATCAAGTATTCTTCTGTCTCCTGTTGTCCCCAAAGTCTCAGCCTGGGCTGTTTTCTTCTAGGGCTCTGCTTTTCCACAGCTTTAAAACCTCTCCACGTGCATTATTCTGGCTTCAGAGGTGTGGAAGAAATGGATTCTGATAACGCAATAGCATAATATCTAAAGCACTGCTGGTCCATGCACTCGACAAAGATTCATGTCCCAGGCGCTGGTCTAGGCACCACAGATACATTAGTGAGCCATCCGGACACAAATTCCCGGCCTCATGGCATAGCCCTTCGCTGAGGGAGAGACGATAAGCCAGATAAAGAAGTCAAATGTTAGACAGTGATCCGCAATAAAGAGAAAAGGGGGAGGGGCCCGACATTTCAGATTGGGTGTCCAGAGGGCCTTACTGAGAAGGGGCTTTTGAATTTCCATCATAGCCTTTTGAGCAGAGAAGGGATTTAACATTTGCTGCACTTCTGGCAGCTGACAGGCATTGCACACTTACATATCCCATATTTTCTTTTCCCCTGTAACTTAACAGATGAAGACAGTGAGGCTCCAAGAAGGCAAGTCATTTTTCCTCATTAGAAACTTGTTCTGACACCAGAAAGCCCACCCTCTCTCTGCAATCTCACACTCTCTTCTTGAAATAACCAGGCCAGCCACTATGTTACCCCATTTTATAGGAAAGGAAACAGAGGCCAGAGAGCCTTGGAGGCCTGCGGAGCTGGGACTGGGGTTCATGTCACCTAACGCCCAGTCCAGTTTTCTTTCTGCTTTAGTGGACTGGGAGCAATGAGTATAGGATTGGTTTTTTGTTTTTTGTTTTTTTTTGGTTTTGGTTGTCTTTTGTTGTTGTTGTTGTTGAGATGGAGTCTCGCTCTGTCACCTAGACTGGAGTGCAGTGGCACGATCTCGGCTCACTGCACCTCCACCTCCTGGGTTCAAGCGATTCTCCCACCTCAGTCTCCCAAGTAGCTGGGACTACAGGTGCGTCCAGCTAATTTTTTGTCTTTTTAGTAGAGACGGGGTTTCACTGTGTTAGCCAGGATGGTCTCGATCTCCTGACCTCGTGGTCTGCCTGCCTCAGCCTCCCAAAGTGCTGGGATTACAGGCATGAGCCACCGTGCCTGGCTTGTTCTTTCTTTTTTACTGGCGTACAGAAAGAAACAAAAGACTCAAGGGCTTGTCAAAACTTCTATGCATGTGAAATGATAGAAGTTGACTTAACAAGAAGCGGCAGTGACCAAATGACTCAGCACCCGATTGCACCGCACCGGTCTCTTGAACAGCTGCGAGGAGACTAAAGCCTTCTAAACGCTTCTGGTGGAAGGATGGGCCACAGGCCAGCAACATGAGCAGGACCTGGGAGCGTGTTAGATGTGCAGAATCTCAGGCCTCATCCCAGACCTACTGGATCAGAATCCACATGCTAACCAGGTGATCATATGCATGTTAAAGTGTAAGAAGCCCTGCTCTGACTGCCGCATCCTGTGGTGCAATGAGGCTGGGTGTCCCCACAGAGCAGTCAGGAAGCCTAGGTATAGTTATAGGAAGACTCATGCCAGGTAGGACTGCGGAGCTGGGGTGACATGGGCAGAGGCCTCTGCAGAAGCTTAGCTCTGGTTCCCCCAGCAGCGGCAGCTCATTTTAGAGGGACTGAAGGGGAGGGTATGGGATGGTGGTATTTCTGTTTCATTTACTGTCCCATTGAGACTAGGACTGGTGGAAGAGATGTTCTCTATGACCTGCTGAAACCTGAGAAGGAATCTGCAGGAATAAACAAAGCCTTTAGAGCTTACTAATTCTGATATTTGGAGGCCTTTGGAAGGTTTAATTCAATTTATTATTTACTGATGACCTACCGTGTACCAGACATTGCACTAGGTACTGGGAATACAAAGGGAATCAAATGTCCTAGTGTTGTATTGGGAAGGGAGGGTCACATTTCTTGCATGTGTCTGTGTTTGGGGATGAGATGAGTGAGGGGCAGGCCTGCAGGGATAGAGCAATTGCATACTTGGTGTCACCTGGGTCCCGAAGGGCAGGACGAAGGACAGATTAAGGAAGGCTTCCTGGAGGAGGTGGCTCCTAAGCTGTCAAGTAGGCTAAGAAATGCTCTATGCATGGGCTACCCACTTCCATACACTCGCCACACACACTGACTCACATGCACTCACAAACTCCCACCCACACTCACACAGCATGTATACCTATTCCATCCACACACACACTCACATGCATCCACACACAATCTCCCACCCACACTCACACATCCGCATCCACACACACATTCACAGGCATGTATACCTACTCCATCCACACACACTCACATGCACTCACGATCTCCCACCCAGACTCACAATGCACATCCACACACACACTCACAGCATGTATACCTACTCCATCCACAAACACATATAGGCAAATTCACACACACCCACACATGTGCACAGGCACCTACACACACACACACCACATATTGTAGTATTTTTCTGGGGAAACAGAGAAACAGTCACTCTTTTGAAGAACCTCAGAAACTGCACAAGAAGAGCTCTTCATTTATCATCAAAATTCAGATAAAGTTGAAGGTCTAACTTCCAAGAAGATCTAGACTGTTTTCCAGATTGTTATAAATGCATCTTCGGATATGAAGGAGCACCTCACGGTTGCATTCAGATACCTCCTGGGATGTGATTTAGTCTTGATGATTATCATTACATGTCAGTGAATATAGTTTGATGGAAACTTTTAGGGAAACAAAAATTTTCAGAAACTGTGTCCAGATTTACTGTAGTAGTAGTAAACTCTGAGGATACATTTTTTGACCAGGCAACTATTGTTGGGGGCCCTATACCTGACTTGGAGAGGTGTGTTTGTGCCTTTTAGGTAAGATGAGGAATAGAGGGCCCTCAGACTTAAGAGCTACATGTGATATTTGAGATAAATTGATCCTTAACATTTTTCCCAAGTCAGAGTTCTCATTACTTGTCTCCTTGATGCCAATAGAGTAAAATGCAAAATGGCTCACCACAAATGCAAAATGGCTCAAAGCCCCTCCCTTTCAACTGGCCACATCCTGGCTTTCCTGGGCTCTTTCTACTGAACCAAGCTCTGTGTTCCAAGAAATCATCCTGTTCTCAAATCTCTGCACCTCGTTCTCTGCCGAAGCCATGCCCAAGCAGTTCCCTTTGCCTGGTATGTTTCCCTCTCCCATTTTCCTGCAACACTGCCCCTCAACGTCTTCAATGCGAAGTTCCAGCCCCTCCTTCTAGAAGCTTCCAGAAGCCAGTATTGGGCTTTGGCATTAAACAGCCTGTGTTCAAACTCCACCTCTGTCATTGACAGGGTGACTCTGAGTATGTGGGTCCTTTTGAGCCTCTGTTTTCTAATCTTTAAAAAAAAGGGAGGGGAAAATATTTACTTCACACTTTTATTTAGTTTGTCAAAGATTAAATGAGACAATGTGAGTGAAACTGACCAGCATACAGGAGATAGCCAAGAAATAGTTCAGTGGATAATGGCATTTCTCTCCTGATGAAGTTGGATTAACCCTCTCTTCTACAGTCCGGAACGAACTGTACCTTATACAGCTGCCTTGGATCTGCGGTTTCTGGGTTTGTGAGGTGGGCTCATCTTGGTCTCTTGCCTGGTGACTTTAGCATAATCCATGCTCAAAAAATTAAATTAAATGAAATAGACTCTTTGGGTATCGCTTTCTTTTTTTCTGCCACATTCCTTCTAACAGCCACCGAGCCTGAAGACAGCAAAGCTGCCCAGACTTTTCTCCTGGGCTCCAGCCCCTCCTGTCTGACTGCTCAAAAGAATCTCAGCAAGCAGGTCTCCCAGGCACCTCAAATCCAGCCTGTGTAAACCTGAGCTGCCTGTGTCCACACTCCTATATCCTAGAACCATGGTTCTCAAATGTGGGTGTTTTTGCCCCCCAGGTTACATTTGGCAGGGTCTGGGGATGTTTTTCTTTGTCACGACTTAGACAGAGGGTCCTTCCTGGCGTCTTGTAGGCAGAGGTCGGGGGTGCTGCTGAACATCCCACACTGCATAGGACAGTCTCCGTAACAAGGAATGATCCTGCCCCAAGTGTCACTAGTGCCGGGTTGAGAAATCCTGATCGAGAGGGAGCCTTTACCTGGTAGATCAGGCCATTGCACCGCTCTGCTCACCATCCCCCGGGACTGGTGTTGTGGAAGACAATTTTCCACGGACTGGGGGGCTGGGGGGAATGGTTTCAGGATCAAACTGTTCCACCTCAAATCATCAGGCATTAGATTCTCATAAGGAGGGCACAACCTAGATTGCTAGCATGCGCAGTTCACAATAGGGTTCGTTCTCCTGCGAGAATGGCATGCCGCTGCTGATCTAACAGGAGGCAGAGCTCAGGCGGTAATGGGAGCAAGGGGGAGCGGCTATAAATACAGCTCACCGCTCACCTGCTGCTGTGCAGCCCGGTTCCTAACAGGCCATGGACGGTGCTGGTCTGTAGCCCAGGAGTTGGGGAATCCTGCTCTACAGAGTTTCCAACCTCAGAGATGAAGCATCCCCTCTGTAAGTCAGAAAGAAATTATTCAAGTAGGAGAATTAAAACAGGATCACAGAGAGGGAGGCTGAAGAATTTGACTTTCTGTGTTTACTTGTATGAGGAAAAACAGTACATAAAGGCATCCACAGTATTTAATTTGTTTGGATAACAGTTACAGATAAACAGGTACACCCCATATACAATTACTAATACTTTTTATACAGTTCATATTTCAGTACATCAACACTATTTTATTTACACTCTATTTATGCACATTAACATCTTTCTAAAGTCAGTGCATTGTCAACAAGTTTTATACAGTCATTTACAAGGTGAATGTGGTTAATAGTTAATTTAATAAATTTTCCGCTAGTTCATGAATTAAAAAAATTAATTACAACCAGTATAACAAACACAGATCAAACAACATTAGTAGATTGTGCTACCTGCTTAAATAAAACATCTGTAAAGAAATTATTTAAAATCTTCCACTTTTTAATGGGACATGTCCAGGTAGGAAAGGACAGATTTTATATACCGAAAATCTTGAACTATAAAGTATGCATTTTGTCTGACTTTATTACATTAGATAATTTAGGCCACTCCTACCTATTTGCAATTATATTTTTTCTGAAAAGGATTTCAATTTAGGTAGCCATTTAAGATAACCTTTCCAAATGCTCTGAGAACTAGATATTAATAGTTACTGGCCTCAGATATCAGAACACAAATGCTTAGTTACACTGGTAATTACTACCTATGAGGAAGAAAGTGTAGTGGAATCTGACAATTAATGAGAATCAACTTGCAGGGTCTAAATGAATAAACAAAGACCAAAAATAAGGTGAAACATTTCCTTCAAGTATATATTAAAAAACTACACCAAAAAAATTCTACCTGAAATAAATAATATTTATACTTTTGTCCCAGTCTTGAATATTTAGAGGAAAAAATGAAGTAAACAAAGAAACATAACTTTCAATGACTACTGTAAAATTTTTTAAAAAAGACTAATATCAAAATAAAAAAATTAGTGGACATGCAAACAAAGCAAAACTAAAGTTGACTTCCTAAAACCACCAATTTCATTAAATATACTTATGAACTCCTAATGTCTGGGATGTGTTTTGTTTGTAATTTATAGCCCTTGGAGCCATCAAATACACACAAGCAAGTTCATTTGCATGTGTTCTCTCTTTTTTAAAGTGCAAAACAAACATGGAAAAGAACCACCACTAATTGTGAAACGTGATCTAGCTCCGATGCCGCTTACCTTCCCAGAAGCTCTTGTTGCAACATGTGCATGTGAAGATGGTGCAAATATTGGCAACTGCTCCCCTTCCCTCAGCATGGGCGGGGCCGGGGGGTGCAGAATACATTTCTGAGGATACCTGAAGTATCCTAAATGTAAGATGCCTCCACTGGGAGGGCCATGGTAGCTGGATTTCCCAGGATGTTTTTCTTTCTACTGGGTCTCCCTCTGGGTGGAAGGCACATAGCTCTTAAGAGAGCCTCCCTTTCAGACTGACCACTCTATGCCCCTGCCACCAATGACTGGTTGTATCTCAAACATAAACACAACGGCAAAAACAAAAAGCAAGAAAGACAAAGAAAGGGTATGGAAACTTTAAAAAATAAATTGAAAAATCCTCGCCCATGCCGTAAGAATCATTTGCACACCTTCATGATCTTGCTTTCTCCATCTTGTCAACAGAATGGAATAAAACTTCAGGAAAAAGGAGGTAGCATATCATGTCATCCCTAGACAACATTACAATTTTTTGTTTTTTACTTTGACTCCAAGGAAATCTTTAATATTTGTTATGATTATTGATAAACTCTATACTCACTACATATTTGTTCATATCTGGACAAGCACAATTGAATTCTTATTTGGTCCCAGGTGGCTGGTGCCAAACTTTTTGTTTACAGGCTAATGGTGGGATCTGCCTGAAAGTTCTCTATCAGACAACTTGCATGAGACTTCAAAATAAAATTACTACTACTCTTAAAGTTAACTATTTTAATTAGAATTTGTATTCTAACAGGATAAAATAACTACATTTAGCTTGCCTCTCAGTGACACTTTTGCCAAGTATCAGCTACAAGGAGTCATCTCCCTCCCCACCAAGCTATCTAGCAGCCAGAGTGGTAGCTTTACTGTAACACACAGTACTTTTCGTAATCAGACTCAAAGTCTTCATCCATACTGCTTGTGTCTGCCATCTTTTTGCCATCAATCTTTGGCAGAAATTGTGCGTAGTCTATCCTCTGCTGCTCATAGAAAAGAATGTAGGCAGAGTCGGTGTCAATTTCATCAGGGTGATGTTCCTGAAGGGCAAGAAAAACCTTTAACAAAAAGCCATCACTATTATGGCTCTAAATCCTTGCCAGGAAAGGGAAGACCAACCGTCTGTAATTACTAAACCTGATTGCTTCCAATAAGCTCACTAGTTTGGCTGTCTCACACCTGCCCCTTTAAAATGAGCCCCATTATTTCCAATGTTTGCTTTGGAGAAAATATTTTGACCATAGACAAGTCAAAACAGAATGACCTAAAACCCCATCAAATTCTATTTATTTATTTTGTATTTATTTATTTTTTTGAGATGGAGTCTTGCTCTGTCACCAGGCTGGTGTGCACTGGCACGATCTCAGCTCACTGCAACCTCTGCCTCCTGGGTTCAAGTGATTCTCCTGCCTCAGCCTCCTGAGTAGCTGGGACTACAGGCATGTGCCACCACGCCTGGCTAATTTTTTGTATTTTTAGTAGAGTTGGGCTTTCACCATATTAGCCAGGATGGTCTCGATCTCCTGACTTCATCATCTGCCCACCTTGGCCTCCCAAAGTGCTGGGATTACAGGCGTGAGCCACTGCACTTGGCCCAACCCCATCAAATTCTAACAGTCCAGAAGATAGGAGCTTTTTGCATTAACTAACTCCTTTTTTTTTTTTTTTTGAGACAGAGTCTTGCTCTGTTGCCCAGGCTGGAGTGCAGTGGTGCAGTCTTGGCTCACTGCAACCTCCACCTCCCAGGTTCAAGCCATTCTCCTGCCTCAGCCTCCTGAGTAGCTGGGATTACAGGCATGTGCCAACATGCCCAACTAATTTTTGTATTTTTAGCAGAGATGGGGTTTCGCCATGTTGGCCAGTCTGGTCTTTAACTCCTGACATCAAGTGATCCACCTCCTAAGCCTGCCTCAGCCTCCCAAAGTGCTGGGATTACAGGCATGAGCCACTGCGCCCGGTCAACTAACTCTTTATTTTTCCTCACTACTCATGTTTTCATTCCCTACTCTGCATATCACTTTTGTTTCTTTAATACTGACAGCATCTATATATTGATTCTAACAGAAATATCTATTTCCTATTCAAGAGATAGTCCATTATTTCAACAAATGTTCTCCAGTTCTGTTGATATTCTGTTTCTAACTTTCATTCAAAGATTGAGAATGTTTACCTCACAGATGCTGCCATTGTAGCAGTACCACTTGCAGTTTGGGTTTTTGGCATAAGTGACGTAATGGCCCCCACTCAGAATTCCTGAATGGCACTGTAAGAGATAAGAGAGTGGATGTATGTTAGTAGTTAACTGTACTATGGCCAGGGTATAGCACTAGGATCTGAGCAGGAGAACAGTGATCATGTAAATGATCAGTAGGTGAGAAAATATTTTAGAACCCTCTAACTTTCTCTAAAACCAAAATAAGCAAAAAGCAAAATACAAAAGTCATAAGCTCCAAGTCTTGTGTGGATAAACAATCATTTTATAATGTAATTACTATTATTATTATTATTTTGAGACAGGGGCTTGCTCTATCACCCAGGCTGGGGTGCAGTCAAGTGATCACAACTCTCTAAAGACTTGGCCTCCTGGGTTCAGGTGATCCTTCTGCCTCAGCCTTCCAAGTAGCTGGGACCACAGGCAATGCCACCATACCTCGCTCCATTTTAAAATTATTTGTAGAGATGGGGCCCAGGCTGGTCTCAAACTCCTGGGCTCAAGCGATCCTCCTGCCTCAGCCTTCTAAAGTGCTGGGATTACAGGTGTGAGCCACCACACCTGGGCAGGCCCAGATTTCTACGTTAACTTTCTCTATCACTAAGCTCAATGCTAGGAAATAAGCAGGACCTGAAAAATACTTGCTGATGAATACATGAAGACAAGTGAACAAAACACAGACCACTCTCCGAAAACCATACAATAAACCACTTACTGAAATTGCATATAGATTATAAATAGGCTTAATATGAGTGTCTTCTCTTTGGTCATCAGTGCTGTCTTCTTCACTGTGGTTTCCAAGCTGACCATTGCTGTAGCCATTGCCATATGCTTCATGCTCATAAAGGAATCCATTGCCCAAAGCTACCTCGTGGTCCTGAGGAGTGACCAGCTCTGGTTGGCTGCCCCCCCGCATATGCCCTCAGCTCAAGGCATCAGCCAGCTCACAGATCTGCCCAGCCCCATTCTCTTTGCTGGCATCCAAGTTCTTCTTACTACTTGACAGTTTATTTTTGCTGCCAATCTGGGGCAGCCGGAGCCTCCCTTTGCTCCTCCCCAAAGTCCGTGGGCAGCTATTAGGGCTGCTGTTTTTGCTGGAGGGACAGCTGGTTCCACTTTTTCTTGATGAAGAAGGAGAACCTGTGAACAGGACAGAAGAAAAGATTCACAAATCCAAATGCCACAAAGTAAGCCAGCCCCAAATGCTAACTCTGAGGTTAGCTTCACAACTGTACACACAAAGGTAAAGACAGGGGAGTCGTGACTGGCTACCCTTTAGTTCCTATTATGTAGCAGGTAAGTTACATTTTTGTCTTCTTCAATGCCGAGTCCCTATAAGCAACAATGTCCTGAAAATGTAAGGTAGGTTATAGGGACTCAGAAAATAGCAGAAAGATGATTTATGTCAGATTCAGTTGAAAAAAATCTAATTATTAAGAGTAAGGAGTTTTCCAAATACATATTCCTCTCCTTTGTAAAATTAGACAAAAAATGCGACCACCATTTACTGAGTACTTCCTATTGTTAGGCATGGTACTGGGAATTTCTTGCTGTCCATTGTTACCTCTATGTCTCACAAAAATCCTGTAAGGCTTTAAACTTTTTGGTTATAGCCTCTTACCCCTACCCCCTTTTATACCTTTAAAAATTATTGAGAACCTTTAGAACTTTTATGTGAATTTTATCTATCAATATTTCCTGTATTAGAAACTAAAACTGAGGCATGAAAAAGTACAATACATTAGCACAGACTTCACTGTCAAAGTGACGATATTATTCCATGTCAAGTTGTCTCTTACACCATTGTACATATGTGAGAGAATAAAAGTGAAAAGGCACATATTGTCTAGTATTTTTATTAAAATAGTTTTGGGCCAGGCACAGTGGCTCACACCTGTAATCCCAGCAGTTTAGGAGGCCGAAGCAGGAGGTTCACTTGGGTGCAGGAGTTCGAGCCCAGCCTGGGAAACATGGCAAAGCACAATCTCTACAAAAAATACAAAAATTAGCCAGGTGCAGTGGTGCATGCCTGTAGTCCCAGCTACTCAGGAGGCTGAGGTGGGAGGATTGATTGACCCCAGGAGGTCGAGGCTGCAGTGAGCTGTGATCTGTGTTGCACCACTGCACTCCAGCCTGGGTGACAGAGTGAGAACCTGTCTCAAAAAAATAAAAAATAAAATAAATAAATAAAGAGTTTTGATCCTCTAGACCCCCTGAAAGATGGGGAACCTCAGAACTTTCACTATAAGGGGACAAGACAGCAGCTACCATTCCTGTTTACCATACATCAGGCACTGTGTGAAGTGCTTTACTCTCCATGTGTCAAACTCTCAACTCTGTAAACCTGGCATTATCTCCATTTTACAGATGAGAAAATAGATTCAGGGAGGCTGAATCTCTTGATAAAACTTACATAGCTCAAATACAGATAGGTCTGATTCCAGATAGGTTCCTTCCACCCAACCAACCTGATGTTCCAGAACAGAAGACAGAGAAACATATGTAGCCTACAGGAGTCCCAAGAAAGCAACTGCATAAGGCCCCCAGGCCTCACCTTTTGGGCTGCTGCTGATGTTAGCGCTGAGTGAGGATGGGCTTTTGCTCAGGAGCATGTCCTCTTCCCCAGCCAAACTCTGCACATCCACTTTCTTCACCTCTCTTGCCAGAATCCTGGGCTTGGAGAGCTCATCCCCCTGGGGTGTGAGTGGTTGATGCTGGCAGAGAGCCGGGTCTCGTGGTACCAAAAAAGCACTCGGATCAAAACTTTCCCGAGGAAATTTGACAATTTTCTGTGATTTTATCCACTGATCATTTACAAATTGAAATCGCTTAAGGTGAATAATCTGGAGAAGTAAAGGTAGAAAACATCACATTAAAGCGTTCTGAAGATACAAAATTTACATGGAAAAAACAAGTCAAATACATGTGAATGTTTGGGAATATATAACAGAACATTTACTCTTCATTATTTTTTAAAGACTTCAAAAATATGGTTTCCTAAAGGCCTCTACACAGGCCCCAGTGCACTGGTGTGCTTGTGCACACACTCAACTCAGCAGCGTGGCACAGCCACGTGACTGCGCAGTGGGTACTGCCTCCAGGCTCAGTTGCTCTTCTAGAGTCCACAAAGGGCTAGCCTGAGCTTCCACTCTCCACAGAGCCAGAAGTTCACCCTCTCCTGAAGTTCAAATTCACCACGTTGTACCCCTTGTGGCAGTTCTCACATCACACTGAATTGCAGTTACTGGGCTACATGACTGCTCTGCTTGTTTTATTTGATGATTATATGAAAATATATACTTGTTAAAATTCATCAAACTGGATACTAAAAATCTATGCTTTTAATTGTATGTTAATTATACCTCAATTTTTTTTAAAAGGTCTCCCCCTCGGCCAGGCATGGTGGCTCACACCTGTAATCCCCACACTTTGGGAGGCCGAGGTGGGTGGATCACGAGGTCAGGAGATTGAGACCATCCTGGCTAACACAGTGAATCCTCGTCTCTACTAAAAAAAATAAATAAAAAAACACACAAAAAATTAGTCAGGCATGGTGGTAGGCACCTGTAGTCCCAGCTACTCGGGAGGCTAAGGCAGGAGAATGGTGTGAACCTGGGAGGTGAGGTTTGCAGTGAACTGAGATCTTGCCACTGCACTCCAGCCTGGGTGACAGAGCGAGATTCCATCTCAAAAAAAAAAAAAAAAACGTCTCCCCCTCCTCCCCACCCACCTTGTCCCCAAGCCTGCCCCTTCCCTCTAGTTCCTATCTGTGGAGCTAGCTGACAACCAGTGTTATTAATTTCTTGTGCATCATTCCCTGGGAAGCTTTTCTGGTCTAAGAAAAACCTACATTCAGCTTCACAGAGTAGTGTGACAGAGACATAATTAGAATAAGAAAATACGGCTGGGCATGGTGGCTCATGCCTGTAATTCCAGCACTTTGGGAGACCAAGGTGGGCGGATCACCTGAGGTCAGGAATTCGAGACCAGCCTGGCCAACATGGTGAAACCCCATCTCTACTAAAAGTACAAAAATTAGCCAGGTGGTAGTGGTGCATGCCTGTAATCTCAGCTACTCAGGAGACTGAGGCAAGAGAATCACTTGAGCCCAAAAGGTGGATGTTGCGGTGAGCTGAGATTACAACGCTGCACTACAGCCTGGGTGACACAGTGAGACCCTGTCTCCAAAAAAAAAAAAAAAAAAAAGAAAGAAAATACATATAAATATCTGATTAAAATAGGCCAGTACCTTACAGTTACACTGACCTTAATGAATAGGAAGATTTGTCACTTCAAACTCTCCTGACAAACAAAAGGACAGTCTCCTAATCCATGAAGGGAGAAGGCAGAAGTAAATTAAATCTAAAAGAACACACAGGCCCTAGTGCACTGGCGTGCTTGTGCACACACACTCAACTCAGCAGCGTGCCACAGCCACATGACTATGTGCAGTGGGTGTTGGGGGCTCCGGGCTCAGTTGCTCTTCTAGAGTCCACAAAGGGCTAGCCTGAGCTTCCTCTCTCCACAGAGCCAGAAGTTCACCCTCTCCTGAAGTTCAAATTCACCACGTTGTACCCCTTGTGGCAGTTCTCAGATCACACTGAATTGCAGTTACTGGTCTACATGATTGATCTCTTCTTCTAGGTTGTAAGTTCGTTAGGAAAAGGAACTACCAAATATTTGTAGAAAGATTCATCTCTGTATTCAACATAAAAACCTTGTACAGAAAGTGTTTTAAACACTGCTGCAGGAAAAGTCTTATTCTCAAAAATAACAAAACCTCCTGTTTGTTCATGTCTTCTTTCTTTTATGCTAGATTCCTGCTCTCTCAGAGGCAGGACTGTAACATACCAGGAAGGGTGGAAGCCTCCAGAGATCCAGCTTCTTTGTTGCTAAAGCAGTGGGTCTTACACTTGGAACAGTAGTATATCTCATCTTCCCCTAGCTCTTCCTCACTGGTGAAAGCACGGAGACAGCTGTCCAGGTTGATGGGCTCGACTTGCACTCGCCAACTCTGCTCCACACTCTCATGCTCATCTACAACCTGTAGGTGGAGGGAACAGGAGGAAAGGGGTGTGTGGGAAGGCATTTAAACTGGTGATCTAGCTATGCATCAACCTCTCGGTCACTCACCCTTATTTTACTCTATATAAGGAAAAAGAAAATATAACTTGCTGGGTATGGTGGCTCAGGCCTGTAATCCCAGCACTTTAGGAGGCTGAGGTGGGGGGAATTGCTTGAGTCCAGGAGTTCGAAACCAGCCTGGCCAACAGAGTGAGACCCTGTCTATGTGAAAGAAAAACCTAAAAATTAGCTGGGCGTTGTGGCGCATGTCTCTAGTCCCAGCTACTCAGGAGGATTGCTTGAGCCTGGGAGTAGAGGTTGCAGTGAGCTGTGATTATACCACTGCACTGCAGCCCAGATGACAGAGAGAGACCCTGTCTCAAAAAAAAAAAGGGAAAAGAAAACACAACCCAAACTAGAGTCTGAGCAAATACAGCACCTACACATTTATTCACAAATGCTACACTGTAACATTCTGGATAAAATTTCTATTTATATGATCATAGCTTTTCTTGAAAAATTTTTGAATGCTTCAAAATGACAAAAAGAACTGCATTTATTTAACAACTTTGGAATCCTATAAGGGATTACATGTGAGCTGGCCCTCAAGCCAGGGGTGATGATAGTAAGCCATTTATCTTTAATCAGAAAGCCAGAGCATTATTAGTATGCTGCAGAGTTTACAGAGGCTAGGAGAAATAACATGAAACACAGAAACCAGAGCTGGATGAAATAAGGGCACAGAAAAGCTCACCATGAGAAGACAACACAGCAGAGCATGAAACACCACAGGGTACAACTCATTTACATCTGATCCCATGTAACACAGAGTTATCAGAATACCAAGTCTATACTTATCTGTCTCCTCCCTCATGGGGCCTTTTTATCTGAGATGGCAACAAAAGGAAGAACAAGCTCAAGAGTGTGCTGCTTTTGTTGAGAAGGCCCCTAATACCCACCCAAACCTTTGGGGTCCTGTTAATCAGCATGTTAGGCTGTGGAGCAAGAAGGAGTTAAGTGTAAGAAAGGAGAGAGAGCAAAGAATGGGCGGGGTGCAGGGATATGTGTTGGGGGTGGTGTAGAATGAAGAAGGAGGAGAGAAGGAAGGATCTAGAGTGCAGCAGAAAAGAAAGAATTTTTCCCTCTCCATGCCTGGCTGCTACCTGACAAACAATCAAGAACCATAGAGCTGGGATCCTTCTGTTTGTCCCTCTAATGTATGGGAAGGTGGGTGAAGCATCAGGGTTATGAATGCTACCATAAGACTTCACACAGTTTATATTTGTGTCCCAAAGCAGAGCCCGGACCACAAGGCCCATACTGACTGCCTCTCTGTGGCAAACGTCACATATGTCCATCACCCACCCTATTTATTGCTCCTCACCCTTCCAGAGGTGAACTTCCTCCATGAATTTCCCTTCCTGAAACTCACGATGGGAACCTTAGGCTGCCTGGAATACAAATTGGCACAGCTCAAGACACGCAGCTTAGCATGGGTTTTCAGGCGAGACTTTTTCCCTATGTGAGAGTCACGAGGCTGTCAAATGCTGTTATAAACAAGCAAGGTTGGGTTTGATCATGCAGTTACGGTTCTAGCACTGCATAATTACCCAGGCTAAAGAGCTCATTTAAAAAGGGGAACTTAGAGGAAAATTCTTTTTTTAGAAAAGGACTTGGGTTATAGACTTCTTTTTTGAGTACAAATTCTGTAGTAACAAGATATTAACTGTCATCATCTTTTGAACTGGTCACTCAAGGAAAAAACACGTGCTTCAAAAGGAAACGTGCTGTATCATCGTTGTTGGAATGAGTAGAAAAAGGGGTGTATCATATACGATAGTGTTTCCTTTCTCATGGCCAGTTAAATATTATCTCTATTATCTCTACCAGGAATACTTTATGGCCAACCACAAATTAGAGTAAGCTAGTAAAGAATGTTGAATTTTATTGACTATATTTTCTGTGGAACACAGGCTACAGTGCTAGATGAAGACAGGGAGGAAAGATGGCTGATAAACAACATATTTGTGGACTGTACTGACAGTAATTTCTATTTATCAGTAAAAGTTCCCAAAGTGATAAAGATTCCCTTTACCTCTTGGGATCTATGCTTAGATCCTCTACTATTGTTTAAACAGTCTATGAATTACTTATAGGCACCCTCTTCTTTTTCAGAGTTGCTTTAAAGCTCATCTTAACACAAAACACAGGAAATGAAGTAATAGTCTTCATATAAGACTATTAAAAAAAAAAAGAGAGAGGCCTAAGAATTTGTCTAGTTTAATTTTCTTTTTTTCTTTTTTTTTCTTTTTTTTGTTTTGAGACAGGGTCTTGCTTTGTTACCCAGGCTGGAGTGCAGTGGCGAGATCACAGCTCACTGCCGCCTTGATCTCTTGGGCTCAAGCAATCCTCCAACCTCAGCCTCCCAAGCAGCTGGGACTATAGGTGCACAACACCACACCTGGCTAATTTGTGCATTTTTTGTAAAGACAGGGTGACATCATATTGCCCAGGCTGGCATCTAGTTTAATTTTCTACTGAGGAATCTGAGGTCCAAACAGGAGAGAAATGTAAAGGATAAGAGTGAGTGTCCCTGTATTTTTTTCTGATTACTATGTATAATATTCATGTGGAAAATTTGGAAAGCAGAGAAAAATGTAAAAAGGCATGGAATCCTTTTATATTCTTAATACAAAGGCAACCACTGTCAAAATTTTGGCAGATTTTCTTCTGTCCTTTTTCCTAAATAGTATTTTTTTCAATATTGAAGGTATTATTTCCAGTATATGCAACTTTATGTCTTGTTTTTAAAAAAATGTTCACATATCATAAGCATGTTCCCATAAATGTTAGCAAAAACTCCTGGTAATCATTTTCAACAACTGCATTATAGTTTATCCAATGAATACACCATGCTTTATTTAACCATTCCTCTAATGTGAGACAAATATAAGTTGTTAATAACTTTTTACTCTCCTAAAAAATGCTATGATGATATTTGCCTGCAAATTATGGAGTAATTACAGAGTATTCTCCCCTCAGATAAATTCCTAAAAGGGAAATCACTGGAATAAAAAATATAAAGCATATGGACAATAATCCCAATTTAAAAAGATGTTAATGTATATAAATAGAGTGTAAATAAAATAGTGTTGATGTACTGAAATATGAACTGTATAAAAAGTATTGGTAATTGTATATGGGGTGTACCTGTTTATCTGTAACTGTTATCCAAACAA
Organism: Homo sapiens; assembly: GCF_000001405.40. Taxonomy (NCBI): domain Eukaryota; kingdom Metazoa; phylum Chordata; class Mammalia; order Primates; family Hominidae; genus Homo; species Homo sapiens. The sequence goes on from NC_000017.11 coordinate 18,522,934, forward strand.
ATTAAATACTGTGGATGCCTCTATGTGCTGTTTTTCCTCATACAAGTAAACACAGAAAGTCAAATTCTTCAGCCTCCCTCTCTGTGATCCTGTTTTAATTCTCCTACTTGAATAATTTCTTTCTGACTTACAGAGGGGATGCTTCATCTCTGAGGTTGGAAACTCTGTAGAGCAGGATTCCCCAACTCCTGGGCTACAGACCAGCACTGTCCATGGCCTGTTAGGAACCGGGCTGCACAGCAGCAGGTGAGCGGTGAGCTGTATTTATAGCCGCTCCCCCTTGCTCCCATTACCGCCTGAGCTCTGCCTCCTGTTAGATCAGCAGCGGCATGCCATTCTCGCAGGAGAACGAACCCTATTGTGAACTGCGCATGCTAGCAATCTAGGTTGTGCCCTCCTTATGAGAATCTAATGCCTGATGATTTGAGGTGGAACAGTTTGATCCTGAAACCATTCCCCCCAGCCCCCCAGTCCGTGGAAAATTGTCTTCCACAACACCAGTCCCTGGTGCCAAAAAGGTTGGCAACCACTGATGTAGAACAAGATTCCTACAGTGGGTATTACCCTACAGAGGTACTACTACAGGGGGTAGAACAAGATCCCTCCAGTGACCAGGTGACTTTAAACATGGCTCACATCCCTTTTAGAAAGTTATGGCAGGGAAGCAAGTAGAGAGCAGGTGGTAAACTGAGGACTGGTGCCTACATCGGTACCAACACTGGGTCCTACAGTCACTTTTGTGCAGATCAGGAGATGAGGTGAAGAGAAGGAAAGCTTCTCATTTGCATAATGCCTTGAAATGACCCGAGGTTTCTAGGGGGCACCGAGAAACCAGAGATGTACCCTGTTGTCTGTCTGGGAGATCCAAGGGGACAGCTGGCAGTGTTGAGAAGAGATGAAGGTGACAGCTGTAGGTCCTTCACCCTCAGCTTCTATTTGTTCACCTATAAAATTAAAATACCGAACACTCAGGCTTGTAAGAATTAAATGAAGGACACAAATGCCTGGCACAGTTGCTTGGTAAGTGCTCAATCCAACGATACTCAATCCTATTTTACAAAAAGGGTTTTTTTTGTTTGTTTTGTTGTTTGTTTTTTTACCTCCTTGCTATACCGATGCTAAAAGAGTTTAATAGTCCTCTGGTCACATTTTCCAAAAGCAAGAATACACATTAAAAATGTATAAAATGGGCCAGGCTCAGTGGCTTACGCCTGTAATCCCAGCACTTTGGACGGCCAAGGCAGGCAGATCACCTAAGGTTGAGAGTTCCAGACCAGCCTGACCAACATGGAGAAACCCCGTCTCTACTAAAAATACAAAATAGCCGGGTGTGGTGGTGCATGCCTGTAAACCCAGCTACTTGGGAGGCTGAGGCAGGAGAATTGCTTGAACCCGGGAGGCAGAGGTTGCAGTGAGCCGAGATCACGCCATTGCACTGCAGCCTGGGCAACAAGAGCGAAACTCTGTCTCAAAAAAAAAAAAAAGTATAAAATGAAACATGTTGAATCAGCAGCAGTGGCAGCTTGTTTAAGGAAAGGAACAAACAAAATTAATACAGAAAGTCAAAAAATGAAGCACAACTCTTTTAAGTGCCAGTCTGTTTTTAGGTTTCTTTCTTTTTTTTTTTTTTTTAAATAGAGACAGGGTTCTCTGTTGCCCAGGCTGGAATGCAGTGAGGTAATCACAGCTCACTGCAGCCTCGACCTCCCAGGCTCAAGCAATCCTCCCACCTCAGCCTCCCCAGTAGCTGGGACCACAGATGTGCACCATCACACCCAGCTAATTTTTGTATTTTTTGTAGAGATGGGGTTTCACCATGTTGCCCAGGCTGGTCTTGAACTCCTCGGCTCAAGCTATCTGCCCACCTCAGCTTCCGAAAGTGCAGTGATTACAAGTGTGAGCTGCCATGGCTGGCCAAGGCTGTCTTTTAAAAAGCTAAAGATGTGTTGGTTCAAGACCAGTCTGAGCAATATGGCGAGACCTCATTTCTACTAAAAAGAAAAAAAAAATCAGCTGGCTGTGGTGGCCCATGCCTGTAGTCATCCCAGCTACTTGAAAGGCTGAAGTGGGAGGATCGCTTGAACCCAGAAGGTTGAGGTTGCAGTGAGCCTTGATTGTGCCACTGCACTCCGGCCTGGGTGACAGTGAGACCTCGTCTCAAAAAGCCTCGGAAGGAGTGGCCTAGGGAGATGAGCAAGCATTTTGTTTCTAGTTTCTGAATGGCCCTGTGCATTGAGAGAGGTCTTCGGCCTCCCAGCCTCTCTGGCTGAAGGTGGCGATTCTGCATGGAGTCTCTCCACCACTTGGTGGCATTGCTCACAGTGACTTCCTACTTCTAAACACCATTGAATTGGAGCAAGTAGATGATTTGCCACATTTTTCCCAGCTAGTTTGGAGGCTGAATATAGAATTTTACTGGGGCACACCAGAATGTGTACGTTGGGGAGCAGCGATCCCCGTTTTCCTTGATAATCTGCCGACAGCTTCCTTAGTATTGAAATCACAAAGTCAGAAATGCACACACCTCTATGATGAGAGATCCATACAGAAGAGAGCAACAAAAAGAGGCCTTTTAAGTTTGCCAGACTTCCTGACCAGTGGGAAGCAAGAGAGTAGATAAGTGTGCAACAGGCACAAACCCAGGCCTATAAGAACCTAGTTGGGAACAGAATGTAAGAGAATGGGGAGCGATGGGGACTCTAGTGTGTTCTGGGCACGTGCCCATCTAAAGTCTCCATGTGACTGTTGCCCTGCAGGAATGTGGGCCCCAGTGTTCACCAAACCTTTTTGTTTGTTTGTTTTTTTCCCGTGAAGAGAAGCCAGAAACCCAGATATTGATACAAAGTATCCAGTTTAGAAGTGTTGGTAGTTTTTTTAATTTTGAACATTGTGCTGCCCAAAGAAGGTATCTGCAAGCCAGGTACAAACCAGCAGTTCATGCCCTCTGGTGAGCAGAAATGTCGGAGGTCGAATTCTAGTTCTGCTGTTGCAACAGCTGTAAACGAAAGTCTTCAGATTTCTAATGCCCAATGGAAATGCCACTTTATTTCCAAAGGTTATTAAAAGGAATAGTTCATGTATGTAAGTAGGCACAGAGCTTGCCACCTATTAGGTACTCAAAAGCATTCTTCCTTCACTTAAGGAAACAATACAGGCATAATACAACAATAAAGTTACGATCAAGTTCATTATCAGGAGGCATACACCCAAACAATAGGGGAGTGAGCACCTACCACGTACAGAGCTCTCTGCTAGGTTCTCTGGGGGCAGCAGTTCCCAACCTGGCAATTCATCGGCATCGTCGGAATCAGCCAGCAGCTTGTTGGATATGCTGAGTCCAGAGTCCCGCCCATATTACACCTAACGTTCTGTGCCTATTACACCCAGATTTATGAGATCCTCCTCTCCCATGCAGTCAAAGAATCTGCATTCTAATAAGTTCCTCAGAGGAAGCTCTTTTGCAGCCAGTTTGCACTGGTCTGTGGGTTGGTCACTTATGGAAACCACTGCTCCAGGGAATGAATCATGATTTCCAGTCTCATTAGGGAAAGATGATATGCATATGCACACATGTAAAGAGGAGTGACAGTAATTAGCCAAAAGCTCTGTGGACATAATTGCCTCTGATGAAGTGCTGACTGATGACATCAGACAGTAGGCTATTGACAGTGTACCCCGGGGAAAGCTAAATGCAAAAGAGAAGCGAACTGCCTCATGAAGTGAGATCAGGATTACACGGTCAGAAATGTGGAGAGGGTGATTCAGATGGACAAAGGAGCAGAGGTAGGATTCAAGTGATGTGTTTCGGAGGCAGTGCAGCCTGTTTGTGCTGAGTGGAAGGTGCACGAGGAACATAGTAGACGGTAACATGAAGGCAGGAGCTGTGAAGGCCTTTGAAGGTCAGGCCAGTTGTAATAAAACTATTTCACATTGTCAGGTATCTTGCGATGGTTGCCAAACATTTTTCTATGGTTTGCATAAATACATATCTATTTTATTTATGTATTTATTTATTTTATGTATTTATTTTATTTATTTATTTATTTTTTGAGACGGAGGTTCGCTCTTGTTGCCCAGGCTGGAGTGCAATGGAGCAATCCCAGCTCACTACAACCTCCGCCTCTCAGGTTCAAGCAATTCTCCTGCCTCAGCCTCCTGAGTAGCTGGGATTACAGGCATGAGCCACCACGCCCAGCTAATTTTGTATTTTTAGTAGAGATGGGGTTTCTCCATGTTGGTCAGGCTGGTCTTGAACTCCCAGCCTCAGGTGATCCACCCATCTCGGCCTCCCAAAGTGCTGGGATTACAGGCTTGAGTCACTGCACCCAGCCTATTTTAGTTTTCTTTGAGACGGAGTTTCACTCGTCGCCCAGGCTGCAGTGAAGTGGCACTATCTCGGCTCACTGAAACCTCCACCTCCCGGATTCAAGTGATTCTCCTGCCTCAGCCTGCCAAGTAGTTGGGATTACAGGGTCCCTTGAAGCCCAGGCCAAATGGCCCTGCTGTGGCCTTGCCCCAACGCACCCCCCCACTTTCTCTGGGTCAGCCCCAACTCGTAGTCCAGTCCTCCCAGTTCCTCTGCTTCTCTGAGTATAACTTGAGCTGACGTGTGGTGCATTCCAGTTACCTGACTTACATCAAGCTGTCAATGGCAATCAAGCGTAATGAGAGCATGGCCAAAGGTCTGCAGAGGGCTCTGCTGCAGCAGCAGCCAGAGGATGACAGCAAGTGCTTCCCCCGGCCCCAGGACCTGATCTGGCTTTATGACATCATCTTACAGCTGACCCTTGAGGACCGGGAAGGCAAGGGCCTGTCGTTTTCCTTTGCCTGTGTCAGACACAAAATGACTTAACTTTGTATCATGGAAGGGCTGTGACAAGCAGGACCTGTTAGTAGCTGGGAAAAGACAAAGGTCTTACACCAGTTCCACAGTCTGTGAGCCCCTACCTCTCAGACATGCTGATCTGCAGAGAATAGTGACCTCAGATCATCACTGAGCACTTCACCTGTGTAAGATGCTCCCAGGTGCCATAGAGCATCTGAGACCTGAATCCATGCCATCTCGGCCCCCAGGGAGTTTGTCAGTCAGTAGGACTGTGAGACACACACAGTCAAGGCATCTGAGTAGATGCTAAGCAAAATAAAAGCTCAGCGCTGGAACAGATCCCTTCCAGCTAAGATGGGCCAAGAAGTCTCTGAAGGCGGGTGAGCTATGAGTTGAGTTGTAAAGGGCAAATCTGTTTCCAAGATGAGAGGGGAATGGAGGCGACAGCAGGTGTGGCTGCTGCCAGGTCACTTCACAGGCTTTTCCCCATTGTATTGACCTCGGGCTTTTTTTTTCTCACCATTGTCTGTTCTTACAAGGTCTTCTGTGAAAAATTCAACCTAAGATCTACTCTTCATGAATTTTCTTGTTGCATCTGTTGTACAGAATCTGGTGGAATTGCTCCAGCTTCCTGGTTTAGAGGAAGACAAAGCCTTCCAGAAAGAGATAGGCCTCAAGATTCTGGTGTTCAAAGCTTACAGGTAACGTCCCATGGGATGGGCAGAGTTTTCCTCTGCCTCCCAGGTTCTGTAAGCATTGGGAGCATGACCCAGCCCACAGCAGATGGGATCATTGGCCTTGAGTGTATGGTTACCTTGCCTGTGATCAGAGGAAGGTCAGCCCAGCACGTTCAAGGGGAGTTTCTAAAGGCTGTGGTCAGCAGTGGCCAGTGATGATGACTGCCCTTTGGCCAGGTTGGAGGAGTGGAGCACACACGTTAAACTTGGCTTCCTCGCTGGGTGTGGTAGCTCACGCTTGTAATCCCAGCACTTTGGGAGGCAAAGGCAGGATTAAAAACTTAAATCTAAAATGAAAACATATTAAAACCTTGGACGATAACCTAGGAAATACCATTGCGGACATAGGACCTGGAAATGATCTTCATGACAAAGATGCCAAAAGTAATTGCAAGAAAAACAAAAATTGGCAAATGGGACCTAATTAAACTAAAGAGCTTCTTTACGGCAAAAGAAACTATCAACAGAGTGAACAGCTCACAGAAAGGGAGAAAATATTTGCAACCTAGCCATCTGACAAACGTCTAATATCCAGCATCTGCAAGGAACTTAAATTTACAAGAAAAAAAAACAAACAACCCCATCAAAAGTGGGCAAAGGACATGAACAGATACTTTTCAAAAGAAGACATAACATGTGGCCAACAAGGCTATGAAAAAAATGCTCAAACTCACTAATCATTAGAGAAATGCAAATCAAAACCACAGTGAGACACCATCTCACACCAGTCAGAATGACTATTATTAAAAGGTCAAAAACTAACAGAAGCTGGCAAGGTTGTGGAGAAAAGGGGATGTTTATGCACTTCTGGTGGGAATTTAAACTTGTTTAGTCATTGCGGAAAGCAGTTTGGCGATTTCTCAAAGAACTTAGAATTGCCATTTGACCCAGCAGTCCCATTGCTTTCCCCATTGCTTTTTTTAAGTGGAGTTGTTGAAGGTTGGATGGTTGTAGGTGTGCTGCATTATTTCTTAGCTCTCTATTCTGTTCCATTGGTATATGTGTCTGCTGTTGTAACAGTACCATGCTATTTCTGTTACTGCAGGTTTGTAGTATAGTTTGAAGTCAGCTACCAAACTACCAATGACATTCTTCACAGAATTAGGATAAACTATTTTAAAATTTATATCAAACCCCAAAACAGCTGGAATAGCTAAGGCAATTCTAGCTTACTTTTATAAGAATATAGTGTATAATACATAGAATATACAGCATATATATTAATCAACTTTGTTATGGGTAAGGTTTCTGGTCAACAGTAGTTAATCAGGTCAGTCAGCAGTTACATTACAGGGAAGTCAAAATTTAGGCAAATTTTCGGCTGTGTGGGGTTCAGCCCCTCTAACTTCCACATTGTTCAAAGGTCAAGAGTACTGAAAGGGAAAAAAAACCTAAAATGAGCCATGTGTGATTCAACTGGAATTAGAATCACCAGGAAGAACTCATGGTTTTCAGTATATTCTAATATAGAAATATCGATGAATATAAGCATGTATGTTTGTATATTTATCCATCTAGCTGTATTTTTCTGCTCTGTTCACTGAGGAAGCCTATGAGCAATGACAACTACAACAGCCATACGTATCTACCACAATTACTGCCCAGATATTGGTTTCTAATTACTGTCCCCTAAAGAAAGTCAGGGCTTCTGGAAAAAAATGAAAATGGCTGATTCAAGGGCTGGGGCAGAGAAAATACAAAGTATGGTTGAAACAGCTTATGCCAGAAAGTAAGGAAGTATTCAAAGAACAATAAGGACAGTTCAAAAAGACATGAACTCAGCTTGAAATGGCTACCACTGGTCAAAGCGGAGGGAACCTGAACAGCAAAACAATAAATTTTCCCTTCTCCCCTATTTGTTGGTTGGTTTTGTTTTGTTTTACTTATCCACGTAGAAGGAATGAAAGATGAAGACAATCATGATTTGGCAACCACCATAATAATAATTGACCCAACAAAAATAATCAATAAAATGCTAAATCTAGTGGGTGAGATGTTTAGAGTAACCAGATATTTACAGAGCCTCAAACTATGTTCACATAAGACATTGGTGAAAAACAAATGGTAGATAGTCACTTTATCATGGACAGACCTGGCAGATTCTCAACCAAAGTCAACACTGGCCAGTAATGGAGCCAAGTAACAGCATATGCCTCCAGATATGCTGCATTGGGAAGAACTCAGCCTCACTTGTGTGACCTTCCTGCCAGAATGGTATAACCTGAACTGAATCATGAAGAAACATCCTATGAACCCAAACTGAGAGAAAATCCACAAAAAACTGACCCATACTCTTCAAACACATAAATGCCATGAAAATCAAGGAAAGACTCAGGAATCATCCTGGACTAAAAGAGACTAAAAAGACAGAATAATTTGACACAGATCGACCTCCTCCAAAGGTCAGCAACCTCAAACATCAAAGGTACATAGGCCCACAGAGATGAGGAAGAATCAACGTAAAAATGCTGAAACCTCTCAACATCATGGATTATGAAAGTCAACATCATGGATTGTAAAATCACCCATCTTAAATTATTTGGCTATAAAAAATATTATTGAGACAACTGAAAAAAGTAAAATAAGGTTTATGGATGAGATAGTAACAGTAAACCATTTTTAATTTCCTGATTTTGATAGTTATACTATAATTATGCAAGATAATGCCTTGTTTTTAGGAGACACACATAAAATTATTTAGAAATAAAGAGGCATCATACCTGCAACTTATAAACCATTCAGAAAAAGTCTATATTATGCACCTACATTTATATTTACCTAGAAAGAGAAGAGGAAAAGGGGGAGAAAGGATAAAGCAAATACAGTAAAATGTTCACATTTGGGGAATATTATCCAAGAATGTTTTGTAGTTTTCTTACTATTTTTCTATAAGTCTAAAATTGTCAAAATAAAACATTTCTAAAAAGAAAAAAATTGTTAAAACAATTGTCAAATTATAACCTATTAAATGAAATAAACCACAAGTAAATATCAAATCAAGTAAATGAATAAATTGAGTTTGATGAAGAACAGAGATATCTACATAGTCTCGAATTACCTCCCCACAAAATATTAATACTAATTAATTACAAGGTGAAAAAGTAACATTACAGAGGAGAAAGCTAGCAGACAACACTGTTTGTGATCAATGCCAACATCACCAGTAAAAGGGCAAATCAAAATTGTAGGTCACTCATGTTCTATGGGGCTAACAGAGCTCTAATTTCTTCCCGGGATGGAGTGCCTGAGGGGTGGGGCAGGCTGCCACCTAGGCCTTTCAAGCTTCTCAGCCAGTTCAGCCTGTGGGCCTTTGGACAGCCCAAACTGAATGGGAACTGAAGGGATCCCCAACACAGCACAGCTGGTCTACCAAAAAGTAGCCAGAATCATTCTTTAAGCAGGTCCCTTATCCCATTTCTCCTGACTGGAGGAGACCTCCCAACTGGGGTCTCCAGCCACCTCCTACAGGCACTTTCGAGCCAGCAATAGGTCAGTACCCTGCTGGGCTGGAGCTTCCAGAGGAAGTGGCAGGCAGCCATCTTTGCTGTTTCACAGACTTCACTGATGATACCTCCAGCTATGGGAAAAACTGAGGCAACTAGGGTATAGTGCGAACCCCCAGCAAACTGCAGCAGCCCTGCAGAAGAGTGGCCAGACTGTTAAAAGAAAAACAAGCAGGAAAAAACAACAATAACAATTTAAAAAGCCACAAAAACCCCATCCTCAAGGTCAAAGTTTAAGATAGACCCACAGAGATGAGAAATAACACCAAAATCCTGAGGACTCGAAAAGCCAGAGTATCCCTGCAACACCTCTCCAGCAAGGGCTCAGAACTGGGTTGAGCCTGAGATGGCTGAAATGACAGAGTAGGCTTCAGAATGTGAATAACAGTGAACTTCAATGACCTAAAGGAGCATCTTGTAACCCAATGCAAAGAAACTAAGAATCATGACAAAACAATACAGGAGCAGACAGCCAAAATAGCCGGTCTAGAGAAAAACATAACTCACCTGTTAGAGCTGAGTGAACTTCACAATGAAATCACAATTATTAACAGCAGAATAGGCCAAGAAAAGAATCTCAGAGCTTGAAGATGATCTTTCTGAAATAAGACAGGCAGACAAGAATAGAGATAAAAGAATGAAAAGGAATGAACGATACCATCAAAAAATATGGGATTACATAAAGAGAACGAATCTATGATGGATTGGGGTACCTGAAAAAGACAAGGAGAATGGAACCAAGTTGGAAAACATACTTCAGCACAGGATCCAAGAGAACTAACTTCCCCAGGTTAGTTCTAGCAAGACAGGCCAACACTCAAATTCAAGAAATCCAGAGAACTCCAGTGAGATACTCCACGAGGAGATCATCCCTGAGACACATAATCATCAGATTCTCCAAACTCTAAATGAAAGAAAAAATGTTAAGGGCAGTCAGACAGAAAGGCCAGGTCACCTACAAAGGGAACCCCATCAGATGAACAGCCGACCTCTCAGTGGAAACCCTACAAGTCAGAAGATACTGGGAACCAATATTCAACATTCTTAAAGAAAATAATTTCCAACCCAGAATTTCACATCTGGCCAAACCAAGCTTCATAAGCAAAGGATAAATAAGATGCTTTTCAGACAAGCAAATGCTGAGGGAACTTGTTACTACCAGACCTGTCTTGCAAGAGCTCCTGAAGGAAGCAGTAAATATGAAAAGGAAAAACCATTACCAGGCACCAGAAAAACACACTAAAGTACAAAGAACAGTGACACTGTGAAGCAACCACATAAACAAGTTAGCAAAATAACTAGCTAGCATCATGATGATGAGATCAAATCCACATATAATACTACTAACCTTAAATCTCAATGTGTTTTCCAATGAAAGACACAGAATGGCAAGCTAGATAAAGAACCAAGACCCATCAGTATGCTGTATTCAAGAGACCCATCTCACACACAAAGAAACACATAGGCTAAAAATAAAGGGATGGAGGAAAATTTACCAAGCAAACAGAAAGCAGAAAAAAACAGAGCTTGCAATCCTAGTTCCTAACAAAACAGACTTTAAATTAACAAAGATCAAAAAAGACAAAGAAGAGCACTACCTGTTGGTAAAGGGTTCAATTCAACCAGAAGAGCTAACTATCCTAAATATATATGCACCCTATACAAGAGCACCCAGGTTCATAAAGCAAGTTATTGGAGACCTTCAAAGAGACTTAGACTCCCACACAATAATAGTGGGAGACTTTAACACCACAATGACAATATTAGACACATCATGGAGACAGAAAATTAACAAAGATATTCAGGACCTGAACTCAGCTGTGGATCAAGTAGACATGATAGATATCTACAGAACTCTCCAACAAAAAACAAGCGAATATACATTCTTCTCATAGCCACATGACACTTACCCTAAAACTAATCATAAATTAGGAAGAAAAACACTCCTCAGCAAATGAAAAATAACTGAAATCATAACAAAGAGTCTCTCAGACCACAGCAAAATCAAATTAGAACTCAAGATTAAGAAATTCACTTAAAACCACACAACTATATGGAAATTGAACAATCTGCTCCTGAATGACTTTGGGGTAAATAACAAAATTATGGCAGAGATCAAGAAGTGTTTTAAAACTAATTAGAACAAAGAGACAACATAACAGAATCTCCAGGACTCAGCTAAAGCAGTGTTAAGAGGAAAATTTATAGCACTAAATGCCCACATCAAAAAGAGAGAAAGATCTCAAGTTAACAACCTAATATTACAACTAAAAGGACTAGAGAACCAAGAGGAAACAAACTCCCAAGCTAGCAGAAGACAAGAAATAACCAAGATCAGAGCTGAACTGAAATAGAGACACAAAAAAACCTTCAAAAAAATCAATGAATCCAGGAGGTTTTTTTAAATTTACTTTTTATTTCAATAGGTTTTTAAGGAACAGGTGGTGTTTGGTTATATAAATAAGTTCTTTAGTGGTGATTTTTGAGATTTGGGTGCATCCCTCACCCGAGCAGTGTACACTGTACTCAGTGTGTAGTCTTTTATTTCTCACTCCCTTCCCACTGTTTCCCCTGAGTCCCCAAAGTCCACTGTATCATTCTTATGCCTTTACATTCTCATAGCTTAGCTCCCACATATGAGAACATATGATGTTTGGTTTTCCATTCTTGAGCTACTTCACTTAGAAGAATGGTCTCCAATTCCATCCAGGTTGCTGCAATTAGAAGAATGGTCTCCAATTCCATCCAGTTTGCTCCTTTTTATGGCTGAGTAGTATTCCATGGGGTGTGTGTGTACATATCACATTTTCTTTATCCACTCATTGATTGATGGGCATTTGGGCTGGTTCCATATTTTCACAATTATGAATTTTGCTGCTATAAACGTGTGTACAAGTATCTTTTTTGTATAATGACTTCTTTTCCTCTGGGTAGATACTGAGGAATGGGGTTGTTGGATCAAATGGTAGATCTACTTTTAGTTCTTTAAGCAATCTCCACACCATTTTCCATAGTGGTTGTACTAGTTTACATTAGCATCAACACTATAAAAGTGTTCCCTTTCCACCACATCCATGCCGACATCTATTATTTTTTAATTTTTTTAATATTGCCATTCTTACAGGAATGAGGTTATACCGCGTTGTGGTTTTGATTTGCATTTCCCTGATCATTAGGGATGTTGAGCATTTTTCCATATGCTTGTTGGCCATTTGTATATTTTCTTTTGAGAATTGTCTATTCGTGTCCTTAGCCCACTTTTTTATGGGATTGGTTTTTTTCTTACTGATTTGAGTTCTTTGTAGATTCTGAATATTAGTCCTTTGTTGGATGTGTAGGTTGTGAAGATTTTCTCCCACTCTGTGTGTTGTCTGTTAACTCTGCTGATTATTTCTTTTGCTGTGCAAAAGCTTTTTAGTTTAGTTAAGTCCCATCTATTTATCTTTTGTTTTTGTTGCATTTGTTTTGAGCTTCTTGGTCATGAAGTCTTTGCCTAAGCCAATGTCTAGAAGGGTTTTTCCAATGTTATCTTCTAGAATTTTTAAGGCTTCAGGTCTTAAGTTCTTGATCCATCTTGAGTTGATTTTTGTATAAGGTGAGAGATAAGGATCCAGTTTCATTCTCCTAAATGTGGCTAGCCAATTACCCCAGCACTATTTGTTGAATAGGGTGTCCTTTCCTCACTTTGTTGAAGATCAGCTGGCTGTAAGTATTTGGCTTTAATTCTGGGTTCTCTATTCTGTTCCATTGGTCTATGTGCCTATTTTTATACCAGTATCATGCTGTTTTAGTGACTATGGTGTTACAGAATAGTTTGAAGTTAGGTAATGTGATGTCACCAGATTTGTTCTTTTTGGTTAGTCTTCCTTTGGCTATGTAGGCTCTTTTTTGGTTCCATATGAATTTTGGGATTATTTTTCATCATTTTGTAAAGAATGATGGTGGTATTTTGATGGGAATTGGATTAAATTTGTAGATTGCTTTTGGCAGTATGGTCATTTTCACAATATTGATTCTACCCATCCATGAGCATGGGATGTGCTGCCATTTGTTTGTGTCATCTGTGATTTCTTTCAGTAGTGTTTTGTAGTTTTCCACGCAGAGATCTTTCACCTCCTTGGTTAGGAATATTCCTAAGTATTTTATTATTATTATTTGTAGCTATTGTAAAAAGGGTTGAGTTATTGATTTGATTCTTGGCTTGGTCGCTGAAGGTGTATAGCACAGCTACGGATTTGTGCACACTTGTGTGTAACTCTGTATCCTGAAACTTTGCTGAATGCATTTACCAGTTCTAGAAGCTTTTTGGATGAGTCTTTAGGGTTTTCTAGGTATACAATCATATCATTGGGAAACAGCAATAGGCAGACTTCTTCTTTACCACTTTGGATGCCCTTGATTTCTTTCTCTTGTCTGATTGCTCTGGCTAGAACTTCCAGTACCATGTTGAATAGAAGTGGAGAAAGCGGGCAATCTTGTCTTCTTCCAGTTTTCAGGAGGAATGCTTTCAACTTTTCCCTGTTCAGTATAATGCTGGCTGTGGGTTTGTCATAGATGGCTTTTATTACCTTAATGTATGTCCCTTCTATGCTGATTTTGCTGAGGGTCTTAATAAAATAAGGATGCTGGATTTTCTCAAGTGGTTTTTCTGCATCTATTGAGATGATCATGTGACTTTTGTTTTTTAATTCTGTTTATGTAGTGTATCGCATTTATTGACCTGCAGATGTTAAACCATCCCTGCATCCCTGGTATGAAACCCACTTGATCATGATGGATTATCTTTTTGATATGTTGTTAGATTCAGCTAGCTAGTATTTTTTTGAGGATTACTGCATCTCTGTTCATCAGGGATGTTGGTCTGTAGCTTTCTTTTCTCATTATGTCCTTCCTTGCTTTTGGTATTAGGGTGTCTATTAGTCTGTTTCAGTATTAGGGTGTGTATTAGTCCATTTTCACACTGCTGATAAAGACATACCTGAGACTGGGCAATTTACAAAAGAAAGAGGTTTATTTGACTTACAGTTCCACATATTTGGGGAGGCCTCAAAGTCATGGTGGAGTCAAGGAAGAGCAAGTCACATCCTACGTGGATGGCAGCAGGCAAAAAGAAAGAGCTTGTGTAGAGAAAGTCCTGTTTTTAAAACCATCAGATCTTGTGACACTCACTCACTGTCATGAGAACAGCATGGAAAAGACCCGCCCTCATGATTCAATCATCTCCTACTGGGTCCTTCTCACAACATGTGGGAATTATGGGAGCTAAAAGATGAGATTTGGGTGGGGACACAGAGCCAAACCATATCATGGTGATTTTGGTTTCATCAAATGATTTAGGGAAGATTTCTCTTTCTCTATCCTGTGAAATAGTGTTAATAGGATGGGTACCAATTCTTTGAATGTCTGATAGAATTCAGGTGTGAATCCATCTGGTCCTGGACTTTTTTGTTGTTGGCAATTTTTAAATTACCATTTTCAATCTTGCTGCTTCTGATTGGTCTGTTCAGAGTTTCTATATCTTCCTAATTTAATCCAGGAGGGTAGTATATTTCCAGGAATTTATCGATCTCCTGTAGGTTTTCTAGTTTATGGATGTGAAGATGTTCATAGTAGTCTTGAATAATCTTTTGTATTTCTGTGGTGGTATCAGCGGTAATATCTCCCATTTCATTTCTAATAGAGCTTATTTGGATCTTCTCTCTTCTTTTCTTGATTAATCTTGCTAATGCTTATCAATTTTATTTATCTTTTCAAAGAACCAGCTTTTTGTTTCATTTATCTGTTGTATTTTTTTGTTTCAATTTCATTTAGTTTTGTTCTGATTTTGTTATTTCTTTTCTTCTGCTGGGTTTGGATTTGGACTGTTCTAGTTTCTCCAATTCTGTGAGGTGTGACCTTAGATTGTTTATTTGTGCTCTTTCAGACTTTTTGATATAGGCATTTAATGCTATGAATTTTCTTCTTACCTCCACTTTTGCTGTATCCCAGAGTTTTTGATAGGCTGTGTCACTATTATCGTTCAGTTCAAAGAATTTTTAAATTTCCCTCTTGATATCATTGTTGACCCAACAATCATTCAGGAGTAGGTTATTTAATTACCATGTATTTGCATGCTTTTGAGTGTTCCTTTCGGAATTAATTTCCAATTTTATTCCACTGTGGTCTGAGAGAGTACTTGATATAATTCTGATTTTCTTAAATTTACTGAGACTTGTTTTGTGCCCTATCATATGGTCTATTTTGGAGAATGTCCCGTGTTCTGATGTATACAATGTATATTCTATGCTTGTTGGGTAGAATGTTCTGTAAGTATCTGTTAAGTCCATTTGTTCTAGGGTATAGTTTAAGTCCATTGTTTCTTTGTTGACTTTCTGTCTTGGTGATCTGCCTAGTGCTGCCAGCGGAGTATTAACATCCCCCACTATTATTGTGTTGCCAACTACCTCATTTCTTATGTCTAGTAGTAATTGTTTTATAAATTTGGGATCTCCAGTATTAGGTGCATATATATTTAGGACTGTGATATTTTCCTGTTGAACTAGTCCTTTTATCATTATATAATGTCCCTCTTTGTCTTTTTAAAACTGCTGTTGTCTTAAAGTCCGTTTTGTCTGATATAAGAACAGCTACTCCTGCTCGCTTTTGATGTGTCCATTTAGACGAAGTGTCTTTTTCCAACCCTTTGCCTTAAGTTTATGTGAGTCCGTATGTGTTAGGTGAGTCTCCTGAAGACAGCAGCAACTTGGTTGGTGAATTCTTACCCATTCTGCCATTCTATATCTTTTAAGTGGAGCATTTAGGCCATTTACGTTCAACATTAGCATTGAGATGTGAGGTACTATTCTATTCGTAGCGCTATTTGTTGCCTGAGTACCTGAAAACCTGGAAGCGTTCCCTTGAAAACTGACACAAGACAAAGATGCCCTCTCTCACCACTCCTATTCAACACAGTATTAGAAATTCTCACCAAGGCAATCAGGCAAGAGAAAGAAAGAAAAGCTATTCAAATAGGAAGACAGGAAGTCAAACTATCTTTGTTTGCAGATGATATGATCCTATATCTAGAAAACTCCATCATCTCAGCTCAAAAACCTCTTAGCTGATAAGCAACTTCAACAAAGTCTCAGGATACAAAATCAATGTGCAAAAGTCACTAGCATTCCTATACACCAACAACAGGCAAGCCGAGAGAAAAATCATGAATTAACTCCCATTCACAATTGCCACAAGAAGAGTATAATACCTAGGAATACAGCTAACAAGAAAAGTGAAGGACCTTTTCAAGGATAACTATAAACCATTATTCAAAGAAATCAGAGATGACACAAACAAATGGAAAAACATATGCTCACAGACAGGAAGGATCAATATCGTGAAAATGACCACACTGCCCAAAGCAATCTGTAAATTAAATGCTAGGCCCATTAAACTACTATTGACCTTCTTTACAGACCTAGAAAAAGCTATTTTAAAATTCATATGGAACCAAAACAGAGCCCAAATAGCCAAGACAATCCTAAGCAAGAAGAGCAAAGCTAGAGGCATCATGCTACCCAGCTTCAAAATATACTACAAGACTACAGTAACCAAAACAGCATGGTGCTGGTACAAGAACCGACACATAGACCAATGGAACAGAATAGAGAACCCAGAAATAAGACCACACACCTACAACCATGTGATCTTTGACAAACCTGACAAAAGGAAGCAATGGGGAAAAGATTCCCTATTTAATAAATGGTGCTGGGAGAACTGGCTAGCCATATGCAGCAAATTGAAACTGGACCCCTTCCTTAACCCATATACAAAAGTTAACTCAAGATGGATTAAAGACTTAAATCTACAACCCAAAACTATAAAAATCCTGAAAGAAAACCTAGGCAATGCCATTCAGGACACAGGCAAGGGCAAAGATTTCATGACGAAGATGCCAAAAGCAATTGCAACAAAAGCCAAAATTGACAAATGGGATCTAATTAAACTAAAGAGCTTCTGCACAGCATTAAGAACCTATCAACAGAGTAAACCGACAACCTACAGAATGGGAGAAAATTTTTGCACTCTATCCATCTGACAAAGGTCTAATATCCAGCATCTACAAGGAACTTAAACAAATTTACAAGAAAAAAAAAACTCAACCCCATTAGAAAGTGGTCAAAGGACACAAACAGACACTTTTCAAAAGAAGGCATACATGCAGCCAACAAACAAAAAAACCTCAACATCACTGATCATCTGAGAAATGCAAATCAAAACCACAACAAGACACCATCTCACAACAGTCAGAATGGCTATAATTCAAAAAACTGAAAAGATGCTGGCAAGATTATGGAGAAACAGGAATGCTTTTACACCGTTGATAGGAGTGTAAATTAGTTCAACCAGTGTGGAAGACAGTGTGGTGATTCCTCAAAGATCTAGAACCTGAAATACCATTTAACCCAGCAATCCCATTACTTGGTGTATACCCAAAGGAATATAACTAATTCTAGTATAAAGATACACACACACGTATGTTCATTGCAGCACTATTCACAACAGCAAAGACAAAGAATCAACCTAAAAGCCCATCAATGATAAACTGGATAAAGAAAATGTGGTACATATACACCATGGAATACTATGCAGCCATGAAAAGGAATGAGACATGTCCTTTGCAGGGACATGGGTGGAGCTGCAGAACATTATCCTCAGCAAACCAACACAGAAATAGAAAATGAAATACTGCATGCTCTCACTTACAAGTGGGAGCTGAATAATGACAACACATGGACACATGGCGGGGAACAACACACACAGGGGCATGTGGGATGGTGGCGGGTGAGAGAAGGGAGAGCATCGTGAAGAACAGCTAATGGATGCTGGGCTACTATTAATACCTAGGTGATGGGATGATCTGTGCAGCAAACCACCATGGCACATATTTACCTATGTAACAAACCTGGACATCCTGCACATCCTGCACATGTACCCCTGAACTTAAAAGATGAAAATAAAAAATAATAATAATTGCAGGTCACCTGATAGAATGCAGTGAGAAGATCATGGGATAACTTCTGTGATACTCTTGCCAAAAAAAAAATTATCATCTAAATCTTATCATAAAAAAAGTTCAGAGAAATCCAATGGAGGGACATTCTGTATTATTGGACTTTACTCTTCAAAAGATTTAAGGTCATAAAGGTCAAAGAAAAACTGAGGAACTGTTCCAGACTGAAAGAGTCATGACAACTAAATGAAATTCATGGACCTGAATGGGATCCTTCTGCTACAAAGAACATTATAGACAATTAAGAAAACTTGAAAAGAAACTGAGAATTAAATGATCAAGTGTATTGATGTTAACTTTCTGATTATGAAGTAGTTATATAAAATGTCCTGACTTGTGGGAATACCCACATACCAGATGTGATGGCATAATGTCAGCAATTTACTCTCAAATGGCCCACAGGGGGGAAGCTGTTTTTCCTAAAATGTGGAAATTTTCTCCAATTTTAAGACTGTTTCCCAAAAGTTAATCTAATAAAGAAATGAAACAATAAATAAAAAAGCAAAAAGCCTTAGGCAAACCTTATTTTTCCACAAGGAAAGATCTAAATAAATCAGTGCTTAAAATTAAAATTATCTAAGTTTGATTGCACTATAACAATCGTAATACATCCAAACATTGACAATGACCACAGTACCAGTATACCAAAATGATGTCTATCTAAACTTAAATCTATCACTATGTATAAAGATAAAATTATAAAATACAAACAAGCCATCAATTGGCTCCACTAAATTACTAATGGCAACTTGATTATTTGGCTGTTTAAACAGCAAACATTTGGGCAGTTCGAGTATGTAAAACTCAGTAATACTGGTTTTCATTTGCAAAATCCACTTAAAAGTTAGCTGAAGAGGCCAAGAAACATTATTTAAAATACTACATAAATTTTCATCAGACATGTATAATATAGAATATTTCCCTTTAGTAAAAATGTTCACATCATATATTTAATGGGAAACAAAATATCATGTGAATAGCCCAAATAAAATTGCCTTATCTTTCAGAGTATGTATTTTCTTCTTAAAATCTGTGCATACTCTTTTGTTACTTCCAAAACTGGATCTTGATTCAGATTTTCCTTGTGTGTAAATCCTAGAGGAGAAGCTATATAGGATCCAGGTTCATATTTAGTAGCAGCTGAAAAAAAAAAGCAAGAATTATATTATTATTATTATTATTATTGTTATTGTTATTATTTTAAGATAGGGTCTCACTCTTTCACCTATGCTGGAGTGCCGTGGTGTGATCACAGGTCACTGCAGTCTCGTCCTCCCAGGCTTAAGCAATTCTCCTGCCTCAGCCCCAAGTACTTGGAACTGCAGGCATGAGCCACTGTGCCTGGCAAGCTTTTGTATTTTTTATAGGGGCAGGGTTTCGTCATGTTGGCACAGGCTGCTCTCAAACTCCTGGGCTCCAGTGATCTGCCTGTCTCAGGCTCCCAAAGTGCTGGGACTACAAACGTGAGCCAACATGCCTGGCCAAAGAATTATATTCTACATATTTCATAGTTAACTAAGTGCAAATCAGTAAAAAAGAGTTGAGAGCTTTTTCAGTGTTAACAAGAATGAAACGTATGTATGACTACAATGCTAACTTATTATTAGATAAGAATCTGCCCATAGTTGCACACTAAATTAATGATCACTGTGGTTGTGTATCACAGCTTCTGGTTTTCTCATTCTTCATTCATTTATTCAACAACCGCATGCTAAGGTACTAGACTATGCCCTGGAGTTACAAGATGAAGATGATACAGTCCACCCCTCAGCAATCATATGCTATAACCTGAAAAAGCAGACAAATAGGCAATTTCCATACCAAGTCATAGATACCCTGACAGGTATAAAACAGGGCACTATTGGAATGCAAGAGGGATACCTATCCCAGTTTTGTCTCGATACTGTAGGCTTTTCGGTGGAGGCATGGTTAGTGGATACCTGAAGGATGAGAAAAAAAGGTTGGCAGATAGAGCAAAGAAGCAAGTGCAAAGAGCTGGAGAAGGACGAGCACTGTGGAATTCTGTGCAGTCCAGTTTGGCTGGATCCTAGAGCAAAGGGGCAGAGTAAAGTAAGTGGTGAGAGATAAGCCTGAGTAACTTGACAAGAACCAAATGAACGTGGGTGTTTATATTACATGTTAAGGAATTTGGAACTTTTTCTGAGGGCAAAAGTAAACCAATGACACTGTAAATGACTGGAGATTTAAAGTGTTACCTCTCAAGCGACTGCTTATAAACTGTAACTGCTTGAATAGGTTACTAGATGAGACTGGGATGTTTTGGCCTTAAAAATCACTACCATAACCCTGAGAAATTGATGATGCCTCTGTTTTCTGAGAACCGTTTCTGTGTGCTGGCTGACAATTCCATAGGGATGGCAGAAGTGAAGAGTAGAGCCAGACTTCTTGAGCTATTTTTTTCAAGCTATGGAACGTGATGAATTCATGAGGCATAAGTATGCTCTTCATTATACATGTTCAAGTTTTCACATCTTTCATTAGATGTATATGAAAGAATATTTAATGTAGTATCTACTAGCCCAAGAACGGAAAGGGATGTCGTTTGCAGTTTATTTCAGATATATATTACTTAATCAATTTAATTCATAAATTTTGGTAACATACCTGCTACTTCTGCAGTTAGATCATTTTGCAACTTCTGCTGCATCTGAAATAAGTCAAATATTATTTATAACGTTTAAGAAGAGACATTATCATGGTAAGGAGCATTAATTACAAAATGCGGCCTTTAAATAATACTTTTACAGACTAGACCTAATTTGAAGATTGCTTAAATTAAAAATATCATATAAATTCCTACCAATTTTAAGTTTAGATAATGGAGAACATATATGTGTTATGCTGTTTAGATTAATCTCACAAAAGTACAATTAATATTGGTCTGTTGGATCTATGTCATTTCAAAAGTGTGATGTTTTCCCTTATTAGTACAGAGGTTACACAATTCAAGTCATATTCTGCAATGAATGCATTACTTTCCCATTCTTATCAAAACTCTGCCCTTTATCAAGGTCTAACCAGTTTTTCACTTTAATGAATAGTTCCTTACAATGAACTCTCCATTCTCCACTTTTAGAAAATAATAATTTCAAAGTATGTTCTTTGCTATTAATTCAGCACAGAATCTTTAATACATACTTGAAGAAAGCAGTATTGTTGTGATGCCATGTGAAAGTTCCACTGGCAAAAGATTAAAAATATTACGCTATTATGATTAACATTTCTTCATTCATACGGACACAAAGATTTCAGAAAATTTACATAAAAACAAGGATAAATACAGGTTAGAGCCAGTTTTCAATCTTAGTTTCTGTGATTCATGAATGTCTAGAATTAAAAACTAGGAAAACAATTTAGAGTTATTTAACTGCAACTTTGATTTCTTTTCAGAAATTAGTACCCATTTTTTAAGCATCTGACAAGTTATAGTTAGCTACTTAATTATGAAAGGTGTGGGAATATTTCAAACTTATTGCCAGTGTCCCTATCTAGAGTGCTCTGATTTAATTTTTTTTTAGAATAGGTATTCTCTCACTAAATGCCTAGAACAGGGTCTGAGATAGTTTGTGGTGATAAAGATAATGATATCTAATGCCTTTACAAATTTTAGGTGTCAAGTCAATTTTTTTGTTTTACTAACAGGTTTACCAATATTTTGAGACTCCTTTCCATAACATTTCTGTGACAAAAACATTATAGATAGGCTTTATAGAGTAGGTAACATGACAACAGCATTACCATCCAGGCCTTATAAAAGTAATAATTCAAGAAATGATCCTTTTCAAGCTATGTCCCACAGAAATCTAAGGTTCCACAGAGGATGCTGAAGGATTAAGGGATAAGAAAGTCACAGCTTCAGAGCACTGATCCTTCCTTTAGTCAGGCAGCACTACTTCTGTTTTCTATAATGTGGTTTTATGCAATTTAAAAAAGTTCCATTCTTAAAAAAAAAAAGAGATTTACTTAAACGTATGAATGTCACTGATTTAGTCAAAGTCCTTAATTTTACATAAGAAACAAAACAGGCTCAGAGAGACTGCAGCTTGCCTGAGGTCACAAAACCAATTAGTTACAAGGTAGGAGTGGGCTTCAGATCTTTCACTGAGCCTGGAGTTATTCTATGCCAGCACCTTCCTTCATATTCAGAAAAGAAATACAGGTTTTTAAAAATAGGCTGGGCGCGGTGGCTCACACCTGTAATCCCAGCACTTTGGGAGGCCGAGGCGGGAGGATCACAAGGTCAGAAGATCAAGACCATCCTGGCTAACACAATGAAACCCCGTCTCTACTAAAAATACACAAAATTAGCCGGGCATGGTGGCGGGCGCCTGTAGTCCCAGCTACTCAGGAGGCTGAGGCAGGAGAATGGCGTGAACCCAGGAGGCGGAGCTTGCAGTGAGCCGAGATCGTGCCACTGCACTCCAGCCTGGGTGACAGAGTGAGACTCCACATCAAAAAAAATAATAATAATAAAAATAAAAAAATAACTCAGACAGTCCAGGTGTGGTGGCTCACGCCTGTAATCTCAGCACTTTGGGAGGCCGAATTGGGTGGATCACAAGGTTAGGAGTTCAAGACCAGCCTGGACAATATGGTGAAACCCCGTCTCTACTAAAAATATACAAATTAGCCAGGCGTGGTGGTGTGCACCTGTAGTCCCACCTACTCAGGAGGCTGAGGCAGGAGAATCGCTTGAACCCGGCAGGCAGAGGTTGCAGTGAGCAGAGATCACGCCACTGCACTCCAGCCTGGGAGACAGAGTGAGACTCTGTCTCAAAAACAACAACAACAAAAAAAAGAGAAAATGCATCTATAAACTGTCATGATGCTCTATAATGTTTAAGCATGAGACAAAAAATAGTAGCTCTCCAAATTTGTAAGTTATGAATCAAATTTAAAGAACAATTAATATCATAACTTCTGGCTAGTACCAGTCAAGACACTCAATTTATAAAGAACCCATTTTTCAAACCGCAGAACAGAAAACTTGAAGGAGAAAATCTTTAGTTGAACCAAGCAAGCAGAAATTAAGAAAACTGTTCCTTAAAAGAACTATTCATTCTCCTCCAAATAAGACGTGGTTTAGGAAAATCAATCAAGTCAATTACCCATGTTGTGAGTTATTTATAGAAAAACTGAAAACACAAAACAGATTTCTCTTTACCGTCTAGCATACGTCTGTCCAACTTCTCATCATTAATTTGTACATACAAAGACATGGGATTAATTTCAATTATCACTTAAATCCAGCCATAAATGATAGGAGAACCTTCATTTTCCTGGCCTCAGGTTTCAAATGAGGACTTAGACTCTCTCTACCTATAGCTTCCTCTTGAGAGGATATCAGATCTACCTAATGGGTGAATTTGGGCAAAGCACACAGTGTGCTTGCTTGGCTCAGGGTCTCTTTCAAAAGATGTGTCTGCCCACAGTGACATGAGTTCAGGTCTGCTGTCATCTCTGCAGTAAGCAGCACGCACCTGCGATGGGTGTCAAGCATTTGTTTTCTCCACTTAAAACTCTGTGGGTTAGTGCCTAATCTGGCATAAAATACTGTGGCTGCACATCTGAGCCTCATCCTCCCATTAGTTATCATGAGTCTGCAATAGAGCTAGTGTGTTGATGTCCATCTATCTGACTCCTGTGTTCTGAACTCAGAAGGGAAGGAGGAGCACCATTTGCTGCCTATCCACCACAGCCTGAACAAGAAAGATGACTGTATAACACTTATAGAAATAGTTTCTTCTTCCTTGACTTTTCTAATCTTACCATACATTCTTCACAACTACCTCCACTTTAAAGAGGGGAGGAGTTAGAAAATTTTTTTAAAGAAATATAGTGAAATCAGTACCAAAGGCAAAGTCCAATAAATACAAAGTTCACTCTTCAGCAATAATTTATTGACAGGCTACTGCTAAATTATACTTGAGATTACAGGCTGGAAAATAAGGAGCCAATAAAACTATAAAAAGTACTTCTGATATATAGGACAAAGGATCCCAGGGTTAATCTAGAATGTGAAACCTGTAAGTAAAAATCAGTAAAACATAGGCATAGCAATCTATTATCACTACAATGGTGTTAAGTGGCAAGGCTATGTGGCAGGCCAGGTCTCACTAACGCAGGCCTCCATAACAACTGCTTTGGCACTGACTGAGTAGTTAAGTTAAACATTAAAAGCTGAAAGAGCCAGTGCCCTTATACAGGCTGGAATGTAACAAAAGCCCACCAAGAATCTTGCCTAGGCCTTCCCTGGGCCTTAAAGTATGACAAAATAATGAAGGAATTCTTAATAGGACCTGTTTGGTATTAAACAAGTTTTACTGGGGATCTCAAGAAACTCCCCAGGCCTCCACAAATAAGTTTATTGGGGGTCTAATGGAACTCCCAAACCTCCATGATTTAGCAGGAGACAAGATAAGGGTAATCGCTCCAGCACCTGGACCCATTTAGATTAAATAAATTTACTGAAGCTCCAGAGGAAGGTCTGCAGGACTTAGATCTTAGTTATAGATTAAAAGAAGTTAATCACTTATGTCTATAGACGAATGCACACTTACATGTAGATATATAGCTTAGAAGGTATATAAGCTCTGGAAAACTTTGTAATTTTGAATTGGTGTGGTAATAATTTCCAGGCCTTCCTTGTAACCCTGTAACCGGTTGCAGAAAATAAAACCTCTCTTCCCAATTCATCTGCATCTCATTACTGGACCATGATAAATAGCAGCCCGACTCTCAGTTTGGTCTGGGAACAGTCAGACTCTAGACTTCATATAATGGGGTGAGAGATGCAATAAATACTAACTGTCATGAATGTAGAGAAAACTTGTTTCAACAACCAGTTATAATATATTATTTCTCTGGTGTGTGATTTCATACAAAATTATAACCATTTTTCTTGAGGTTAGAGACAATGCTGAGTACGATAGCACTTCACAGTAGGAATAGTCCAAAGTGTTAAAATCTTGCAAATAAAGGAGATGTATAAACAGATCCAATATTAGTGCTATTTTTAACATTTTGCTTTTGAAAATCGTAGCTAAAAATTTCCAAATATCCTGTTTTGTAATGCCCCACCCAGAAACCCGCCCCACCCAGAAACCCACCCCACCCCCTACCTTTTTTGTAAATCTCAGTTTAGATGGTATGTTACCTCCTCCTCCTTGTATTAGCTGATGTTTTCCTATAGGAAATACTTAAGTTCCTAGCAACTCTAGAAGGCACCTTCTTTCTGTAACTCTAAAAATTCTGTAGACAACAGCTGTATAAGAACTCTTCCAAGGTGTGATTATGGAGACATGCCTTTGTATCTTTTTTTTTGAGATGGAGTCTTGCTCTGTCACCTGGGCTGCAGTGCAGTGGCACAATCTTGGCTCACTGCAACCTCTGCCTCCTGGGTTCAAGCGATTCTCCTGCCTCAGCCTCCCGAGTAGCTAGGATTATAGGCGCCCGCCACCACGCCAGGCTAATTTTTGTATTTTTAGCAGAGACAGGGTTTCACCATGTTGTCCAGGCTGGTCTCGAATTCCTGACCTCAAGTGACCCACTCGCCTCGGCCTCCCAAAGTGCTGGGATTACAGGTGTGAGCCTCTGCACCTAGCACTCATATCTTGATATAATCATGCTTTTAAATCTCTTTTAGTAAATCTAACATGATTGGGCAAAAAATGCCCCACAAGGAAACTAGGTATGCCTTGGAACTACTACATTAACATTAACTTTAAAACAAACAAATTTTCTACTTATCTAGAAATACTAAAAAATGAACACCCCCTTCCCCACAAAACAGAAATTTAAAAAAAAGTTCCTCAAAAATCTTCCCTTGCATCACATCTGCTTTTATTTATTTTATTTATTTTTTTCCCCCACCCATGAGATGGAGTCTTGCTCTGTCGCCCAGGTTGGAGTGCAGCAGCGCAATCTCAGCTCACTGCAACCTTTGCCTCCCAGGTTCAAACGATTCTCCTGCCTCAGCCTCCCAAGTAACTGGGACTGCAGGCGCACACCACCATGCCCAGCTAATTTTTCTATTTTTATTAGGGACGGGGTTTCACCATGTTGGAGGTTGGTCTCAAACTCCTGACCTCAGGTGATCCACCCACCTTGGCCTCCCAAAGTGCTGGGATTATAGGTTTGAGCTACAGTGCCCGGCCTACATCTGCTTTTTATACTCTCTCAGCACCATCTTGTAAAATGATACATTACCTTGTTTTTCTGGTAAGTACTGTGAAAGGAAAATATCTTGGGCCTCCAAAATCACTAAGCTAAAAGGAAAACTCAGGCTGGAAACTGCTTAGGGCAAACCTGCCTCCCATTCTATTCAAAGTTACCTCTCTGCTCACTAAGATAAATGCAGATCTGACTGTCTCCTTTGGAAAGGCTAATCAGAAACTCAAAAGAGTGCAACTGTTTGTCTCTCACCTATCTGTGACCTGGAAGCCCCCTCCCCGCCACCAGTCTTCCTCCCTTTGCTTCAAATTGTCCCGCCTTTCCAGAGTGAACCAATGTACTTCTTAAATATATTGATTGATGTCTCATGTCTCCCTAAAATGTATAAAACCAAGCTGTGCCCCAACCACCTTGGACACATGTCATCAGGACTTCCTGAGGCTGTGTCACGGATGTGTGTCCTCAACCTCGGCAAAATAAACTTTCTAAATTAATTGAGACTTGTCTCAAATTTGGGGGGTTCATAGTACTAATGAGAACATTATATTTGCATCTTGCTTAACCATTGACAGACGTATTTAACATTCATTTCCCATTAGTACCCAGTGGTACAATTTCGTGACTGAGGCATTTGGATGCTGATCATCTCATTTTTTTCAGAAAAATAAAACCTAAGCGAACAATATGATTAAAAATATCAGCTAGCTGGGCTCTTGTAATCTATGTATTAAAACAATCATTTAATGCATTCTCTTTTAAGCTATTTAGCCACAATGCTATCTAAGAAACCTTAGATTTGCTCTTCTATGATTTGTTAGGACACGAAATAGCCAGGTAAACACAACAAGGTTGAGGTTCATTCCATGTGGGCCTGTGCTACTTTTCTGTGCGCTAAGGAGATCATAAAAACATCAAAACTATAAGCCAATGTGCATCGATGGAAAATTTTAAAAACAACAATATACACAAAGAAAACTATTTATTGTTGTTCAAACAAATGTTTTACGGATTTTGTAATTTTTTTAAGAGACAGAATCTTGCTATGTTGCCCAGATTGGAATGCTGCAGTGCCGTAGCTACTCACAGGAATAATCATTGCGCACTGCAGATTTGAACTCCTGGGTTCAAGTGATCTTCCTGCCTCAGCCTCAGGAGCAGCTGGGACTACAGGTGTGTGCCACTGTGCCCAGTTTTTGTAATTTTCCCTCAGTTGAAAAATGGACAAATGTTAGACAAATACCTTAATCTGGGTCAAGCATAGTTGAACTACGTTTTGTTTTTTTTTTCCTTACCAACTCTATAGTTGATACAGCTCGTCATTTTTGGATCCATTTTGAAATCCCCAGAAATAGACTCTTACTCTGAGTGAAACCACACGGTTGAACTAAAAGGTTCCTGTTACATGTCCAGGGGAGATGTCCATGTGCAGCTTTACATGGAATTTGGGGTATTAAGAATAGAACTGATTCTGTTTGGTCACATTTGCTATTGAAGGACTCTAGATACCATTGCCATCTTAGTCATCAATTACTAAAGTTATGGCCAGGTAGAGAGACAAAACTTATGTGAGCTTTACTTTAAAAATTCAAATATTTATTTGATTTAACTATTTCAAAACCACTGTGCTATTGCATAGCAATAGACACATTTTACTAAAATTGGGATTAAAACACTATTAAGTGCAATAGCAATTACAGATGTACTCATGTAAGAAAATCACAAAACTTTGAACTTAAAGAACAGATTAATCAAGTGTTGCAGGTTTATATAACATACAAAAGTATTCACCTTGGGTCCTTTTAAATAATAAACATCCATGGGTGGTTAGTGTTTGGACACCAATCATTCACATATGATGACGGGTAGAAAACCTGAGATGATGCAGAAAAACTTTAAAAGTGACCCCAGGCACACTAAACCATTAAAAGTGAACCCCAGACAAACTAAAATCAATTAGTAAGACAAAGCACATCAAAGTAAACCTTTGGTTAAAATCTAACTTAAATGCAGTTTTTAAAAAAATTTAAAATGTGTCAGTTTGGTTACATTTATTAAATAAAGTTAACAAAGGAGTAATCTCTTATGAATGAGAGCTCCAGAGACTTAAAAATAACTGTAAAATTTCTGTCTCCTCTCTTTATTAACACAGGTAATTATTACTTTTACTTACCATACACAAGACAATTAAGTAACTGAGTATTTTACCAAATAACACACAAGAATTCTATCAGAAATCTGAACGCCGAAGGAAAAAAGATAGCTAACCTTCAACAAGTAGCTCTCCATGTCCTTAAGAGCAGACCTCTTTTTTCTTGGAATATGTTTTCTGTTGAGACCTTCACTATCATTAAGATTTCCAACGCAAGGTGACTTAGGACTGGCCTTGTAGCATAAGCAGTGAATAGAGATCTGGATCTGGTCTGCTCTTTCTCCACAGTAAGTTGCGTACTGACCTCTGCTATCATCTCATTAGTTCTACGAAGATTGAAAAAGACAAATGCTTAGTATTTCATTTTTTCCTAAATGATTCCTAAATGACTTCGATTGTTCTAAAAGTTGCCATTAAGAGTAAATGGAATATACCATAGGCCGTGTTTTAACTCTGAAAATGTGTTAGAGCATGCCTACTGTATCCAATTATAGTTTTAACATTGTTCTAAAGAAGTACATCTATTTCTAGAGGGATTTCTAACAAACAAGTAGTTCAAAGAGAGGGAGGGGACAGAAAAGACTATCAATGATGTATGGCTTCATAGTTAACACTTGTTGCCCATCTGGAATGACTCTACTTATACGATTCTTAAGGATGCCATTAGAATTACTTGTATTCCAAGGGTAACTATGTGAAATGATGAAGATATTAATTTGCTTGACAAAATAACCATTTCACTGCGTATAAATATATCAAAACATCAAGTTGTACTCCTTAAATATATACAAGAAAAAAACTAAAAGTAAAAATAAAAGCTAGAAATACTTGTATTTAGTAAACAATACATGTTGTTAGAGATTGTCTAAAAAACTCTCTCTCAAAGACATTTTCAAACAATTGTTTTCACCACCCTTGTATATTTCACCCATTATCTGGAAAAAATTGAGCATTTGGCACTGAGGAATCATTCACGGCGACTTTTCCTTGGGGAGAATAAGACTGCTGAAATCAAAGAGAACTAAAGCAGCATCGAGGACAATCAGCTCCTAACACTGTGGCCCATGTATCAGAGGTGGGGCCTGCCCTTTCTGTCTTCCATATACCCCCTCAGGCTGACCAAGGTGTTATTTTTTATCACTTAGTAAGTTATACTTCCCTTCAACCCTAGTTGATCATTCTCTGCTTCACAAGTGTGCCTTTATGTGGATTGGAAAAACTATACAGGACACTTCTTCTCAAGGCACCCTCTAATGATCACAATCAAGCAAAGTGAATTTACTGAGTGCCAGAATGTGTCCAGAGTAGTCGTACTTGACCCTTTCGGTTTTCAGCTGTCGTCTTCCAGAAATTAATTAAATTCATTAATATTTTGAATTAAGGGAATACTGACAAGCAATTTTTATAATGGTATCACTGTCTAAATTATGAAGCTTCATAAATATTTAGCTGAAACCCTAATAGATCAGGTTAACTATATAAGAATATTAAGGGGTGGGGGGAAGCCACATAAAACCAAAAAACAGGAGAGACAGGAACTGTCCTGGACTAAAGATTTTAAAGGTTACGTTCATTTACTATTTTCAATTTTACTTAAAGGTTAAGTTCATTTACTATTTATAATTTACAATTTTCCAAAATTGTATGATCTAGTTAGCTTTCACTTCCCACAAATCTCATGAACCTGTCTCACTAAAAGTCATGCTTTTGAAGGCAAATTAATGAGCTTAACTTATTTTCTATGATTCTGCATATTGACTTACCTACTGAGTTCATTTGACAAGGATTCTCTAACTTTTACTTCTTCTAGGTAGAGTTCCTTATATCTTTCCAATTCGGTTTTATTAAAGTCGGCTTGCGAAGTTTTTATTCTGGAGATTTCAGATTCCAGATCTTTGATTGTGAGTTCCATCTGAGTTTTTATTGAAGTAGTATTATCCTCCCTTAACTGTGCTAACTGTTCATGAGATACTGCTGCTTGTTTCTAAAATAAATTAAAAGGGAACATTTTAAAAGTAATTATAACCTGAATAATTACTGTGTATTTGTTTCCTTTTGTTTGGAGTCAGTGACTCAGAGAACAATTTTAAGTATGTGATTCAGAGAACAATTTTAAGAAAAATGTGAAGAAAGAAAGAAGCTCAAGCTTAACATATTTATCACCAGTACCAACTGAATTAATAACTGAATCTGAATTGTTGAACAATTCTCCAAAGAATGACAGAACCAAGTTAAAATTTTAAAAGTGGAACAACGTAACTTAAAAGCAGTTCAAGAGTATGGTATAATTTCTAAATCACAATTTTTTTTTTTTTTTACTTTTTCTATTAGTCTTGTTTTATGCCAACTGGCTTTAGTAATTAAATGATTCTCTAGTGAGAATTATTCTTATGGAAGATCAATTTAGTTATAAGAATGATGGAAACGAAAATATTTAAATGGAGAAACAAATACCACCTTCCTTCTAGAAGTCTACCAAACAAATTGCTGTAAGGAAAGTAGAGAAAACATGTACAATGTATATATCCAAAATAAAATTTGCAGTGAAATGAATGAAAGCACATTACAGATAAATGAACCAACCTGCAAGGTGAGAACGGCTTCGTTTAATTTTTCTTGTATCTCCTTCCTTGCTCTTTCTTCAATCAACAGTTTATGCCGTTCACCTTCACCACGTTCTAACATATTTCTTTCCATATAACTTTTGAGGTTTACTACTTCTTGTTTCAGCTGCTTCTTATTCTTCTGTAGTGTTTCACATTGCTTTTGTATTGCTTTCATAGAGAATAATGTCTGTTGAAGTTGAAGAACTTCATTCTCTGCATCCAGATGTAGACATCGTGAAGGTACAGTTTCCTGTGCTTCTGTAAGGTCAATCTGCATGAGTAAAACAATATAGTTTGGTAATGAAGAAGGTAGACTGAGAATGGTCTAACAAAAAACTAATATTTTTTTTTTTTTTTTTTTTTTGAGATGGAGTCTCGCTCTGTCGCCCAGGCTGGAGTACAGTGACGGGATCTCGGCTCACTACAAGCTCTGCCTCCCGGGTTCAGGCCATTCTCCTGCGTAGCTGGAGTAGCTGGGACTACAGGCGCCCACCACCACCCCTGGCTAAATTTTTTTATTTATTTATTTTTTATTTTTAGTAGATGGGGTTTCACCGTGTTAGCCAGGATGGTCTCGATCTCCTGACCTCATGATCCACTCGCCTCGGCCTCCCAAAGTGCTGAGATTACAGACGTGAGCCACCGCGCCCAGCCAAAACTAATAATTTTTGAAATAAATTCAGTTGCAATAAAATGTTACCTATACTGTTGTAGATTCATAAAATACAGACCCTTGGATTACTCAGAAAATTAAAAACAAAGTTAAAACCACCAGAATTCACAAAAATACATCCTTTACTTTCATCATCTTTGCCACACAACATTTGGACTTGATCTTAGACTTCTGTTTTCCTATGATTGTTTCATGGCTTTCCTCCTTAAAATGGCTCTAAGTTACCCCTTTAGCACAAAGTCTCTTATTCCTTTAACCCACTATCATTCTCCATAATTTGCAGAGAAGTTTTAGGGGCATCATATTGAATTATTTGGGCCTGAGTCAATAAATGGCTCCCATAATAAGACTCTGAAAATAAGACTCTAATTAATACATTTTGAAAAAAAAAAAAGGATTCCAATACCATAAGCCTTTTGCTGAACTGCAAATGTCTTACGCTAATTTGAGTTACATTTCAAAGAGTAATGATACTTGGAGTTAAGAAGCAATCACATCTCCCAGTATAAAAGTTCAGTGGCATGATCCATACCATTTTTCTGAAGAAAAATGCCTTAATTCAGTAGCACAATCTTGTAATTCATTGTTACTTTACACAAAATAAGGGAGCACATTAAAGAATGACAACAAAAAATTGCACTGAAATTTCAGTGGTGCTGAGTTGGAAATAACTGCTTTCCTTTAGAGGACATAATTATGATTGTTTTTTATTTTATAAAGGTAAGTGAAGTGGTGGTTTTAAAACATCTACAAATTGCTTGCCACTTCTCCCATGACATTCCCTCTCCTGAATACAAGCTGGCATTGACAACCGGTTTCTCCGGAACACAATGTGGCAGAACTGCTGTGTGACTTCTAAAGTTGGTTACAAAAAGTCACACAGCTTCTACCTGACTCTCTCTCTAGGGACGCTTGTCCTTAAAATGCAGCCAACATGCTGTGGGGAAGCCCAAACCACACCGTGAACCCTCATGTAGGTAGGTGTTCGAGCTGACTTCCCTACCTAACGTCCCAGCCAAAAGCCAGCTTCGAATGCCGCACAGGTAAATAAACAAGCCTTTAGATGATTCTAGTCCCCAGCTTTAAGTCACCTCAGCTGATGCCAAGTAAAGAGAAAGTGAGTTGGCCCCACTGAGCCTTGCCTAAAACTGCAGATTGTGAACAAAATAGATGTTGTTTTGAGACACTGCATTTTTTTATATACCAAGAAATAACTGATACAGATATTGACACTACATATAGATTGCACAACAACAACACAACAAAAACTACTAAAACATGTAGGACTACCATTGGACCAGGAGCTAATCAGAAGCTAAAAGGACCTACAGAAGAATAAGCACAAAAACAAGAAGAGTTTTAAAGAGACTGTTAGTGGAAGCCTGATGGTCCTCGAAGAAGCTGGTAGGAAGGGCTTCAAGGATAGTGAAGAAAACGATACGGGAACCTGAAGGAAAGGGCACTGTTACTACACAGCCGCTGAAAGTAAAACCAATGCAAGAGATAAGCTAAAGAAAGACTACTACATATAAAAGAACCAGGACTTTCTAGGTTCAGTATCCTTTTTATAGCCTCTCCACATGTCAGATTCCCAAATATAGACAGTCCTTGACTTAGCATGGTTCGACTCACCATTTTCTGACTTTTTATAATACTGTGAAAATGATATGTGTTGAGTAATGAAATGATATGTGTAAGCCTTTTGGCTTACAGGGGTGGTTACATCAGGATAAAGTCACTGTAAATGGAAATTATCGTAAATGGAAAACCCACCCATAACTTCTGATATTTGCAATTTATGATGGCCTATAAATTGCAAATATCAGACATAACAAATGCAAATGCCATCCAGACATAAACCCATCCTAATCTGAGGAGCATCTGTATTGCTGAGATAAATGGCCTCTGAGATAAGATCAAATCCAGGGTGCTGCCAGGAGAAAGTCTGAAGGTGAAGCCAAGACTGTCAGTGTAAGGCTCTATTTTAAGACCTTAGAAAGATTTAAGGCGGTGCCTCAAATTCCCTTAAAGATCTTAAGGGTATACGCATCTTAAGGCACTGTCCTACTACACAGAACAGTGTGCTTCCTTCACAGGAAGCACAAGGTGAAGTGCTTATCTCAAAGAGATTGGGACAAGTGGTTTTTCCAATGACAAGAACTCAAGTAAAATTCACAAGAGACTCTAAGAGAATTATAGTAACAATAGCACTGCTTGCTAGCTTGGCTTAAAAGACAACAAGACAGTAAAAATGAAAAGAGGCCTTAGGACCTAAGAGCTTCTACAGGGAGGAAGCTGGCTGAAGAAACTACTTAGCTGAAAACACAGGTCATTGCTTATGAAAAGGATACAACAAAGAGCCAAGAAGGTACCACAAAAAGCCACAGAGTATGGTTCCCATGAAGTCCAAATCAAGTAAGTGGAAGCACACATCAGGCTGTATTTCAGAATTTCTATGGTCTAATATTCCCTTTGTGACTCCCATTTTCTCTCTGTTCAATAGGAGGGTCTCTGGCAGTTTAGGAGAACGCTGGGTGGGTGAGTGGTAGACAAGTTGTCCCTTTAGTTCTTACGTCTTTGTGTTGACAAGAAATGCACTCAAGGGGTTATACCGCAGAAACCACAACCCAGGGTGCATCCCTACCGGCTGTGATAAAGATGGTAGGATCTTGCACTTCAAGCCTGAGCTTGCTGCCATATTAAATGAAACTTGTGTGTGTGTGGTGGGAGGTTAGGATCTTGCACTTTAAGCCTGAGTCTGCTGCCATATTAAATAAAACCTGTGTGTGGGGTGAGAGGTAATAATTAGAAATTAGTGTGTTTTTCAAGTTGTAGAAATCTTTTAAATTATAGTTATAGGGTCAATTGTGCAGGTTTTAAAACATGTCTATACATTCCTTAATATGCACAGCATAGACAGAGACATCATCGAGATGGCTGACTGGGAATACCCAGCACTCACCTCTTTCAAAAAGAAAAACCAAAACAGCAAGCAGGTAACCACACCTTGAGGAAAACATCAAAGAGAGTATACTGGAATTCAGCAGGAAATTGATAGGGATCCTCTGATGACAGAAGGAAAGGGAACTGAGGTAGCCAGCCCAGCCAGGATCATCTCAAAACCAGGACCGATTCCCCCAAATCCCTAGCCCCACAGAACCATATACCTGTGGAAATAGGTGGTCACCTAATAGCCCACCAGGGAAACTACTCTAGGTCAAAGGGATCCTAAGTGTGTGCTGTCTAGAGCCTAGGAGCCACCTGACTGACACCACTGCCACCACCAGCAGCCCTACCCCCTTCAGGGGCAGTGCTGTGCATACCTGTACATACCTTTAGGAGGCCGGAGGACTGGCCCACTCAAGTGTACCATGCAGGAGCCTGAGAACAAGCCTGTCAAACCCACCAGGGTTGGCGCCCATGTGAGCCATATGAGAGCCTGAAGACAAGGCCACTTTGCTTGCTGCTGCTATTGTTGCTATCAGTGCTCACATACACTGTCCAGGACCCTGAGGAGCAGCCCACCCCACCCAGGCCTCTGTGCCTTTACCCAGGCCCCGTCTACCACTAATACCAAGGAGAGTCCTACTGCCCCACCGGCACCTGCACATGGCATCCAGGAGCATAAAGACAGGGCTGCCTCACCAGCCACTGGCAAAGGCTCCTGCACGTGTCTTCAGTTAACCTGTGGACAAGCCTGCTCCACACACTGCCTTAGGTACCCACCTAAATGTTCCTCACAGGGGGCCAGAGAAATGCCCATGCAGCCTGCTTTCACCACTATCAGTGCCCATGCATGCTACCAAGGGATCCAAGGTCCGGCCCCCAGCTGCTACTGTCATCTCCAGTGCCACAAGTGTCACCAAGGTCCTTTGGCCTGGCCTGCTATTGCCACCTCTGATCCCAGCACACACCACCTGGAGGCCCAAGGGCCAGCCCACTCAGGTAACCCACTGCCACCAAAAACTGGGAAGCATGGCCTGGTGCTGCCAATCACACATACATCCTTGTGTATGCCATCAATGTGCCTGAGGACTGGCCTGCTGTCCTCCCCATCAACATCAAGGCCTCACCACAGCATCCCCTGCTACTAACAACCACACCGTAAGCCACTGAGGAACTTACAGACGCTGATGTTGATTACAGCAGAAGAAAGCATAAGTATATGGAGACCACACCAATGCACCCACCCATCATCAATGCCAGAGCACCATATTCAACCAACAACATAGATACATCTACAGAAAAAAGTCAACCCCTAAAACTAGATGAAGTGACTGTTACACCAGCTGCACAGGTATCAACATTAAGGACACAAGAAGTACGAAAAATCAAAGAAACATGACACCTCCAAAGGAACAGAGTAATTCTCCAGTAACAGATCCCAAAGAAAACAAAACCTATAAAATTCAAAATAATGATCTTAAGGAAACATAGTGAGATACACAATAATACAAAGGAATCAGGAAAGATTCCTGATAGGAAAGATAGGTAATACAAATGAATCAGGAAAACAATTTATGATCTAAATAAGAAATTCAACAATGAAAAAGAT
Organism: Homo sapiens; assembly: GCF_000001405.40. Lineage (NCBI taxonomy): Eukaryota > Metazoa > Chordata > Mammalia > Primates > Hominidae > Homo > Homo sapiens. The sequence goes on from NC_000017.11 coordinate 18,559,224, forward strand.
AGCATTAAAAGGAACCAAGCAGAAATCCTGGAACTGAGAATTCAATACATAAAATAAAAACAACTGAGAATGTTGGCAATAGACTAGATCAAGGAGAAGAATGAATTTCTGAACTTGAAGAGAGGTCTTTATATGAGGCCAGGCAAACAAAAAGCAAAAAGAAAAAAAAAGAAAATAAAAAGAATGAAGACAGTGTATGTGATATATGGGCCATCATGAGCCAAAATTTTTTCGGATATTGGGAGTTGCAGAAATAGAAGAGATGGGAAAAGGCACAGAAAACCTATCTAATGAAATAATAGCTGAAAAACTACCAAGTCTTGTGAGAGATGTAAACATCTGGATACAGATGTCTCAAAGATCCCCAAAGAAATACAATAAAAAATGTCTTCTCTGCGGCACATCAGAGTCAAATGTCAAAAGTCAAAGACAAAGAGCAAGAGAAAAACACCAAGTCACATACAAGGGAATCCATATCAAATAGCATATTTGTCAGCAGAAACCTTAGAGGATAGGAGAGAATGACATGATATATTTAATATGCGGGAAGAAAAAGACTGCCTGTCAAGAATATTATACCTAGCAAAGCTATCCTTTAAAACTGAAAAAGAGGGGCCAGGTGCAGTGGTTCATCCCTGTAATCCTAGCACTTTGGGAGGCCAAGGTGGGGGGATTGCTTGAGCTCAGGAGTTCAAGACCAGCCTGGCCAATTTGGCAAAACCCTGTCTCTACGAAAAATATACAAAATTAGCCAGGCATGGTGGCTCATGCCTGTGGTCCCAGCTACTCAGGAGGCTGAGGCACAAGAATTGCTTGAACCTGGGAGGCAGAGGTGGCAGTAAGCTGAGATCATGCCACTGAACTCCAGCCAGGGCAACAGAGTGAGACTCTGTCTCCAATAAATAAATAAATAAAACTGAAAAAGAAATAACGTCTCAGACAAGCAAAACCTGAAGGAATGCATCACCACTAGACTGATCCTACAAGAAATGCTTACAGGAGTCCTCAATCTGGAAGCAAAAAGACAATGTCTACCACCATGAAAATCAAAAAACTGTAAGACTCACTGGTAGAGCAGTTACAGAACTGAAAAAGAGAAAGGAATCAAACATTATCACTACAGAAAATCAGCAAATTGTAGAGGTAAACAATAAAAGAGGAAGATAGGAACAAATGATAGACAAAACAATCACTAAACAATTAATAAATGAAAGGAGTAAGTCCTCACCTATCATAAAAACTTTGAATATATGTGATTTAAATTCCCCAATTAAAGATATAGATAGAATGAATGGATTACAAAAAAAGACCAAATAATACGCTGCCTACAAGAAACTCATTTTACCTGTAAAGACACATAGACTGCAAGTGAAAGGATGGAAGGATATTCCATGCAAATGGAAACCAAAAGCACACAGGAGTAGCTATATTTATATGAGACAAAATAGATCTTAAGTAAAAAAAAAAAAAAAAAACATAAAAGAGAAAGAGAAGGGCATTATATAATAATAACAGGATCAATTCAGCAAGAGGATACAGCAGTCATAAAGGTATATATACTCAATACCTGAGCACACAGATATATAAGGCAAACATCACTGAAACTAAAGAGACAGATAGCCTCCAGTACAATAATAGATGGGGACTCCATAGTCTGACTTTCAGCATTGAAGGGATTATCTAAACAGAAAATCAACAAAGAAACATCGAAATGAACCTGCACTATAGACCACATGGACCTAGCAGACACTTACAGAACACTGTATTAAGAAGCTGCAGAATACACATCCTTCTCATTAGCACATAGAACATTCTCCAGAATAGACCATATATTGAGTTTAAAAGCTCATATCAAATATCTTCTCAAACCACAATGGAATAAAAATGGAAATCAGTAACGACAAAAACTTTGTAAACTGTACAAATGCATGGAAATTAAACAGCATGCTCCTGAATGAACAACTGGGCCAATCAATAAATTAAGAAAAAAAATTTAAAATATCTTGAAACAAATGAAAATGGGGAAAAAAATCAATCCCTATAGAAAGTGACAGAAGAAGCACTAAGAGGGCAATTTATAGCAATTAACAGCTACATCCAAAAAAGAGAAAGACTTCAAATAAACAACCTAACAATACACTTGAAGAAACCAAAAAAGCAAGAACAGACCCAAAACTCAAATGTAGTAGAAGGAAAGAAATGATAAAGGCAGGGCAGAACTGAATGAGGTAGACTAATAAAGCAAAACTGAAAACTATATTAAACATGAAAAAAGAGAAAACTCAAGTAAATAAAGAGGGAAACATAAAAGGAGATAGCAAAGAAATACATGGAGTCATGAGAGACTATTATGAACAACTATATGCCAACAAACTGGAAACGTATGGAAAATGGATACATTCCTGGAAGTGCATAACCAGCAAGAATGAACCAAGAAGAAAAGGAAACCTGGACAGACCAATAACGGTAATGTAATTGAATCAGTAATAAAGTTTACCAACAAAGAAAGGTCTAAAACTGGGTAAGTTACTCTGAATTCTACTAAACTTTTAAGGAAAAACTAACACCAATTTTTTATAAATTATTCCAAAATCTTCCTAGTTTATTCTAAAGGTCAGTATTACTCTAAGGCCAAACCCAGACAAAGACACAACAACAAAAGAAAACTACATGCCAGTATCCCTGAAGGATGCAGATACAAAAATTGTCAGAGAAATAAAGGGGATCCAGATTGGAAAACAGAAAGTCAAATTGTCTCCCTGTGCACATGACCTGATCTCATATACAGAAAACCATAAACACGCCACCAAAAAAGCCTGTTAGAACTAAAGAATTCAGCAAAGGTGCAGGCCACAAAATCAGCATACAAAAATAATGCCAATAGCATGTGTAACATTTCTATACACTAATAATCAACTAGCATAAAAAGACATCAAGAAGGCCGTCCCACTATTCTAGCTACAAAATAATAAAATGGCTCAGAATAAAGTTAACCAGAGAGATTTTGTAAAGAGCTTTATAAAAAAAAAAAAAAAACTACAAAACACCGACAAAAGAAATTGTAGAGGACACAAACATGGAAAGATATTGCATGCTCACGGACTGGAAGAATATTGGTTAAATGACCTTATTACTGAAAGCAGTCTACAGATTGAACGCAAGCTCTATTAAATACCAATTTTGATGTTTTTAGGGGAAGACAAGATGGTCACCACATGCAGCCAGGAGATGCCTCTCTGCGAGAGAGAAACCAAAATATCAAGTAAATTATCACACTTGGAGTAGGTCTTTGGAGAGAAAACACTGAAATTTGATAGGTAATGCAGGCATCAAGGCTGAAGAGGAATAAATCTGGGAAGCCTGCACAGAGTCACCAAGCACTAGGATTACCTCCCAATCCAGAAACTAAGGAAGGGGTGGGTGAAGGAACTGTGCAGCACCACACTCCCACCAACGAACTCTGGGATACTAGCTCCCGGAGATCCCTGGACCCACACAGACATCTGAACTGGCAAGAGGAACCGGCTGGCGAATAGGCAGAGGCACAGCTCAAACCCGCATACAGCCCAGAAGGTTTCGCACCTGGTACGGCTGCAGCAAAACATGACCATAGGCACCCATCCCCCAAGGCTCTCCATCTTGCTCTGAGTGACTCTAGCTCCTGCTTACTGCCAGGCCAGAAGACAGTAGGGCTGCATTTACCATGGGACTGCAGCATATCTGGTCTGTGTACCTTCTTGTCCACCAGCCCCTCCCAAGGCCCCTGCCTAGCTACTCACGCAAGGGTAAGCACACAGCACAGCCTCCACTGCCCCATCTGAGTGCTTTGCCGGAGGCCTGGGAGCAGTTCAGCCCCCACCCTCAGCACAGCCAAAGCTCAACCCCATGAGACCAGAAGACAAAGTCATGAACCTGGTCTCAATACCCCCCGGATTCAAGCACACTGCTCAAGTATACTGAGCTGGTGTCTGTGGCCTGAGCTCAAGAAGAGGAGTAGCTTTCTCTCTCACAATGCCGAGAAGAGAGGGCCCAAGTTCATATGCCAGTGTGGGAGCCAGGTGTGCTCCCTCTGCAACAGCAGTCCCCAACCTTTTTGGCACCAGGTGCTGGCATTGTGGAAAACAATTTTTCCACAGACGGTGGGGTGGGGATAGTTTTGCGATGGAACTGTTCCACCTCAGATCGTCAGGCATTAGATTCTCATAAGGAGCACGCAACCTAGATCCCTCACGTGCACAGTTCACAATAGGGCTCGCGCTCCTATGAGAATCTAATGCCGCTGCTGATGTGACAAGAGGAGAAGCTCACGTGGTAATGCTCACTCACCAGCCCTCCCCTCACCTCCTGCTGTGCGGCCCAGTTCCTAACAGGCCACAGACCAGTACTGGTCTGCCACCTGGAGGTTGGGGACCCTGTTCTACAAGATCTGTCCAGGAAGGGTGTATGTAACCTGTCTGTCCACAGCCTCTGCCTGAGGGAGCACCACTGCCTGAAACAGCTAACAGTCCAGTTGATCTGGGCACGGAAGGCTGGGGGACAAAACTACCTAGTTGGGCCTGCCCTGGGGGCAGACACTGGAGGGAGGCCTGGTTGGGTGAGTGCCAGCTAAGTGCTCCCCACAGCCATCTGCTAGGCAAAAAACTCTGGGCTGCAGGCACCACACCAGGTGCACACCCACAGAACCACAGCCCTGCCCGGGGATCCTCCCCCCTTGACCCACATTATATCAACAGACAACCCGCAGATCCGCAGACATACTCTACAACCTGCTCTGACTCTACCAAGCCCAGACAACCAGCACGTCCCCAGAGAGTTGTAGGTCTCTCGGCAACCTAACTTTTGGCTTGGGCCGCTGCCCTAAGGGTGGGAGGTGTGCAGCCCTCAAAATTCAGGTGTGGCACCAGTGATTGGAGGGGGCTCTCCCAAGTTCCAGGAACTGATTTGGTGAGGGGGTTATCTCTCACCTTCCCAATCCTACTTCTCCCCCTTCCCCAGAGCACTGCCGCCAACACGCTGAAATAGAAGAGGCATGCCAGCCCGTACTCTAGAGCACCATCTCCTGGATTGCAGACTGAATTACATCACCAAACAAAAATTATATACCTTCAACACACATCTGTGAAACCCAATGCAGGAAAGTAGCCACAAGGAAGGAACCTGTGTAGAGTCCTGGCCATCTGAAACCACCCAGAAACAAAGGCCAATCAACTATACACAATACACACCACAAATCCTCAAGAGAAAAAAAAGAACATAAAAACAAAAATCCCCATCCAAATGACAGGAATTTCAAAACGATAAAGAAACATCAGCATTTTCAGAGGAGGAATAATCAGCACAAGAACTCTAGCAACTCAACAAATCAGAGCATTTCATTACCTCCAAAAAATCACACTAGCTCCCCAGCTATAAATTCTCACCAGATTAAAGTGTAATGACATGCTTTATCACAGACATGTGATTCAGAATCTCAATGGCAACAAAGCTCAATGAGATTAAAAAGAAAGTTGAAATCCACTCCAAGGAAGCCAGTATAACCATCCAAAAGTTGAAACACGACAGAGCCATTTTTAAAAAGAATCAAACTGAACCTCTGGAGCTGCAAAATTCAACACAGGAGGGACCTTCAAAACCAGATGAGACCAAGCGGAGGGAAGGATTACAGAGCTCAAAGACCAGTCTTTTGAGTCAGCCCAGTCAGACAAAAATAAAGAAAAAACCATTTTAAAAATGAACAAAACATCTGAGGAATGTGGGATTTTGTAAAGACACTAATCTATGACTCATTGGCATGGCTGAAAGAGAAGGAGAGAGAGGAAGCAACATGGAAAACATGTCTGAGGATATAGTCCATGAAATTTCCCCAATCTCATTACAGAGGTTGATGGAAAAATTCAAGAAATTCAGAGAACCTCTACAACCATCCCCAAGATACACAGCCCATCAGACTTTCCAAGGTCAACACGAAAGGAAAAATCTCACAGGCAGCTATAACAGCTGCATCAGGTGAAAAGCTGACCTCTTTCCGGCAAAAACCTTATAAGCCAGAAAGTGGGGCCTGTTGTCAGCATCCTTAAAGAAATTTCAGCCAAGAACTTCATACCACTCCAATCTAAGCCTCATCAGTGACAGAGAAATACAATCTTTTCCAGACAAACACTAAAGAAATTCGTTACCGCTAGACCAGACTTACAAGAGATTCTTAAGGAGTTCTAAATATGGAAAAGAAAGAACAATACCCACTACCACAAAAACACACCTAAGTACATAGCCCACAGACCCTATTACACAACTACACAATCGAGAGTACAAAGCAAACAGCTAAAAACATCATGGCGGAATCAAAATCTCACATATAAATATTAATACTGAATTCAATGGTCTAAATGCCTCACTTAAAAGGCACAGAGTGGCAAGTTGAATTAAAATAAAACAAACCAATAAGAATCAACAGTCTGCTATATTCAAAAGACATATCTCACATGTAATGGCACCCACAGGCTCTGAGTAAAGAGATGGACAAAGATCTGTCATGCAAATAAAATGCAAAAAGCAAGGGGTTGTTATTCTTAGATAAAACAGACTTTAAACCAACAACAGCCAAAAAAGGATGAAGAAGGGCATTACACAATGATAAAGGACTCACTTCGCCAAGAAGACATCCCTAACCTAAATATATACCCACCCAACACTGGAGCACCCACATTCAAAAACAACCAAGTACTTCCAGACCTACCAAAAGACTCAGTCACACAATAACAGTGGGGATCTTCAACATCTCATTGATAGTGTTAAGGCAAATCATTGAGACAAAAAACTAACAAAGAAATTCTGGGCTTAAATTTAACACTTGACTAATTGGACCTAACAGACATCTACAGAATACTCCACCAAACAACTACAGAATACACCTTTTTCTCATCTGCACAAAGAACATACTCCAAGATCAACAACATGTTTGCCCATAAAGCAAGTCATGATACATTTTTAAAAAATGAAATCACACAACACCATTCTCTTGGACCACAGTGCAATAAAAATAGAAATGAATACCAAGAAGATCTCTGAAAACCACACAATTACATGGAAATCAAACAACTGGCTCCTAAATGACTTTGGGAAAAGAAAGAATTTAAGGCAGAAATCAAACAATGATTTGTAATAAGCAAAAAGAAACATCATACCAAAACTTCTGGGATACAGCAAAAGCAGCATAAGAGGAAAGCTTATAGTGCAAAACAAATATGTTGAAAAGTTAGACAGATCTGTAATTAACAATCTGACACTGTGCCGAGAGGAACTAAAAAACAAGGACAAAATAACCCCAAAGCTGGCAACAGAAAAGAAATAACTAAAATTAGAGCATAACTGAGAAAACTTGAGGCCCAAAAATCCATACAAAGGATCAGTGAAACCAAAAGTTGGCTTTTTGAAGGGATAAAAATACTGATAGGCTACTAGCTAGATAAATAAATAAATAAATAAATAACAGAGAACATCTAAATAAGCACAATCAGAAACAACAAAGATGACATTACAACCAATCCCATAGTAATACAAAAGATCCTCAGAGACTACAATGAACACCACTGTATACACACAAACTAGAATATCTAGGAGAAATGGATAAATCCTTGGAAACCAACAAAGATTGAACCACGAGGAAACTAAAATCATGAACAGACAAATAACAAGCTCTGAAATTGAATCAGTAATAAAAAACCTACTAGCCAAAAACAGATTCAGATCAGACTGACTCATAGTCAATTTCTACCAGACATACAAAGAAGAGCTGTTAACAAACCTAATGAAACTATTCCAAAATATTGAGGAGATACTTCTCCCTAACTCATTGTATGATGCCAGCATCATCTTGATACTAAAAGCCAGCAAAGACACAATGAATAAAGAAAACTACAGCCCAATATTCCCAATGAATGTAGACACCAAAGTCCTCAATAAAATATCAGCAAACAAAATCCAGCAACACATCAAAAACTTACTTCACCACAATCAAGTCAGCTTTATTTTTGTGATGCAATTGGTTCAAAGTACACAAATCAATAAATGTGTTTCACCACATAAACAAAATGAAAACGAAAAACCATATGATCAACTCAAAAGATGCAAAAAAGCTTTCAATAACGTCCATCATCCCTTCATGAAAAAAACACCCAACAAATTAGGCATCAAAGAAACAGACCTCAAAATAATAAAGGCCACTCTATGACAAACCCACAGCTGAAACCATACAGAATGGGCAAAAGCTGGAAGTGGGGGCTAAGTGCAGTGGCTCATGCTTGTAACCCCAGCATGCTGGGAGGCAAAGACAGGAGAATCACTTGAGGCCAGGAGTCTGAGACCAGGCTGGGCAACACAGTGAGACCTTGTCTCTGTAAAGTAGTAAAGAAAAAAATTAAAGAAAAAAGAACAAAAACAGTTGGAAGCATTCCCCTTGCCAACTGGAACAAGACAAAGATGCCCACTCTCACCGTATGTATTCAACATAGTACTGGAACTCCTAGCCAGAGCAATCAGGAAAAAGAAAGAAAGAAAAGCCATCCAAAAAGGAAAAGAAGCCAAACTATCTCTCTTTGCTGATGATATGATTCTGTACCTAAAAAACTCTAAAGAGTTTGCCAATTTATCCTGGAACTGATAAATGACTTCAGTCAGGACACAAAAATCAATGTAAAAATATCCATAGCATTTCTATATACCAATAAAGTTCAAGCTGAGAGACAAATCAAGAATGTAATCCAATTTATAATAGCCACACACAAAAAAGCAAAATACTTAGGAATGCATCTAACTACAGAGATGAAAGGTGGTTACAAGGAGAACTACAAAACACTGCTGAAAAAAAATCATGACACCAAATAGATGACACCAAAAAAATGGCAAAACATTCCATGCTCATGAATTGGAAAAATCAATCGCATTAAAATGGCCATACTCCAGAGTTTGCCACATATGGGTGGTCCGTCTGTTCCTGTCCCCTGTGAGATCCAGCACTGAGGCACAAAGGACAGGAGAGGGTGGGGAGGGGTGGCAGCGTGAGTCTCACTGGGTGTGAGCTGGCCAGCCCCCTGGCTCAGTGCTCCCTCCTCCACCTCCTTTGAACGGGGGACATACCATGTGGCTAAGAAGGGCAACTCAGCATCTGCCGCTCAGGCTAGGTGGACAGTGAGGAAGGGGACATGGGAGGTCTGAGGCTTCAAGGCTAGTGTCTCCACAGGCGCTGGCAGTGATTTCTTTTTTAAGCTGCTCTCCCTCCCTTCCCTCCGCCTGCCTCCATCCTAATTGAAGCCATCGCCTCTTCAGTTACACTGCTTCCTAAAATAGTGTTCTGATCACGCCCTGGGTGCTCACTGAAAATGCTTCAGGGGCTCCCTGCCATCTATTGGAAAAAGGCAGAAATCCTTAGGCTGGCGTGCCAGGGTCCAATCAGAAAAGCGAAACCCACCTGGGATGTTTCCGCAGAGGGAACTTCGTGTAGGGCATTGTTATGGGCGTGGGAAGACTGAAAGGGCAAAGAGAGACCGCTGGGACAGAGAGTGGCAGAAGCAGCTTCCACCCCTGCAGCCAGAGGGACAGAAGGAAGGCAGGTTTGGAGGAGGGCCCGGGTCTCTGATGGGGAAGAAGGGCCGCTGCTGGTAAGTGGTGGGAGAAACAGCCTTGGGGATGGCAGGTAAACCTGTCTCCTGCCTCCCACCTTCCCTTCTCCATCTAGTGTCCCCTTGTGGGGAAATTTAACAGGGAACCCAGAGACGAAAGAGATGGGGTTTGCAGAATCCCTGCACCAGAGAGCAAAGTGGTTTGAAGCTGAGCGACATTTGCTTCCTAATGGGCACAGGTGGCACTCTAGGTTTCCGTGTCTGGCCCCAAACTCCTGGCTACACTCTGACCAGCCAGCATGTCACCTCCTGCCAAGCTCAGTTGTTCTGGAGGTCCCTGTCGTCAGATCTTTGCCCTTCATCACCCGTCAAATTCAGGACTTCGTTGAAATGCTACTTCCCTGATACCTTCTCGTACTTCCATTCTTAAACCTTTGTTGCTGTTAAGTGTTGAGATGAAACATGTTTGCTTTGTATTCTAGAAGTTTCTGTGATTGACCATACCTGAGCGCAGAGATTAACTGGGGTTTGTTCCAGAAACAGCATTAATCACAGTGCCCGGCACATAGAAGGGTCCAGAACTTGGAGCAAGTAACTGAACTCAGGCAGTTCCCACGCAGGCCACAGAGTTGGACAAAAACAGCTTGACCCTGGGGCTTGCACTCAAAATGAGCCTTACCCCTTTAAGAGAGGGCAGGTCTTTTCCCTCTCCGGCTCACCCCACCCCTCCTACACAGTAACTGAAACCTGATCTAATCCCTTTGCACGCGGGTAATTTATTGGTCTGTTGAGCTTTTCTTGGTGGCAAATTGCATTGTCTTTATTCCTGGGTTCAGGCTCTGCAGCGGCTCACTGCATTCCTAGGACTCCTTTCTAAGGGTCGATCCTTCACACCTCCTCGTGCACTGCAAAGTAAGTCTTATTGGGCTTCTTTGTTATGCAAACAGGGCGGTAATAATCAGGCTATTATTCTGAAAGATTGGGCTTGATTAACAGTTCAAAGGAGGTCTCTGAAAGCAGCTAGTGCCTCATTGGTGCATAAATATTTTCATCCTGCCAGCGTTGGTGCAGCTGGTGCTCCAAGCGCCCTCCCCTATCTTTCTGATTCTCAGAGGTGCTAGGTTGCTATTAAAAGGAAAAGAACTAAGTCAAAAAAAAAAAAAAAAAAAAAAAAAGGCCATACTGCCCAAAGCAATCTACAGATTCAATACCATTCCTATCAAACTACTAACGTCATTTTTCACAGCATTAGAAAAAACTATTCTAAAATTTCATATGGAACCAGAAAAGAGCCCAAACACCCAGAGCCATCCTAAGCAAAGAGAACCAAGCCTGATGCATCACATTACCCAACTTCAAACTATACTACAGTAAACAAATGCTACACTAAACAAATCAGCACGGTACTGGCACAAAAACAGACACATAGACCAATGGAACAGAACAGAGAGCCCAGAAATAAAGCCACATGCCTACAACCACTGGGTCTTTGACAAAGCCGACACAAATATGCAATGGGGAAAGGACTCCCTATTCAATAAATGGTGCTGGGATGACTGGTTATCCATACACAGAAGAATGAAACTTGACCCCTAGCTATAACAACATACAAAAATTAATGAAAGCTGAATTACATTCTTAAAAGTAAGACCTCTAACTATAAAAATCCTACAAGAAAACCTAAGAAATGCACTATTAGAAATCAGCCTCTGAAAGTAATTTATGAATAAGCCCTCAAAAGCAATTGCAACAAAAGTCAAAATGAAAAATTGGGACCTAGTTAAACAAAGGAGCTTCTGCATAGGAAAAGGAACCATTCAAGAGACTAAATAGGCAACCTAAACAATGAAAGAATGTATTTACAAGCTATGCATTGAACAAAGTTCTACTATCCAGAACCTATAAGGAACTTAAATCAACAAACAAGAATTTAAAAAAATATATAAAAGCGGGCAAAATACATTAACAGACACTTCTCAAAAAAAGACATAAAAGTGGAGAGCAAACATATGAAAAAATGCTCATCATCACTGATCATCAGAGAAAAGCAAATCAAAGCCACAATGACATACCATCTCACACCAGACATAATGGCTATTACTAAAAAGTCAAAAAATAAGCAACAACAACCCAGATTTTGGCAGAGCTGCTACAGCGAAAAGGGAATTCTAATACACTATTGGAGAAAATGGTAAATTCGTTCAGCCACTGTGGAAAGCAGTTTGGAGGTTTCTCTCACGGAACTAAAAGTAGAACTGCCATTCAACCCAGCAATCCCATTAGTTGGTTAAATATCCACTTCCCACCACCAAAAAATCATTCTACCAAAAAGACACATGCACCCAATGTTCACTGCAGCACTATTCACAATAGCAAAGATATGGACTAAAACCAGAAGCTCATCAATGATGCACTGGATTAAGAAAATGCAGCACATATACAATATGGAATACTATGCAACTATAAAAAGAACAAAATACTGCCCTTTGCAGCAACATCGATGCAGCTGGAGGCCATTATCCTAAGCAAACTGATGCAGAAACAGAAAACCAAATACTACATGTTCTCACTTGTAAGTGGGAGCTAAACACTGGGTACACATGGACATAAAGATGGGAGCAATAGACAGTGGGGACTATAAGAAGGGGAACTGGGTTGGACAACGGTTGAAAAATGACATGCCAGGTACTATGCTCATTACCTGGGTGCCAGGTTCAACTGCACCCTAAACCTAAGCATTATGCAATATACCTGTGTAACAAACCTGCACATGTACTCCCTGAATCTGAAAGTTAAGAAAGAGAAAGAATAAGATAAAAATAAAATGCCCTTTTTAACTTGCAATAAAAAAACACCAATAACATTCTTCACAGAAATGGAAAAAACAATCCTAAAATTCATATGGAACTGCAAAAAAGCTAGACTATACAAGCCAAGCCTGAGGGAAAAGAACAGAGCTGGAGGCATCACTCCACCTGACTTCAAAATATATTACAAGGTTACAGTAACCAAAAGAGCAAGGTCTTGGTATAAAAATAGAAAATTAAACCAATGGAACAGAATAGAGAACGCAGAAATAAATCCACATATTTACAGACACCTGATTTTCAACAAAAGTATCAAAAACATACATTGGGGAAAGAACCCTCTCTTCAACAAATGGGGCTGGGAAAAGTGGGTATCTGTAAAAAGAAGAATGAAACCAGGTCCCTATCTTTCACCATATACAAAAATCAACTCAAAATAGATTAAAGACTTAAACATGAGATCCAAAATTATAAAACTACTACAAGAAAATATATGGAAAATGCTTCAGGACATTGGTCAAGGCAAAGATTTTATAGCTAAGTTATCACGGGCATATGCAAAAAAAAGCACAGGTATAAAAACAAAAATACATAAGTAAAGCTATATTAAAATTAGGTTTCTTCACAGCAAAGGAAACAATCAACAAAGTGAAGCAAACAACCAACAATTGTAGACTGGGAGAAAATATTTACAAATCTATTCATCTGAGAAAGGTCTAATATCTAGAATATGCCAGGAACTCAAACAACTCAACAGTAAAAATTGTTAATAATCCCCCCTGAAATGTGGACAAAGAATTTAAATAGACATTTCTAAAAAGAAGACATACGAATGTCCACAAATGTATGGAAAAGTACTCAACATCACTAACAGGAAAATGAAAACAAAATCCTAAATAAGATATCGTCTCACCACAGAATGGCTACCATCAAAAAAATCAAAAAACAAAAAACAAAAAAACCAGAAGTAAAAAATCCTGGCGAGGTTGGAAAGAAAAAGAAAACTCTTATGCACTCGTGGAGGGAATGTAAACTAGTAAAACCATGGAAGTTTCTTAAAAAGCTAAAAATAGCTCTCCGCCAGATCGCCGCCGCGCCGCCATCTTGGACACCAGCCGTGTGCAGCCTATCAAGCTGGCCAGGGTCACCAAGGTCCTGGGCAGGACCGGCTCTCAGGGACAGTGCACGCAGGTGCGCGTGGAATTCATGGACGACACGAGCCGATCCATCATCCGCAATGTAAAAGGCCCCGTGCGCGAGGGCGACGTGCTCACCCTTTTGGAGTCAGAGCGAGAAGCCCGGAGGTTGCGCTGAGCTTGGCTGCTCGCTGGGTCTTGGATGTGGGGTTCGACCACTTGGCCGATGGGAATGGTCTGTCACAGTCTGCTCCTTTTTTTTGGTCCGCCACACGGAATTGAGATGCTCCTTTAAATAAAGCGTTTGTGTTTCAAGTTAAAAAAAAAAAAAAAAGCTAAAAATAGAAGTGTCATATGATCCAACAATCCCACTACTAAGTATTTATCCAAAAGAAAGAAAATCAGCATATCAAAGGGATACCAGTATTCCCATGTTGATTGCAGCACTATTCACAACAACCAAGATACAGAATCAACCTAAATGTTCATCAACAGATCAATGTGGTTGATGAGTAAAGAAAATGTGGTATATGTCCACAGTGGAATACTATTCAGCCATAAAAAAAGAATAAAATCATGTCATTTACAGCATGGATGAGGACATTAAGTGACACTAAGTGAAATAATTCAAGCACAGAAAAATAACTACTGTATGTTTTCACTCATGTGGGAGCTAAAATTTAAAAAAACGTTCACGGAAGTAGAGAGTAGAACTGTGGGTATTAGAGGCTGAGACTGAGAAAGGTAAAGGGGAGTAGAAGATGGGGAGAGGCTGGTTAATGGATACAAGATTACAGTTACATAGGAGGAATGAATTCTAGTGTTCTGTTGCATTGTAGGGTGAATATGGTTAACTAATATTTTTTTTTTTTTTGAGACGGAGTCTTGCTCTGTCACCCAGGCTTGGCGTGCAGTGGTGCAATCTCAGCTCACTGCAATCTCTGCCTCGGGGGTTCAAGCCATTCTCCTGCCTCAGCCTCCCAAACAGCTGGGATTACAGGTGTGTGCCACTACACCTGGTTTGGCTAGCTAATATTTAAAAAGCTAGAGGAGAGGATTTTGAAAGTTCACAACACAAATGGTAAATGTTTGAGGTGATGGAATATATTAATTAGCCTGATTTGACCATTATACATTGTTTACACATATCAAAATATCACTGTGTATACCATAAATATGTACAATTATACAGGTCCACAAAAAATCAAAAGAAGCCAGGTGTGGTGTCACATTCCTGTGGTCTCAGCTACTTGGAAGGCAGAGGCAGGAAGAATTCTTGAGCCATGGAGGTCAAGGCCGGCCTGGGTAACATAATAAGACACCATGTCTAAAAAAAAAATACATCAATAAAAATAAAAGCAAAATCATTCATCCTATATACAGACTATGGGTGAAACTTAGTGACTTGCTTCTAATGAACAGAAAGTGTTAAAAGTGATAACCATGTGGCTTCCAACATTAAGTTAGAAGAGGCTCTCTACCGCAGACTGCTCACCCATGGACCCCAGCCCCCATGCTGTGAGGAAGCTTAGGCCACAAAGAGAGCCTAGGAGTTCCAATGTAGATATCTGGGCAAGCTGCCCCAGCCAAGGTTTTCCCAAGCCACAGATTGGTGAACTAAACGAATGTTGTTCTTAGCCACTCAACTTTGGGTAATTTGTTAGGAAAAAATAACCAGAAAAATAAATTTAAACAAGGAGACAACAAGAAATAGAATAACATACCAGTAGAAATTAGTCTCCTTTAAAGTAAGATCTAAAAAATGTTGAGGTTAATTTATTAATGACAAACAACTCTAATGGGAAGCAGCAGACAACCAGGAGAAGGATGTAAGAACTACTGCAGAGGAAGTTTAGAAAAAGTTCCTTTCGATTACAAATTCTGATGACTAAGCCAGTGAGGCTTTTAGAATTTGTCCCCCGAGTTATGAAATAAGGAAGATGAAGAAGGAAGGAGATATATAATTTGAAGTATAAAGTTGAAAAAACCAGAAATATTTGATTAATTACCAAAAATCAGACATTGTACCTGATTTCAATGAACTGAAATTCTAAAAGTGATAAGCAGCTTTGGATATTTATTAATCAATCTAGGATTCAATCTTCATTTCCATTTCCTCAGTGAGAAAATTAACAAAATATTATGGAATCAGTTTTAACAATCTCAGAAGTAAAAATGTAGTGTCCTTTGAGTGTTAAGCTATTAAATGCAATTTCCCCTTTACCTTACTTCAAGCTCATTTGTATGGAGAAGGGAAGAGCATCTCATCTTTATGTTGTATCAAAATGCTTCTCCATATCATACAAATTGGCTCTGAAATTTTGAAATTCATACAACTAATTCAACCATTTGTTTCTGATAAATGCCTGGACATGACCTGATTTCCAGTTGCTGCACTCCTGGAAGTTGTTCTTTGAATGGGTTGAAGTATTTATTCAATGAATTATGTATTGAACTATAAAAGCATAGCTATGCATCTCTATTTAAGCAAAAAGAGGTAAATGCAGGGAACTCTGGTTTCTGAGAATGTAGTATCTGTGCCAAGAAGAGGATTCAGCTCCGGGAGTGTACAAGAGAACCAGGTGCTGGGTCAAAAGAGTATCTAACTGTAAACTGCAACATGATGAATTAGCTCAATTTCCAATGAGGAAAGAGGACAGCCTAGACTTAATCTTGCCCTTCATAGATAGTTAAAATCTACACATGACTCTATGACTTACAATGAGTTAATAAAAACATAATGCAGTAAATAGTAGGAGTCAGCATATCCTGTGACCAAGATTTGATGGAAATGGGAATGAAGAGAGAGGCACTGGGTGAGAGACAAAAGGTATGACTGGAGAAAAAAAATTAATGGGATCTGTCTTCATAAGCCTGACTCTCATCATGTCATGGAGTCAGCAAGGCATAAGCTGGCCATACACTCCTTCAAGAAGCAAAAAGTGAAATTAAAGACATTCTACTACTTGAATTTCTATTCTTACATAAGACAACTGGTAATAAGCAACAGGACTGAAAATGAATTTTCCTAAAATGTGATTTGCTACTGGCATAAGGATAGACATAGCTCAATATATTAGAACTGAGAATCCAAAAACAAACACACACTTTTATGGTCAACTGATTTTCAACAAGGGTGTAAAAAAAATTAAATGAGAAATGAATAGATTTTTCAACAAATGGTTCTGGGAAAACGGTATATCCACATGCAAAAGAATAAAGGTGGACTTCACCAAATGTCATACCTAAAAGTAACAAAATAGAACCGCTAAATGTAAGAACTAAAACTATAAAATTCCTAGAAGAAAACATAGCCATAAATCTTTGTGACCGCAAAACAAACAAAA
The DNA here is from genome assembly GCF_000001405.40 of Homo sapiens. Lineage (NCBI taxonomy): Eukaryota > Metazoa > Chordata > Mammalia > Primates > Hominidae > Homo > Homo sapiens. The sequence continues at coordinate 18,576,131 of NC_000017.11, forward strand.
AAAAATTAACTGGACTTCATCAAAATGTGAAACTTCTGTGCTTGAACAGAGACCATCAAGAAAGTGAAAAGGAGGCTGGGCATGGTGGCTTACACCTATAATCCCAACACTTGGGAGGCCGAGGTGGGAGGATTGCTTGAGCTCAGGAGTTCAAAACCAGCCTGGACAACATAGTGAGACCTTCTCTCTACAATTTAAAATTATATAAATTTTAAAAACATAATAAATCATAAAAAAGAAAATAAAAAGGAAAGCCATTGAAAATATTTGGAAACATATCTGATAAGGGACTTACACCTAGGGTATATAAAGAACTCTTAAAATTCAGAAATTTAGGACAACCCAATTTTAATGTGGGCAAAAGATTTGAACAGATATTTCTCCAAAGAAGATATACAAGTGGCTCATAAGCACATAAAAAGAGGCTTAAAGTCATTCATCATTAGGGAAATGTGAATCAAAACCACAATGAGGTACCACTTCATACCTCTAGGTTGGAATCCTTTTTCAATCAAAAATATGAAAAATGTTGGCAAGGATGTGGAGAAATTAGAACCCTCATACAATGCTGATGGGAACGTAAAATGGTGCAACCACTTTGGAAAGCAGACTGGCAGTTCCTCAAAAGGTTAAGCATAGTGTTACCATATGACCCAGAAATTCAACTCATATGTATATACCCAAGAGAAAGGAATACATATACAAACACAAAAACTTGTAAATAAAAGTTCACAGCAGCATGATTAATAATAGCCAAAACATGGAAACAACCCAAAGGTCCATCAACTGATGAATGGCTAAATAAATTAGTGGTATGTCCATACAGTGGAAAATTACTCAGCAATAAGATGAAATTAAATACTGATACATGTTACAACACAATGAACCTTAAAAATGTTATGCTAAGTAGAAGAAGCCAGTCACAAAAGACCACCACACATTGTGTGATCCAATTGATACGTGGTGTCCAGAATGGGCTGATCTATGGAAACAAAATAGATTGCTGATTCTTGTCAGGGTCATGAAAATGTCCTACAATTGATGATGGTGATGGTTATGCAACTCTGTGAATATATTAAGAGACCATGAATTGTACACGTTCAATGGGTAAACTGTATGGTATGAGAATTCTCTCTCAGTAAACTTGTTTTTAAAAATTCAGTGGTAGAATCTAGATATATCTCTTAATTCTCTACTTTGGATGTACATACTGTACATGATTTGTAAAAAAGCACAATATATTTAAAATGAAAGGAAAATAAAGGAAGTAACTAACATTTCAAGTAGTTTGTAAATTAAAACATTTGCATTTTGGAGAACAGTACTATGGCCTTTCTGTACCAGTTATCCTGAAATTCATGAAATAAATATACACAGATTCTGTACCCATTCACAAAAGTAAAGATAAGAAATAAGACAATTTTCTGGAACATTCTATTAAACATTATCCTATAATTTAATCTGGCTTGCCTCACCATGGCAATAGAGAAATCACTAAAAAAATACTACTTCACAGGAAAAAAAAAAGCCTCTCAACTTCTGTGAGGAATACTGAATAATTCCCAATTTTCCTAAGGATCTTTGGAAATGATCCTTATTTTTAAAATGTATGTACTTATGAGGAGAAAAGGACAGAATGAAAGCCAGAGGTTAAGAAACAAGTGTATTATAAAGATAATTAAATTGTAATAAAATGAATTATAATAAAAATACAAAAGAAAGCTATCCACTGCAATCAGTATCCTAAAACATCTGACATTATTTCACCACCTATAGATTAACTGTTGACATGTTATGTTTCATACAAACTTCATTTCTGATTTGACCCAATTTCTTCTTTGAATCCTGTGTCTCATCTAAATTAATGTGACAACGTGAGGTAGCCTCTGACGTAGGTTGTTGTTTTAGGAGATCGGTCCATTCTTGTTGGAATTCTCTCATAACTACCTGTGAAGGTATTTTTTGTTACTGATTTATAAATCACCTTATTATTAAATTATGGTAGTAAGATTTAACTCTAACTCATATACTTTGAAAAACATCAACACATATATGATTCGCCTTCTTTTCCTCATGTGCACACATTCTTGTTTATTACTGAATTTAGTTAAGGACAAAGAAGGTGTTATCTTCCTGCCAAATCGGTTTTCTGTTAACTTAGGCAATAGATTCAGCCCACTACTCACTCTTCCCTGAAACATCTGCAGTGCTTAACAACCTACTGAAGTCTCAAAAAGAATTTGATACGTGGGTGGGGCTGCTGGTGGTACATCCCACACTGGTAAAATGTTTTCCCTGTTTTTTATTAGAAGCTCAAATCAACCTCAGAGTTCCTTGCATATTCAATTGCCTGCTCAGATCCTTCTAAAAGATTCCTATCTCACAATACAAGTAAAATTCCAATGGCCTTTGAGGCCCTAGGTAACCTGGCCTCTACCTCCCTCCTGATCTCAGCTCCTACAACTGTCTCACCGATTCAGTCCATTCCTGCTATATGTGAATCCTGCCACTTCTGATTAGTTTGAAAATGGGACTCAATGCCAAACAAATAAATCACAGATAGCCACAGTTACCTTTGTACTATCAAAGTTATATCCGAATGATAGGCAGTGAGCCTTGAAATGAAAATTATGAGCAAATTCTTTGTAAAAACATTCAAAGTAAATTATAAATACCAGTGGTAAGATTAAATGTAACATGGCTTTGCTGAAATTCACATCTGTCCCAAATTATGATTTAATAAAAAGTAAATGCCTTTAGGCCGGGCACAGTGGCTCACGCCTCTAATCCCAGCACTTTGGGAGGCCAAGGCGGGCGGATCACCTGAGGTCAGGAGTTCGAGACCAGCCTTGCCAACATGGCAAAACTCCGTCTCTACTAAAAATACAAAACTTACAGAGCAAGATTCCATCTCAAAAAAAAAAAAAAAAAAAAGTAAATGCCTTTAAAGAATTGAGAGGTCATAACAAGTAATTTGAGACTGAAATCGTCTCAGATTTAAGACAAATTGATATGAATAAAAATAAAATTATACCAACTTAAATACATTACAAAATTACTGAAGGAAAAGTATTATGAGATACAGCAGTATACTTCAGTTCACCTGGGAAATCTGGAATTAACGGTCAAAGCAACCCTCCCCACTGAATCTTAATTTCAAAATACTCATGTCAGGTATGAGCATTTCTGTTTATCTGCTTCATCATGGTATTAAAACATGGCCACATAAAGGCATTGCAATGATCATTTCAGCAGCATAAGACTACATCATGAGTATTAGTCTGTACCTATTAACACTGTAACTGAACTTGAAATTTCATAGGTGACACAATTTCTTTATGCAAAGTAAAGCATCTTTCAGGTTTAACTTCTTTTTCACTGGTACATTTCTAGGCTGATACAGCAAATACATTTATGATCTATACATTTTATATTCAACTAGATACAACATTTAGCCATAACCAAATATTACTTTACATTTTCTTTCAGGAAGGTTGAAAAATATTTTATCTTTCTTAATACTTACTTTTCTTCCTGCTTTCTCTTTCTCACATTGATCCATTCTTTCTTTTAAATGATTATATTCATCCATCAGCTCCTTGTTCTTCTCTTGTAGTGAAAGAATCTGCTTTTCACTCTCAGCTTGAAGATTTTTGGCAGCAGAATGAAACTGGTCTTGGATAGTACTGCTTGTCTTTTCTTGACTGTTAGCTTTCTTGTGAGCATCATCCAGTTGCTGTCGAAGCAACGTATTTTCACTTTGTAGTTGAGATAATCTCTCCTCTACAGATTCCTGCTTGGCAATGTATTTCTTCAGTTTGCTTTGTTCAATTTGGTACATTTGTTCAGTTTCTTTCTTCTGACACTGTGTTTGGCTGAGGTCTCTTTGCACACGTTCCAAAATCAAACTCTCTCTTCCAAGAGCATCTCTTGTGTTATGGAGCTGAATTTGTAGGCTGTTAATTTTACTTTCAGCATTAGAAAGTTTTTCAGAAAGAATCTCATTCTTAGCTTGTAGGCCAGACATATCAACCTTCATTTTGTCATGTAAACGAACCCACTCTTGTCTTGTTCTCTGGAAATCAAGTTTTAGGTCTCTTGCTGTCTGACTTTGATCACAGTCACGTACAGCAGCAGCCAGTCTACAACGGTATGATTCCATTTCTATTTCTAGTCTTTCTTGGTTCTGTTTCCCATTCTCCAGTTCAGAATTGAGTATTTTGTTCTCAGCTGTCAGATTGTTCAGCTGTCCACTGTACTGGAGTATTGTTTCTGTTAATGTTTCCTCATTTAGTTTTATAATTTTTTGAAGGTTATCATTCTTTTCTTTCACAGCCTCAATGTCCTCAAAATATTTCTTTTCCTTTTGCTTGTTCTGATTTTTTATTGTATCTATTTCCAGTCTCAGCAAGGCAATTTCTTCCTGCAACATGCAATTTTCATGAAAGAGATGCTTTTCTTTCTGATGCCTATGAGAAATCTAAGTGAGAAAGGAAACATTCAGTAGCACTCAATAAAATGACAGATTATGATTTTCTCTGAAATTAAATAACCTATACATGTATACAATGAAAAGATTGCCATAAGTGGATATCCAACTGGAAAAAAATATTCTATCGAAACTTCAAACCTCATAGAGCATAAATTCCCAAAACTTCATAAGTTTATTTGAAGACAATGAATCCATGAATGTAGAACATAAATAACTAGAGAAATTTTAAGCATCTCAGAATTGGAAAAGACGGTCTCCAAATTACAACAAACTCAAAGGCATTAAAGACTAATAAATTTGACTACATTAAAAAATTGGCTTTACACTCTGACATCTAACCTATACACCACCCTATAGTAAAAGCTGTAGCTTTGCATATATCTGGACAGAGGAAATGTTCCAACGTTCTTGAAGTTCTTTTTTTCCTGAGAATATTCTATAGCTATTTATTTTTCTAACATTTTTATCATCAGTTATATAAGAATTACATTTATTCATAAATGCTAAATCTAAGCATTATATTAGGCTTTTTTTTTTTTTTTCGAGATAGGGTCTCCACTCCATCACTCAGGTTAGAGGGCAGTGACGCAATCAAGACTCACTGTAGCCTTGGCCTCCTGGGCTCAGGTGATCCTCCCACTTCAGCCTCCTGGGTAGCTGAACTAGAGGCACACACCCCCACACGCAGCTAAATTTATTTGTACTTTTTGTAGAGATGGGGTTTCGCCATGCTGCCCAGGCTGGTCTGGAACTCCTGGGCTCAAGTGATCCACCCACCTCGGCCTCCCAAAGTGCTGGGATTACAGGCGTGAGCCGCTGCACCTGGCCTTGTACCAAGCACTTGTACATGTATCACTGAACTCATTTATATCACAATTCTGAAAGGAGAGGTCAAAAAATATGCAAGTTGCAGGATTTTCCCTAGGTCCCCTTACTTTACTTCTAGTGCTCTTCCACCAAACCACAATTACTTCTGTGTTGTGTATATATAAATATAAAAGAGGCTTATTTCAAAACACCAGTGGTAAAAAAAGAAGTTACAGAGCTTTTCTTAGAAAATCATGAGATTATCTGTTATTACAATAACTTAAGTTTCCTCTTTATAATGTCTGAAACAGAAATAAGCATGAAACAGGGTGAAATACACTGAACTATTTTTCTTTTCTTTTTTTTTTTTTTTTTTTGAGACGGAGTCTCACACTGTTACCCAGGCTGGAGGGCAGTGGCCCAATTTTGGCTGCCTGCAAGCTCCGCCACCCAGGGTTCACGCCATTCTCCTGCCTCAGCCTCCCGAGTAGCTGGGACTACAGGTTCCCGCCACCACGCCTGGCTAATTTTTTTTGTATTTTTAGTAGAGATGGGGTTTCACCGCGTTAGCCAGGATGGTCTTGATCTCCTGACCTCGTGATCCACCCGCCTCAGTCTCCCACACACTGAACTATTTTTCTAAGAAAAAACACTTACCAATAAATTATCACCAAGTTTATATTATGGCATATCATTGTTTTCAAAGCTCTTTGCACTGAAATGAGACGCTACTTGGAGCAAACTGTTACTCTCCTCAAAAGTAAGGGAAACGGCATCTGAAGTACGGCCTCTGAACTGGCTATACATTTCATCCTTACTGCAAGTGGAAATAATAATCTAACCTCTCCATTAATATATTAGGAAAATGAAATAATGTCTGAAAACTAGAACGTCTGTTGTTAGTAGCAAGGATTTTGAGATTGTGGAAAGATCATTAATTCTATGAAAAATAACAAATGTTTCTCCTTTGGATAAGGCCATTGTGAATGTCACTACTTGACTCTTGCAAACAAATGGAGTTGAATTAAGAACATGACTTTATTCAATGAGCCAAAAATGCCAGAACCACCATCACCACCCCCAAATGTATATGTGTGTGTGTGTGTGTGTGTGTGTGTGTGTGTGTGTGTAGTTAAAAAATCCATTGTACTTTCCAAGTTGCACAGAGTTGTTTCTTAAAAATATATTCACATACAAAAATATATTTGAAAATGACTAAAGAAAATACCTCAGAATTCATTTTCTTTTGAGCCATTTCTAGTTCCTTTTGTTTACTTGTCAGAATCTGATCTTGTAATATTCTGGCATCCTGTTCTTCAGAAAGTTGCTTCTGGGCATCGTTTCTCTCCTGCACAACCTAGAGATAACATGGAGGTTTTGGTCTAATAGCACTGAAAAAGAAAATCTAAAAGGTTAAGAGCAGAGCCTCTCTTATAAAACGGTTAAAAAGAAGTAGCCTGTTAAAACACAAGAACTTTTATCCCTCAAGAATCACTCAAATCTTAATTGCATACATGACAGCTCAATCTGTCAAAGAGGAAAAACAGTTCTTAACTACAGGAAGATACAGCATTGTGAAATAAAATTTCTTTCAAAACATTTAACTAGTGTCCTTATAGTTTCAAAGCTATTTAGCCTGTATTTTAACATAAAAAATGTGTAAATGAACAGCTATATTAGTGATTAAACTCAACTTATCCTCCACTCTAAAAACACAGACTGAGCATCTATTAGATGACAAGGTTTACAGTAAATAATTTTATCTATAAATGTCATAGTTCATTCTTAAGAGGAAATAACAGTTTTGGTTTATTTTAAACCTAAATGATATACATGAAGGCAAAAAATTATAAGTAATACCGATGAAACATAAAGTTAGAAAAATGAAGTTTACACCAAAGATTAATTTACCAGATCCAAGTTATTTCTTACTGTCCTCAATTCCTTAACAAGTCTTCTCAGATTCCATTTAAGTTGTTGCTTTGTTTCAACCACTTTCCCACACTCCTCTTCTTTTATTCTTAACTGTTCACTATCTTTATTATACAACATATCGGCATTTCTTTTCTCCCATTTTCTTGTTTTAAGGCAAGTCTGCAGTTAAACATGGATTACATTAAAATGTGTTTTGTTAAAAAATAAAAAAGTTTATTCTGTGATCTGGCTCTTCCCATGTGGGTTTATTATCCTCATAAAAACTCCTATGCTCTTGTTTCCTTTCTAGTTCTCATGTTTTTAATTTCTCACTTTGATCTCTTCCAAGGGACATATATATTTGAGAGGTAGTGAGGAAAGAAATATTCCATTAACTGGTAAGTTTCTGTTACTAGTAACCCTGGTAAATATTATGGAAAAGCATATTTGAAATTTTTCAGTAAAGTTACAAGTTGAAAATTACTTCTTTTTCACGTTATGCAAGTTGAAAATTAATTAGATCATTTAGAGTTAATTTAAAAGAAGTTACTGTTTACAAACAAGTTTAGAAATTCACTAGAAATGCATTTTCATCTTCATGAAATAGTGTATGTGTAGTCATAAAAATGATTTACAGTGTAAGATAACACCTTCAGATGTCATTCACACACCATGTATCTGCAGATTACTACAATCCAAGACTAGGCTAAGCTGTCTATAACTGTTACCCCATCCTTTTTATGTTTCTCTTCTGGGTAACACTTTCAACTTATCTTCTTGATTCTTAAGTATTTCATCACCAATTTTAAAATCCCTTTTTGGAACAAGACAGGATCTAATATTTAATTTAAAAGTAAAGGATAATATGTGTTTCAACAATGAGTTTGGAATTAATTTTATCTGCATATGAGAGATATGTAATAAAATAATCATCAATTACTGTCCATTTTACTTAGTTCGTGCATATTTAGAATAAAACTGGGAAGTCCTAGCCAGAGCAATCAGGTAAGAGAAATAAAGGGCATCCAAATTGGAAAAGACAAAGTCAAACTATCTCTGTTTTAGCTTAGAAAACCCTAAAGACTCCTAGATTTAATCAATGAAATCAGTAAAAGTCTCATGTTACAAAATCAATGTACACAAATCAGGAGCACTAGTAAACATCAAGAATGACCAAGGTGAGAATCTAATCAAGAACCTAATCCCTTTTACAACAGCTGCAACAACAACAACAACAACAAAAACCTAGGAATATACTTAACCAAGGAGGTGAAAGATCTCTAAAAGGAGAATTAGAAAGCACTGCTGAAGGAAATCATAGATGACACAAACAAATGGAAATATGCCCTATGTTCATAGATTAGAAGAATCAATATAGTGAAAATGATCATATTAACCAAAGCAATCTACAGATTCCATGCAATTCCTATTAACATACCACTGTCATTCTTCACAGAATTAGAGAAAGTACCCCTAAAATTCACAGGGAATCAAAAACGAGCCTGAATAGCCAAAGCAATCCCAAGCAAAAAGAACGAAGCCAGAGACATCACATTACCAGATCTAAAACCATATGACAAGGCTAAAGTAACCAAAACAGCATGGTACTTGTATAAAAGTACATACGTAGACCAATGGAACAGAATAGAGAACCTAGAAATAAAGCCAAATATGTATAACCAACTGACCTTTCACAAAGCGTACAAAGACATAAACTGGGCAAAGAACACCCTATTCAATAAATGGTGTTGGGAAAATTGAATAGCCACATGTAGAAGAATGAAACTGGATCCCTATCTCTCACCATATATAAAAATTAACTCAAGATGGATTAGGCCTAACATGTGGCTCACATCTGTAATCCCGGTACTTTGGGAGGCCAAGGCAGGAGAATGACTTGAGCCCAGAAGTTTGAGACCAGCCTGGGCAACATAATGAGACCTCATCTCTACCAAAAAAAAAAAAAAATGTACATATATATATATATATATATATATATATATATATATATGAGAAATTACCTACTGAGGTACAATATGTACTACTCAGGTGATGGGCGCACTAAAATCCCAGAGTTCACCACCATACAATTCATCCATTTAACCAAAAACCAAAATATATATATATATATATATATATATATATATATATATATATATATATTTTTTTTTTTTTTTTTTTTTTTTTTTTTTTGAGACAGAGTCTCGCTCTGTCACCCAGGCTGGAGTGCAGTGACACGGAGGCCAAGGTGGGAGAATCACCTGAGGTCGGGAGTTCAAGACCAGCCTGACCAACATGGAGAAACCTTGTCTTACTAAAAATACAAAATTAGCCAGGCGTGGTGGCAATGCCTTTAATCACAGCTACTCAGGAGGCTGAGGCAGGAGAATAGCTTGAACCCGGGAGGCAGAGGTAGCCATGAGCCGTGATCACGCCATTATATTCCAGCCTGGGCAACAAGAGTGAAACTCTGCCTCAAAAAAAAAAGAAAAGAAAAGAAAAGAAAAGGCTTCTGCACAGCAAAAGAAATAATCATCAGAGTAAGAGAACCTACAGAATAGGAGAAAATATTTGCAAACTATGCATCTGACAAAGGACAAACAAATCAGCAAGAAAATGCAAATAATCCCATCAAAAAGTACACAAATGACATGAACAAACATTTTTCAAAAGAAGATGCACAAATGGCCAACAAACATATTTAAAAATGCTCAACAGCACTAATATTCACGGAAATACAAACTAAAACAACAAGGAGATATCACCTTACTCCAGCCAGAATGCTCATTATTAAAAAGTCAAAAAACAATAGATGTTGGTGCAGCTGTGGTGAAAAGGAAATGCTTATACACTGCTGGTGGAAATGTAAATTAGTACAACCTCTGTGAAAAACAGTAGACAGATTTCTCAAACAACTAAAATAGAGCTACCATTCAATCCAACAATCCCCTACTGGGTATCTACCCAAAGGAAAAGAAATCATTATATCAAAAAAAAACACCTGCAAACGTATGTCTATTGCAGCACATTTCACAATTGCGAAGATACGGAATCAACCTAAGGGTCCATCAACCAATGAATGGAATAAATAATATGTGGTATATATATGTCATGGAGTACTACTCAGCCATAAGAAGAATGAAATAAATGTCTTTTGCAGCAACTTGGAAGGGACTGGAGGCCATTATTCTAAGTGAACTAACTCAGGAATGGAAAGCCAAATAAAACCACATTCTCACTCATAATAGGGAGTTAAGCTATGGGTGCACAAATGCAGACAGAGTAGTATAATGGACATCGGAGAATCAGAAGTGGGAGAGTGTGGGAGGAGGATGAGGGATGAGAAACTACCTACTGAGGTACAATGTGTACTACTCGGGTGATAGGCACACTAAAATCCCAGACTTCACCACCATACAATTCATCCATTTAACCGAAAACCACTTGTATACCTAAAGCTATGAAATTAAAAAAAAAGTTTTCAAAAACAATAAAACTGTATAAATTTTTTGAAAATTACTTTGGGTTTAGAAAAGTGACCAGTTCATGCTCTGTTGCTTGAACTATAAATTAACACAAACATTCTTGTGAAAAATTAAGAAATATTGATCAAAGGTCTTTTTAAAAAGTTCCTATATTTCAACCAATAATTCTATATTGGAGAATTTATTCAAAGCAAACCGTTTAGGAATGTAGAAAAACATTTATATAAAAAATGTTCTGGGCTGGGCATGATGGCTCATGTCTGTCATACTAATGATTTGGGAGGCCAATTTTGCAGAAGGAATGCTTGAGGTTGGGAATTGGAGATCATCCTGAGCAACATAGTGATACCCCGTCTCTACAAAACACTTAAAAAGTTAGCCAAGCATGAGAATGTGCACCTGGAGTCCCAACTACTTAGGACGCTGAGGCAGGAGGATGGAGTTCAAGGCTGCAGGGAGATATGATCACACCAGTGAACTCCAGTCCCAGGCACAGAGACCCTGTATCTACAAATAATAGTAACGATAAAAGATGTTCCTTACATCATTAATTATAAATACAAGATAATTTTAAAACCCAAATTACAATTTGTTAAATGAATAACAAGATTTTATATGGTGGACTTCTATATGGCCATTTAGATTGCAAAGAATATACATTTATTTATTAGAAGAGTTCACAGTTAATAATTTGTTTTATTATTTCCAAGAATTTCATATTCCACAAGACCAAAAAGGTTTCTCCCCCATTAATCTGCAGAAGGTAAGTCAGCAGTTACAAAAATTCTGATATATTGTCTTTAGTATAAATATTTCTTTAGAACTAGAACATCATACCTCAAATCGTACAGCTCTTTCTCCCATTCAATTTTTTGAAGTTCTAACTGTAATTTTGTCTTTTTTGTTTCAGATAGCTCATTTTGTAGTACACTGACCATATTTTCCATTTGTTTAAGTTTTACTGTAAGTTGGTCACAGTGATTATTCTTAAGTTTCAGTAAGTGTTCACACAAACAAAATGTGTCTTGGATTCTTGGTAGGCTAGCAGAATCTGTGTCAGGGAGAAAAGGTAGAAATAAAATATATGAGTACTTTTAGGTATTAAAAAACTGTGCATTTTTAACATTGTCTCCTTCATACATTGAACAAATATGCACTGAGTGCCTACAAAGTGGGAGACATTCTACTAAGCTCTGCAGATAAAACAGATAAGACCTCTACTCTCATTTAGCCTTAAGTGAAGTGAGGAACAAACACAACAAAAATGACAATTATAAATTCAGATATATGGTGTAAGAAAACAGAGTTCTATGATCACACAGAAGAATTTGATCTATAATGGGCCCAGGGAAGATTTCCCTGAGGAAGAGATGGCTACACTGAGAAATGAAGGGTGAGAAGGAAGCAGTTAAGCAAAGGGGTAGAAAAGCATTCTTGCCAGTCGACAGCAGGTGCTGAAGCTCTGCTGGAATCTGCTTCTGGCCACAATGGACAGCAAGTACTGATTTACCTTCTTGCCTGAAACAACCAAAAAGAAAACAGACAAAATATATTATACAATGATTTACCAGGCAGTGGACTTCAGGTAATGAAGACAATGATCCCCGTAAGACAGGAAACAAAGGAAATTCATCCAACACTCCAGCTCCCTGCCTTCACGGAGTTTCCAGGCTACCGCACAGAGAGAAAAAACTGACATAGAGTCCACCAGATTCCCTGAGATGAGATGATGAAGCTGAGAGTCTGGTAAAGCCAAGGCAGACAGAGATCACGAAACAGAACACCGGAAAGGAGACAGAGTACAGGGAAAGAACACTGAAGATTTGCAAAAATACCTCCTGGGTATCTAGCAGAGTAACAAACAGCACATGTGTGCCAGAAAAACCGCCCCAGATCAAGGGGAAAAAAACATCTAAAAAACACTGGAAAGAAACATGTCTGGTGTTCACGATGTGCCAAAAAGAGTGTCCATTCCCATGAGTGATGCTGGGAAAACTCAGACTTCGCATGGCAATGAATAGAGTCATCACAAAGATCTTGCCTCAGGAGCAGGAAATTAGACCAAATCATAAAAGCAAGATCAGAAAGATCAAGCTGTTCATATGGAACTCAACTGTATATTAAAATTAAGCTCAAGCAGACAGGCAGAGGCATGGAAGATTTTTCTTTTTTTTTTTTTTCTCTTTTTTTTTTTTTTTTGAGACGGAGTCTTCGCTGTGTCGCCCAGGCTGGAGTGCAGTGGCTTGATCTCGGCTCACTGCAAGCTCCGCCTCCCGGGTTCACGCCATTCTCCTGCCTCAGGCTCCCGAATAGCTGGGACTACAGGCGCCTGCCACCGCGCCCGGCTAATTTTTTTTGTATTTTTAGTAGAGATGGTGTTTCACCGTGTTAGCCAGGATGGTCTCCATCTCCTGACCTCGTGATCCGCCCACCTCGGCCTCCCAAAGTGCTGGGATTACAGGCTTGAGCCACCGCGCCCGGCCGGAAGATTTTTCTTTAAAGCAAACTACACTTGTAGAGATTCAAATTACAGTGTCAGGAATGAAAGCTAAAATGGATGGAAGTGAACACAGATTAGACATCACCAAAGAGAAGATTCATAAATTTGAGACATCAGTGAACTATGAGAAAACTTCAAGGAGGAATAAGTCCCCAAAGAGGGAAAAAGAGAGACAGAAAAATAAAAAAAGAATGGCCAAAACTTTCTAAATGTAAAGAAAACTATAATCCTACAAATCCAGAAGTATCTGGCTGGGAGAGAGGAAATGAAAGTATACTATTCCAATTTTCTTTTTTAAAAAATTTCAATAGCTTTTGGGGTAACAGGTGGTCCTTGGTTACATGAATAAGTTCTTTAGTGGTGGTTTCTGAGATTTTGGCGCACCCATCACCCAAGCAGCATACACTGGATCCAATCCGTAGTCTTTTGTCCCTCACCCCCCTCCCACTCTTTCCCCACAAGTCCCCAACCTGTATCATTTTTATGCCCCTGCATCCTCATAGCATAGCTCCCACTTACAAGTGAGAACATACAATGTTTGGGTTTTCATTCATAATTTTCTTATGCCATATATGATATGCCATAATATTTTTTGAAGATGGACTGTGATGTTAAAATCATATACTATAAATTGTAGTGCAACTGCTAAGATAGAAAAAAATAGTTATCACTAATAAGCCATAAAAGGGAGATAAAAATAAATCATAAAAATTACTGGACTAATTGAGAAGAAAGCAGAAAAAGAAGAGAACAAAGAACTGGGGGGACCAGTGGAAATCAAACAGCTTGATGACAGACAAATTTCACTGTATCAATAAGCACATTATAAATGGAACTGGCCTAAAAGTCTCAATTAAAAGGCAGATTGTCAGACTGGATAAAAAGGCAAGAACCTACTCCATGCTTCCTATTAAAAAAAGCACTTTAAATGTAAAAACATAAATTGTTCAAAAGAATGGAAAAAGATATACCAGGCTAAGAGTTGACAAAAGAAGCCTGAGAAGAAATGGCTATGTTAATACCAAAGTAGATTTCACACCAAAAAAAAAAAAAAAAAAATTACCAGCTATAAACAGTCATTTCCTAATGACTTTTAAAAGTTCAGTTAATCGGCTGGGCGCAGTGGCTCATGCCTGTAATCCTAGCACTTTGGGAGGCCGAGGCAGGTGGATCACGAGGTCAGGAGATTGAGACCATCCTGGCTAACATGGTGAAACCCCGTCTCTACTAAAAATACCAAAAAAAAAAAAAAAAAAAATTCAGTTAATCAAGAACGTGTAATCTCAAATGTTTGTGCACCTAATAACAGCTTCAAAATATATGAGGCAAAAATCAATAGATGAAATAGACAAATTCACAAGTACATCTGAGATTTGAATATCACTTACTCAATAAGTGATAAAACAAGGGAGCTGCAAATCAGCAAGAATGGAGCACACTTGAACAACACCATGCTTCTCAAGTACCCAGTGAGCACTTACCAAACAGACCACATTCTAGGTTCTGCAATCAATCTTTTTTTTTTTTTTTGAGACGGAGTCTCGCTCTGTCGCCCAGGCTGGAGTGCAGTGGCGGGATCTCGGCTCACTGCAAGCTCCGCCTCCCAGGTTCACGCCATTCTCCTGCTTCAGCCTGCCACCACGCCCTGCTAATTTTTTGTATTTTTAGTAGAGACAGAGTTTCACCGTATTGGTCAGGATGGTCTCGATCTCCTGACCTCGTGATCCATCCGCCTCAGCCTCCCAAAGTGCTGGGATTACAGGCGTGAGCCACTGCACCCGGCCTGCAATCAATCTTAATGAAAGAATTAAGTCAGAAAGATTTAAGTCATACGAAGTATGTTCCCTGACCACATGGCAATCAAGTCACAAATTAGTAACAAAATATCTCATCAAAATATTCAAATATTTTAAAACAAAGTAATACACATCTAAATAACCCTAGGTCAAAGACACGATGCAAAGAGAAATTAGAGAGTATTTTGAACTGAATGAAAATGAAAATACTACATATCAGGATTTGTGGAACACAGCTACAACAGTACTTAAAATTTTTTAGCACTTAATGTCTATATTAGAAGACTCTCAAGTCAATGGTCTTGACTTTTATCTTAAGAAACTAAAAAAAGAGAAGAAACTGAAAAAGAAGAACAAATTAAACTCAAAGCAAGCAGAGGAAATGATACAATAAGCATCTGGTATTGTCTGACATTTGCATCCTCCCAGAACTCATATGCTGAAACTTAATCACAGAGGTGATGTTATCAGAAGCTGGGGCTTTGTGGAGGTAATTAGCTCATGGGAGCCAAGCCCTCATTAGTGGGATTAGTGCCCTTATATATATAGACCCCAGAGGGCTCATTCACCTGTTCTGCCATGTGAGGACACAGGGGGAAAAAAGAGATCTATGAACCAGGAATTGGTCCCTCACCAGACACCAAATCTGCCAGCACCTAGATCTTGGACTTTTGTGAGAAATCTATTTCTGTTGTTTATAAGCTACCCAGTCTATGGTATTTTGTTATAGCAGGCCGAACAGACCAAAACATCAAAGATGAAACCAATAAAATGGAAAAACAATAGGAAAAAAATCAATAAAACCACACACTATGAGGAGGTCAATAAAAGTGATAAAACTCTAGCCAGGTTGATCATAAAAAAGAAGATGCAAATTACTAATTTCAGAAACATAGTAATATGACATTTTTATAGATTCTACAGATACTAAAAGAATAGAAATATAATAAGGTAAGCTTTATGTGACTAAACATGACAACTTTGATAAAATGGACACTTTCCCTGAAAAACAAAAATTACCAAGGTCCAATTTAAGAAGGAATAACATGAACTGTCCTATATCTATAAAAGAAAGCATAAGTAAAGCCTTCCTAGAAAGAAAACTCCAGGCCCAGATAGCTATGCTGGTGAATTCTACCAAATATTTAAGAAGCAATATAACAATTTTACATGACCTGTCCCCCGCCCTCAAAAAAAAAAAAAAAAATAGAGGAGAAATACAACTCATTCTGTCACTCTAGCATTACCCTGAACCAAAATCTGACAATGATATTACAAAAAGAGAAAACTCCCTCATGAACACGGACGTAAAAATGTAACCAGTTTCTCAAGAAACCAAGATATCCTCCTTTAGGTGAGTGAACAACTTCTGGTACAGCCATGCGATAATGAGCTATCATGCCATGAGAAGACATGAAGGAACCACAAAGGCATATTACCAAGTGAAAGATGCCAGTCTAAAGGCTACACGCTGTCTGATACCAACTAAATGACATTTTGGAAAAGGCAAAACTATAGACACAGTAAAAAAAGTCAGTGGTTGCCAAGAGTTGGGGAGGGAAGGTGGGAAAAGATGAACAGATGAAGCACAAAGGAGTTTTAAAGCTCTGAAATTACTTTGGATAATACTACAGTGATAAATACATGTCCTTATACTTTTGTCCAAATTCACAGAATATAAGACACCGAGACTGAACCCTAATATAAACTATGGACTTTGGGTGATTATGATTATCAATTCAGGAACATCAATGAGATCAAGTGTAGCACTCTGGTGAGGATATTGATAATTGTGGAGGCTATGCACGTGTGGGGGCAGGGAGTACAGGGATAATCTCTGTGCCTTACTTTCAATTTTGCTGTGAAGCTAAACTACTCTAAAAAATAGTCTTTTAAAACGCTCTAAATAAAGCTTTGGCAAATCAAATCCAATGATACATTAGAAGGATAATACATCATAAACAAGTGGGGTTTATCCCTAAATACACGGTTTGTTTGACAGTAAAATATAAGTATTCACCACATTAAAAAACTAAAAGAGAAGAACCATATGATCATCTCAGTAGATAGAGGCATTTGATAAAATACAACATTCATTCCTGATTTAAAAAAAAAAAAATCCCTCTCAGTAACCAAAGAATACAAGGGAACGCCATCAGCATGATAAAGAGCATCTCTGATAAACCTACAACTAACATGTGTCATGATGAAAAACTGAATGCTTTCCCTGTAAGATCAGGAACAATACAGGAATGTCTCCTTTCACTATTTTAGTCAGCATTGCACTGAAGCCAGTGCAGTTAGGAAAGAAAAGGAAATAAAAGCTACCTGAGTTGAAAAGAAGAAGTAAAACTCTCTTTATTCACAATCATGATCACATAATAGGGATGGGTAAAATCCAACCTGCGGAGCAGCTTCTTATTTTTGCAAATAAAGTTTTAATGGAATGCAGCTGTGTTTTTTAACATATGTATTGTCTATGGCTGGTCTCATACTACAATGGCAGAGTTGATTGGCTGTGACAGAGACCATTTTGTCACAAGTTTAAAATATTTACTATGTTTAGTAAGATAACAGTTTGAAAATGAAAAGGTTTGACTATCTTTGGTGTATGTAAAAAAGCTGATTGAATCGAATCTCAATTTTAAATGTTCATAAGCTACCCAGATTGGAAAAGACAGTTCACAGGTGGCAAATAAGCATATACAAGATGCTCAACATTATTAGTCCTTAGGGTAATGCACATTAAAACCATAATGATATGCATAATACACATCCATCAGAATGGCTAAAATTTCAAAATTTAAAAACAGCAATAATAAGAGCTTGTGATGATACAGAACAACAAGAAATGTCGTATACCTCTGGATGGAATGCAAAATCAATACAAATACTTTGGAAAACAATTTAGCAGTTTCTTAATAAAGAAAGACAAAGGGACAAGAAGAGACTTTTATGGATGATGAACATGTTAGCTCTCTTGATTATGGTGGTTTCAAATGTGCACACGATTGTATATTTTATATACGTGCAGTCTATCACATATCAGTTATACCTCACTGAAGCTATCAGTGCTGGAACAAACATATAAGACACAGAGTGGGACACAGAGAAAGAGAAGAGTAAAAACGATGCAGGATAAAGCTAGAGGATTCAGATCTCTAACCTTACAGCAATAAGAAGTAGTAGCTGAGTTATAAGCAAAGGAGTAACATGATCAGATCCAAATTTTTAAAAATTTATCATTATGATTGCAGAGTAGACCATGGTTTTAGGAGGTGGGGTATTTGGGAAAACAGTTCTAAGATTCCTAAGATTCTCGCAGCATTCCAGGTGGAGAAAAAAATGGTAACCTGACATTGGGGGAAGGAATAGGAGAGAAAGAGTCAACAAAAAGACTGGGAATGCCACTCACACTGAGAGAAGTACAGTGGAGTTATCATAGCTCTTTGGCGTAGAGTATAAGCTAGTTCTCTATTTTAACACTGAGCGTATTTCTGAGATGAGCTTCACTATCACGCGTCAGTTCTCAGCAATGTATACACACATTACTGCAGGATACATCAAAAGGCCTTGCATTTATGCAGTGGTCCTACCTTTATACTCCATTCTAAGTTGTTCAATCAGCAACATAAAATTCTCATAAACAGAGTGAGACAATTCACAATCCTCTGAGGCTATTTCAGATGGCTCCATTGAGTCAGCAAAGTCAGCCTCAGGATATATTTGGTTTTTGACCTATAAGATAAATAATACTGTTTCAAAATGTCCTTCAAAGATTTATAGCATATACTAAAGGTACAGAAGTGGTATTTCTCCATTTTTTTTGTATGAGCAAAAATACAGGTACTTCTTAAAGCAACAGATTGTTCTTAAAAGGTACCATTATCAACGGTTACTGTTTCTTCATCACTTTTTCTAAGCAAACAGCCTTACAACAAAACATCTTGTTTTTTTCATTTTTACCTTTTAGAACTTGTTTTTTAAAAACAATATTTTAGATCATTTCCTTTTTTACAATACCTTGTTCTTTTCATTAGCTGTTTTATCTGCAGGCCTGAAAAAAAAAAACAATTCCTTTTAGAAAAATAGCAAAGATGTAAAATACAAAGAATATCTAACACTACTGTTTTATCATATAAAATGTCTGCATTTGTGTTACTTCTATTCATCAAGTGTATAGGTAATTTTTTTTACAGGTAATGTAAAATGCAGTAATTTTCTACAACGGACATTAAACTATAAACAGAAACAGCAACATTAAGGGATAAAGAAATTTACTACTACTAATATAATTACAAAGAATTAAATTTAGGTCAAGATTTCTCATAGTAAAACCAAAAGAAAAAAACATGTTACCTGCATTATGTGATAAAAATAAATATACCAGGGTCTTCTCATTGTTGTCCTTTTCAATAAAAACAAGCTTTTACGGGCACTAAAACCTATTTGGAAAATATTACTCACATTCTTATATAAGGGAAACCCTTTTTTAATGATGATATTAGTAAGCTTTTTCTGGACTTACTATGCAGGTACTGTGCATCATTCTGAGCACTGTCCATGTGTCAAACTCATATAATCCTCATAACAATTCTGTGAGGTCAGTAACATATTAAGAATTTTATAAAGAAAGAAAATAGGCACAGAAGGGCCAAGTGACTGTCCTCAGCCCATACAGCTGGTCAGTAGCAGACCCAGAACTCAAACCCAAGAATTCTGCCTCAAAAACATGTGCTTCATGATATGCTGTGAAGGTAACATTTATTTTCAAGTGTTTTAAAGAGAGATGATAGCAGATGAACCCACATTGTCATTCCATTTCTGACTACAACTATAAATAATGTCAGAATCTTGCAATTTTTTTCTAATAAAAAAACTTTATACAGAGGCAAGTTTAGAAACCTACTTTCAAAAAACTAAAAAGTATTTTTAATGAAATCCATCAACAGGTATTCATTCATGTATTCACCCATTCATTCACGCGTTCAACAAATAAATACTCATTGAGCACACAATACATGCTGATGGCAATGTTGGTCCAGGGAAACATGGTTTTGATACTTCAGAACTTTATAATCCATTGTAGGTCAACTTGATTAAATATTTTTTAAAAAAACTTTATAGGCCAGGTGCAGTGGCTCACGCCTGTAATCTCAGCACTTTGGGAGGCCGAGGTGGACGGATCACGAGGTCAGGAGTTCAAGACCAGCTTTCCCAAGATGATGAAACCCCGTCTCTACTAAAAATACAAAAATTAGCTGGGCACGGTGGCGGGCGCCTGTAATCCCAGCTACTCAGGAGGCTGAGACAGGAGAATCGCTTGAACCTGGGAAGTGGAGGTTGCAGTGAGCTAAGATTGTGCCACTGCACTCTAGCCTGGGTGAAAGAGCAAGACTCTGTCTCAAAAAAAAAAAAAAAAAAAAAAAACACTTTATAATCCAGAAGTAATAATCTGATAGATTGTCAACAGTTAGCTTTTCTAAAGTACTTAAACAAAACCCTCCCCTTCTCCCCAGAATCTAAACAACTATAAAGTTGATACTCCTGACATTTTAGAGTACCTCAGCAGATCATACCTATTCATCAGGGATGTTTAAATTCTATTCAGTATGGCCTAAGTGTTTGCATGTTTATTATTTCACAATTAAAAACAATCTGCATATGATAGTTTAAATTTTAGGTCACCATTCACAGGTTCAGTTATGCTAATATGTTACATTTCTGAACCAATGCTGAAGGAACAAACTCTTACCATAAAACTCTACATGAATAAACACTTTAAGGACAATTAGTTTGCTAAAAACCTACAAAAGATAGTGAACCGAGCTTTCAAACACTTAGACATACAAAATTAAATCTCATAAACATGTTATCCTTGTCCCTATCATTCCCAGCAGCATACAAACACACTCTAAAAGCTTCTATTTTGAAATAAAAAAGAAAGAAAATTCCCTTGAATCCCACGTTCTTCTTCAATTATCACTCATTTCTCTGTTGCCTTTCCCAATAACGGTTCCCTCAAGGGGTATCTATGCTTATCCACTACAGTCAGGATTCCACAGCAATTATTTATTGAAACTGCTCCTTGTCAAAGTTACCAGCCCTCATCATAATCAGTCTTTCAGCATTGATATAGTTGAGTATTCTCTAGCTTTGGCAGACTACACTATTTTCTATTTCCAGAAAAAGTAACCACTGGGAATATTCCTTCTCAGAGAAATAAAGAACTTATACATTTTAACTTCTTTCAACCTCATCTATTTCACTTAAACTGCTGTCATCATCTCCTTGTAGCAGACCACAAGTTACTAAATTAGCCTTCTCAAACACTGGCGTAATCAGAGATTATTTTGAGGTACATTTTTTATTTTCATTTTTCTTTACTTCCTGCATATGTAACGCAGAACCACAACTTTAAAAAATCTACAAAAGGCCAATGTTTTATAATAATTCTACTGATAACAAAAAAATTTTGTAAAATTCCAACTCTTCTCCATCTCAATTCATTAATTCAAAAAACACAGTTATGAATTATCAACAACATATAAAGAAATATATATTTCCTGCCTCAAAAACCAGGTAATATGCAATTATGATACAATGTGTAGTTTAAGAGTTGATATATGGAAAGTTATATTTTAGCACAAGGAAGGCGTTACAGAAGAGGCAAAATATAAGAGGAGCTCACCAGGGAAAAAATAGAGAAAACTACTCCCCTTGGAGAATGGAATGACAGCACAAAGATTAGTCCCATGGAGTCTAGGTGTTTCCTAGGAACTTGAAAGGAAAAGTGTAAAACACAAAGAAAGTAAGAATGGAAGATGAATGCCACACTAAAAAGCTGGAGTCAGCTGGGTGCGGTGGCTCACACCTGTAATCCCAGCACTTTGGGAGGCTGAGGCGGGCAGATCATGAGGTCAATAGATCAAGACCATCCTGGCCAACATGGTGAAACCCATCTCTACTAAAAATACAAAAATTAGCTGGGCATGGTGGCACACCTGTAGTCCCAGCTATTCGGGAGGCTGAGGCAGAAGAATCGCTTGAACCCAGGAGCTGGAGGTTGCAGTGAGCTGAGATTGCCACTGCACTCCAGCCTGGTGACAGAGACTCTGTCACAAAGAAAAAAGAAAAGAAAAGAAAAAAAAAAAGCTGACCGGGCGCGGTGTCTCACGCCTGTAATCCCAGCACTTTGGGAGGCCGAGGCGGGCGGATCATGAGGTCAGGAGATCGAGACCACAGTGAAACCCCGTCTCTACTAAAAATACAAAAAATTAGCCGGGTGTGGTGGCGGGTGCCTGTAGTCCCAGCTACTCGGGAGGCTGAGGCAGGAGAATGGCGGGAACCCAGGAGGCAGAGCTTGCAGTGAGCTGAGATGGCGCCACTGCACTCCAGCCTGGGCGACAGAGCGAGACCGCGTCTCAAAAAAAAAAAAAAAAAAACAGCTGGAATCCACTGCACACAGGCAATGACTCTCACACATGAAACTCATATTTAGATCTGTGCTATGTTTTGGGTTTTGTTTTTAAATATAATAATGTTTAAACAGATTAAACCAAGTTTTAAAAATAACAGGCACATATTACATGAAAGAAATCAAGGAAATGTCTCGGGAAGAAAAAAATCTTAGTGTTAAAATTCCTAAATGTCAGTATAGTCATTATATATTGTTCAAAAATAGCACTATTCTGATTAGTTATATGTTTGTTTGAAAATAAAATAATTTGGTAAATTTCCCACATATTTAGTCTAGTACTTAGTCTTAATATAAAAAGCTGGATTTGCCAGCAGAAAATTGTAATTACTTTTTTATGAAGTAAACACACATTATATCACTATCATTGCATGGAAGAGAAAGTGAACAAAAAAAGATTAAGGAATAAAAAAAGAATATCACTATCATATAACTACATACATTAACAAAGAGACAAACATTTCCCACTGGAGATTAGGAGTTTAGCAGAAGTCTCTGAAAATACTAAAAACTGAAACAAAATTAATAATTGCTTTTCATTTGTTTGTTTGTTTGCTTGTTTTTTAACTATGTAGCGAATTCTTCTGGTTAAGACTAAGCATCAAAAAAAGAGATCTTCCTGAGAGCAATTATTAAACAATTCCTCTTGACCCACACTTCCAAATTAAGTCTATAGTTCTGGAATATGAAATCATTTTCATTTTAAACATAGTTGATGGAAGGCAACTTTTAAACAGAAAACTGCAGTTTAAAGTTGTCTCAAACTTAGTAGCTATATTTGTAACAAGCAACCACCCACAGCCAGTTGTAAATACAGTCAATCATCAGTGACCATTGGCCTCTCTCACCAACCAATATCAATGTGGGCCACTTGCTTCGGAAAGACAGCCAATTAAACACAAACTCGCTCCAATCCACAAGCCTGGGAGTGTTAACCAACCCACAGCAGCCTCACTCAGATAGCCATGTTTCTCCAGATGATGTTAACCCTCCTATGCCGCTGAGAGTCTGCCAATGCTTCAAGTCCGCTCCTCCCGCAACCCTATGTAAGATCAACAGCTGCTCTGTCAGAATACAGAGTGCCTGATGAGCATAGCTCTCTTATAGAAAGCAACACATTCCAACTTGGTCTTTTAACTTCAAATACTGAAGGTTCATAATCAATTGGAAACAATTTTAAGTCCATTAAATTTACCACCCTTATATTTTAATTTTCTTTATAAATCACCAATGAACTATGTAATTCCTTTGATCCATTTTATCATAAGTAAAACTATCATGATTATTAGTAAAAGAATAAATAGTGAGTAACGACAATATTGAGCTTTTCTCTCTAAATGGAAAACTATTAATACAAAGAATGTAGCTTATTACAAAGAGCCAAAAAATCCAAAAACGCATATAATTTCCAGGCAAAAGTGTTAGAATGAACCCATGTGAAACCTTTTTTTTTCTTTTCTTTTTTTTTTTTTTTTACCTAAGAATCAATCTAATGTTTAAAACAATACACCGAAGGGTAAACTTCAGTTGCTCATTTAATAAATATTTATTGAGTAGCTACTTATTGCAAGCTAGGCCCTTTTCTAGGCACACAAACATCCTACTCATGGGAGTGAAATAAACACAATAACCATAGATAGATTAGGCAAAATATACAGTGTTAAAGGAGAAAAACTAAAGCAGGAAAATGAAATGTTTACAGGTTTGAGAGGAGGGATAGTGGGAATTCTAGGATGGCCAGAAAAGTCCTTACTGAGAAAGGGGCTTTTAAGTAAAGAACTGAAGAAATGGAAAAAGAAAGCCAGGAGGCTATCTGAGGAAAAGGCATCCCAGACACAGGGAACTGCCCAGTACAGAGGTGTGCCTGGGGTGTTTAAGCAACTGTGATAGATAACGAAGAGCAAGAAGTTTAGTGTAGCTGAAGCACAGCAAAGGGAATAAGAAACAGAAGTTTAAGTGAGAGAGAGAACAGGGCATATTGTGTGTTGCCTTCTAGGTATGAGGAGGAACCCTGACACATACTCAGAGTGAAATGGGAGGCAATCAGATGGATCTGAGCAGAAGAATGACATCATCTGACTTATGTTTTAAGTATGGCCACTGAGTTAAGGATTAATGAAAAGAGGTTTCTTTAAAAAAAAAAACAGACCAATTAACAGTCTATTACATGCGTCTAGAGAGCAGATGGTGGTGGCTTGGAAATGGAAGATATGACTGGCTTCTGGATATATTCTTCAGGTACTCCTGACAAGATCTGCTGACAGATTAGATGTGAGGTGTCAGAGAGAGAGGGGAGTCAATGACGACACCTTAGTTTCTAGCAGAGCAACTGCAAGAGTTGCCATTAATGCAAGTAGGAAAGACCATGTGAGGGGTAGGTATGAGAAAGAATATCGGTACCCCAATCTTGGACCTGGTAAGTTTGTGATACCCAACAGTTCGTGACCAATCAAACAGAGATGTCAAGTAGGCAGGTTGGTATGGAAGTCTGGAATTAAGGAGAGAGATCTAGGCTGGAGACACGCATTTGGAAATCATTAGCACACACAAGGTAGTAAAAGTCATGAGAAAGAAGATTGAGGACTGAGTCCTGGGACATATCAGTCCTGGGACATATCAATGTGTAAAAGGTGGGATATGAGAAGAAAGCAAAACAGACTATGACAGATGGACTGGAAAGGCAGGAAGAAAAGCCAGGTGAGTGAGTGAGATCCTGAAAGCCAAGTGAAGACACTGTTATGGAGGAGAGAGTTTTCCATTGGGTCCAATATTGCTGACAGGTTAAATAAAATGAGGTCTAAGAAACAATGTCTAGATTTACAAATCAATGGTAAACTTGAGAACAACAATCTTGGAAGAGTGGTGGGAGTGAAAATTACTCGTATCAGCTCAAGAGAGAATGGACAAGAAATCTGAATCCATGAGTATAAACCATTCTTTCAAGGCCAGCATACGTAGGGGCATGACTGTAGACGATCTAATTTTCTTCTTGTTTAGCTGTATTTTTCAATTCTTATATAACTATATACTATATTTTTAACCTTTAAAAGTTTTTTTAAATCATATCTATATGGCATTTTTGAAATGCCAGATGAAGGTATTAAATAAAAATTCATTAACTTATAAAACCAAAAGACCTCTTGAACATTTCTAGATTATATAAGCTGATTATCATTTTGCTCATCCTTATGCATAAAGACCAAAGAAGACTAAAAGTTTCAGGAGAAGTATTTCTTGCTTGATAAAAATCAACTAACTCTAGAATATTTTATACTCATCAAATATACAAAGTAATAGTCAAAATATGGAATTCTATGACAAGAATAAAAGGGGACAAGGGCAGAAAATAATCTTATTTTGTAAATCAAATTTGTCTAAATTATATGAAGCTACTGTTGAAAAATATGGTGTGTTTCCTACTGAAATACATTATCTTTTAAAAGAAAGGATAATGGCATGCATGTAGGGTACCTTTAAAAAGAGGATTCACTGCATAACAGCACCTTGGTTTTAGCACAAGGATCAACAAATCGGTGCTTGTGGAGCAAATCCAGCCCACTGCCTGTTTTCATAAGGAAATTTCCTTGAAATGCATCCACACTTATGCCCTTTATAATTCACAAGGCCTAAAATATTTACTAACTGGCTCTTTACAAAAAGAGCTGTCCAATTCTTGGTTCAGTAGAGCTAAGATCCTCTGTTGTATTTTAGTAAGTTTTACCCAGTATATTGAAAAGCTGACACGGAACATGAATCCCCATGTGCCATCCCTTGGCAATATTCAGATTAATTTGAGGATCTGGTATTTCAGCACTCACACATGGACAGCAAAAAACAAAAATTTAATAACTAGAATTCTGTTGCTAACAAGGTACAGTGTCAATGTAGCATGTAGCTAGCTTCCTTTTGTAACTCAGCAGATATTACGAGAATTCCAACAAAACTGGCTTAAGATGTGTCATCAAACTAAAGGCTTTAAATAGACTTTAATTGTGAAATAATCAGTACACTCCTGGTCTAACAACTTCTTTTATTAAAATGAGTGCATGCTACATTATTTTCTGGGTATGACAATTGTACTATTTCCTTATTGCTAAGGATTTAGACTATCTCCAACTTCTTGATATTACAATGCTATAATAAATATCCTTATACATAAGTATATATGTAACATATATAAATATCCTTGACATAAATATATCATATATACTTAACATTATATATATTTAACCTATTAGCCTATTGTATGTTACATACTACATGTAATAAATGTCCTTAACACATATGTGTATGTGTTTACACAAGTCATATTTTCCTGTAGGATCTTGTCCCAAAAGTGAAGTTGTTAGGTTAAAGAAGTGACATATTTGAAATTTTGATACATGCTACTAAATTACCCTGCAAAAAGGATTCATCAATTTCATTTAACAAGTGTATGAAAATGCCTTTTTCTTCACATTTGCCAATACTTCCTATTTTTTAAATAAAATATCAATATGATTGGAAAACATGGTGTCTCATTGTTAGTTTGCATTTTTCTGATAACCAAGGAAGGCTGAATATCCTAGTAAAAGTATAAAATCTGTTCATCATGAATATTAGCCCAAATTAGGATTCATTTCATAGCACATAATTGTCTCCTGTTTTTTGTTTTCGTTTCTGTTTTTGCTTTTTTTTTTTTTTTTTTGAAATGGAGTTTTACTCTTGTTGCCCAGGCTCGAGTGCAATGGCATGATCACGGCTCACCACAACCCCCGCCTCCCAGGTTCAAACGATTCTCTTGCCTCAGCCTCCTGAGTAACTGGGATTACAGGCATGCACCACTACGCCTGGCTAATTTTGTATTTTTAGTAGAGATGGGATTTATCCATGTTGGTCAGGCTGGTCTTGAACTCCTGACCTCAGGTGATTCACCCGCCTTGGCCTCCCAAATTGCTGGATTACAGGCGTGAGCCACCACGCTTGACCAATTGTCTCCTGTTAAACGCTGCTATAGGCTTACCTGTCATGCTCTTCATTTTCCTTCCTAGGAATCTGCTGATTTAGTCCATCATCATCATTGCCAACAGTAGTACCATCAGTTAGGGTTCCTGATAATTCTGTGCTATTACTTCTGTGCTTCTCCATTTCTTCTTCAACCTTGAGTGAGAGTTTGATGTTCAGGATGATTCTTATTGCTTTATTCAATACAAAGAACTTTTTTCTGTTTGCATTGATTTCATCATCACTTGACTCAGTTTAATTATAATTTTAGTCATTAAAATATTTGGTGCTTACTTTAATTTTATCACATCTGGAACTATCATCATATAATTATAATTATTATAATTTTATCATCAACATTTTTGTAAAGTCAGCTTCATTTCTGTTTCAATGAATGAGACAGAATTTTCCAAAATTTCAACCAGGGCCCTTCTTAATTTTGTGCTTTTATTCCCAACCACCCTTCACTATGTATTATGAATTTTTACCTCATTTGACTGGCACAAACATGGAAATAAGAAGATAAAGACACAAAGCGTGTCTTCTTCTGTCTTTGCCACTTGACTTTCATATTAAACAGCCAGATTGAGAGGATACAACACTGTGGGGTTTCAGGAAAAGAAAGGAAGCTTTCCCTTTTCTGCACTAAGCTATTCTTTTCCCCCACTAACTTTTGTCTTTTTTTTTTTTTTTTTCATTTGAATCCTGAGATATCAAAAAGGTGAAGGTGCTTACTGAAATACAAGTCTGCCACAACACAAAAAGCAGAGTGAAACTGCTGAGCTAGGGTGGAATTCTGGAAATGAGATGCTTCCCAAATTTCACATTCAATAGCCATAAAAGTTTATAGCTGGAGGATATACAGTATAAGAATCTACTTTAGCTCACTCTCTATTGATAACTGGGCTAAAGCCAAAAAAGATTAAAATGATTGATCCAAAGCCCCTAAAGTGCCATTACCTAGCATTTTGTGGCACCAAAAGAGACAGTACAATTCCATAATGCTGAATCAGACAAATTCAGCAAATTAATCAGATAGGTTAAAAGTGTGACTTGGGTAAAATAATTTAATGCCTTAGCAGAGGGTGGGAGGCCTGCCCTAATCAATGTAGAAGACTCGGCTTTCTACTTTGGCATCATATACTAAGTGTTTGGCTGAGCATTTATGCTACTTACATGGAAAAAATATATATGCCAAAACTTACTGTACTTTATTAAGCAACATAACATAAAGGTCTGATTCAACAGAAACAGTGGAGAGTAGTTATATTAACAAATATATTAAAGTGTATATACTTGTTGTTGAAAAATATTTAAAGTGGTCATGATGCAATTCTAAGTTCCAACAGTTTGAGTTAAACAGATAAACCTGAAAAGCACAATAAACAGATTCATTGGCCAGGAATATTTGCTGCAGCTCTCAGGGCTGGATACTTCTTTTTTCTTTTCTTTTTTTTTTTTTTTTAGTAAGAGATGAGGTCTCACTATGTTGCCCAGGCTGGAATGCAGCAGCTATTCACAGGCACGATCCCACTACTGATCAGCACAGGAGTTACTTATGACCTGCTCCATTTCCGACCTGGGCTGGTTCACCCTTCCTTAGCAAATCTGGTGGTGCCCCGCTCCCAGGAGGTCACCATATTGATGCCGAACTTAGTGTGAACACCTGATCGGCATAGCACACTACGGCCCAGAATGCCTGGCCTCAAACGATCCTCCTGCCTTAGGCTCCCTAGTAGCTGAGACTACAGGTGTTTGCCACCACGCCTGCTAGATACATTTTTATATCTCTTCTTAGTCATTGCTTCCTTTCTACTGTATTCCCATCTTATTGTTAGACACAACTCATCTTTAAGTCGGTAAAAGGAAAAAGCCCTCAAGCTCATCACATTTCCTTTAGCGATTTTCTTGATGCCTCTCCTGGTTCTGAAGGTCACATGATATATGGCTACATGAGTTTCACAATCCATACGCCACTTGGAAGACTGACAGAGAGACTTAGGTCAATTAAGAAACAAAGATTATGAGAAAGTTTTCCTAAACTCCTATTACTTAGAAATCCTCTGTTTCTACACACAATTACAGATTTAGACAACCAAACTGTATGCTTTTCATATGCTTTTCCTAAGTGGAAAATCAGAATGGACCAGATAATTGAGAGAAAAAACAAAGAGTGGCAGCAAGTAAAACCCTACCTCTTTATGAAGTTGAACATTTTCTTTCTTCAAAGCCAGGAACTCTTCTTCTAATGTGTTGACCTCATTCTTAAACTTTTGCATGTCTTGCTGTAATTCTTCATGTAGATATACTTCTGATGTTCTGTCAGAATCTGGTGGTAAAGAACTCAGATTTTCTAATTTAGGTTTCAGGCTTTTATAGTTATTTGTACTGCCACTGTCACTATTTTGGTTCATATTTTTTGTCATTTGCAAATCAAACTCTTGGTCTTCTTTCATTTCAACCGTAACCACTTCTGGGTTCCTTGCTTTCTTAGTGCTTGCATCATTATGAAAGTTGTTATCTGTACTAAAAATATGTCCAATGCCTAGTTTGTTATCATTGTCGCAGTCTAATTTATTTTCATGTAAATGAAGCTTAGAAGATGACTGGCAAACATGTTCCTGGGACCCAGAGTACGGATGATAGTATGGATGGATGATATTTTTGAGACTGGGTTCTTTTTGTTCAGGAAATGTCTCGAATACCACTGAGACAGATATTTCAGATGCATCTTCTTCCTCACAACCAGGTATGTTATTTGTCAAATTAAAGGGAATATCCTTCACATCTGTTCCTCTTGTAGAGTTATCAAGTAGTGGCTCTTCCTCAGGACAAGCCGGAATTTTGTATTTTTCATAAATTTCACCAAACCTCTGCTTTAACTCATTTATGACGAGTTTTAATTGGTTTTTCCACTCTAATTTGCCTTGTTCAATCCACATTTCCTCAGATTTTTGCACATGAGGAAGTACTGGATATATAGGTATATCCTCTCTATCACAATCCTTAGCCATTTCTGGTTCTTGAGACGTTTTCTGCAGGTGCAAAAGTGGAAGATTAATTTGCTTGTTTTGTTTCTTGCGTGTCTTCTCTGTTGGGCTACATGTTTTAAAAATAGCTTTGTCCTTAAATAACAGGTATGAACAAAGAAAAATTCACAAATAATTAAAATGAAAATTTAACTGTTAAACTTCTTCATCTAGGTTTAGCTACTCCCAAATCACTGGCTTGTAACTAAGAAGTTAAAAACAATTGTCTTACCTGAAAGGAGGAGAAAAATATGAACCAGCAAACTTAACTTTGTCACTGTTTGTTTGGAATAAACTTAATTCATTATGTGTTAATTCTACCAAAAATGAATTAGCAGATGATTTCTAGTGTTACAAAGGCTTCCTCACTTGGAAAGTGAGCCCCTACAGTACATGTAAGTACTACATATTACTACATGTAAGTACTACATATTACTACATGTAAGTACTATATATTACTACATGTAAGTTCTATAGATTACTAACTGGAGGGTAGGCAATCTTCAAATTATTAGGAGCCCGAATCAACACCAATCAGAAAGAAAAGCAAATTCTTAAGTTTTAATTCAAATTATATACTGTAACATCATAGGGTTATATATCTAGACTATCTTCTTCAGTTCAGTTCTAATATATACTACGGTCCCCTAATAACACTAACTAAAACTTTAAAGATAATTCTTACTAAGTTTCTGCATCTAAAAAGTTAGAAATTTATTGTTTGTACCCTAACACCAAAGATCCCATTCTGCAAGGTACGATTCCCTTAATAGGCAGTTGGGTTGATTTCATAACCCCACTCTCACTGAATGTAGACCGTGAAGTCAATGAAAGGCCACATCTTTAACCTAGGCATTAGTAACTGGCAATATAAAACTGCAAAATTTGAGCCACTGGCCATGATTACTCTTAGACCATGAATCCAACTCAGTGGCCATCACTGTTAAATTGTTCATAATTTCTGTTGCTTAATAATATAAGTCAATAATTGACATTACCTTCTTTATCCTGTAAGGATATTGTAAGAATGGAAGAGCAAACAAAATTCTGGAATGTTTGCCTCTACTCCAAGGGTAAAGATTAACTATAAGTTATGATAGATTCTAACAATATTGTGTTTTATAACTAGTTTAAATGTATTTAAAATTAAATATTAAGTAAGGATCTATTGATTCTCAAAGGCTAGTCTGAGAGGTAATTTCATTTGGGCTAGCTTATATTATTAAAGCAAAGAAAAAAGTATTAAACCAGACATTTAGATTTTAGTTTAAATGTTTCCACACCTGTGGCTGCTTATTTTCGCATCCTTTAAGTCTTTCTTGCTCTTCCTCTGATGTCAGCTCCAAGTCTTGTTCTGCTGCAAAATCCAAACGTTCAGTTAAACTACTTAGAACAGTTAGATAAAAGACATAGTCTTTATAAAAATAGATTTTAAATTACATTTCATTTTATTTCATAAATTGAGAGTTTAAATGAAGCTTGATCTTTAGTGGAATACTTACTTCTTTAAGAAATACTTCTAATTCTCCAAAACTTCAACAAACCACTTTCTGGGAGACACTAGATGCCACCAGGTAAAAGAAATACAATCATGTTGAAGATTCACTCACAGATTCATCCACCCAACATCAATGAACAAAGCCATCACAAACAAAACAAAACTTTGGAATGCAGTAGCAATATTATCAGGCAATGCTGCATACTGTTCTCCACTTCATAATAGTACCTTATTAATGATTTCCAAAATGACTGTGGACACCTTTATTGGTGTACAACCTCTTCCTAACATCTGAAATGGTTCCCTGTATTATTCTGACAAATGTATTAATATTTTCATCTTTTAAAAGACTGCTAAAAATAAATAAATAAAATACATAAAATAAAAAACAGACTGCTAGGTGAAGTTGACCCTCATCCTCATCTTTCCCCAGGGTAAACAGGTATCTAGGTATCTCCTTCCTTAGGGCTGCCCTAGAACTTTAATGATTTTTCTACTGCATCTCCACCACCTGAACTGTCAATTATTGCTTTACATGTCTATTCCCTCTGCTCCTTGACTGTAGGGAACAATCTTGAAAATCATCTTTGTACAAAGAGTCATTATCTATTTTACTCAGCAATTATGTATTGAGTCTTGCTATGTGCTAGGCACTAGGATTTAAAGAGTGAAAAGCAAGCATGTCAGAGATGACTTTTCTAGAGATCCTGCCCGAGCTGAGGCTTAAAGAGTGAGGCTAGCCTAATTAGAAGGGGTAGGGGACAGGAAAGAGTGAGAGCATGACAGGCAGCAACAAAAGGCAGAAAGAGGCCTGAAAGAGTATATGAGTTTGCCTGCAATCGAAGGATGGGTCAGCAGGACAGGACCAGCAGTTCAGTAAGGCCAGAGAAAGGGCACACAGGGGAAAGGGCTAAAGATGGAGAGCTGAGCAGAATCACATTATGAAAGCCTTACGTATAACTTTAAGATGCTTGGACATTAATGTTCTCAAGAGTGGTCCCTGGTCTTATTTGCATTGGTGATAGAACACTGTCAATGCCAAAACCAACATCCCTAGCAAACACATTTATTAACGCAAGGTGGTAGCTCATGTGGACACAGCCAAGGAGATACTATGCAGCAAATTCTCAATAAGTCTCATTAATTACTGACTTGGAAAGTCAATTCTATAATACATAAAGTCATAGAAATGATAGGAAGTCACTTAATATTTGCTTTTGGAAGGTGTTTTTTCGTTTTTGTTTTTGTTTTTTGAGACGGAGTCTTCCTCTATTGCCCAGGTTGGAGTGCAGTGGCACAATCTGGGCTCACTGCAACCTCCACCTTCTGGGTTCCAGCGATTCTCCTGCTTCAGCCTCCTGAGTAGCTGGGACTACAGGCGTTCACCACCATGCCCGGCTAGTTTTTTTTTGTATTTTTAGTAGAGATGGGGTTTCACCATATTGGCCAGGCTGGTCTCGAACTACTGACCTCGTGATCCACCCACCTTGGCCTCCTAAAGTGCTGAGATTACAGGTGTGGGAAGGTGTCTTTTAAATTATAGTGCATATAGTTATAACTAACAGCTGTGAATTCAGAGCTGTAAAAATAAAGCAAAGAAACCACATTGTGTTTGAGTCAGCAATCTTTAGGTCTCTACTAAGTTATCCTAAATATAATCCTATGTTAGTCCCTAAACATACTTAGTCCCTATATTCTAAATATAATCCTACTTCCTAAAGAAAATCATGCTTTCCCCTAATTCTCTGTTATCTAGATGTTGCTTTGGTTAAAGGAAGAACACAAATATCCTGCCAAAAGGTATTCTGTTCAGTGCAAAAGGTGAGTAAACACAAAGCACATTTTACCAGAAAAAGTTTTAAGTCAAAACTATAGCTCTATGCAGCCAAGCAGAGGCACTCTAGGACTGAATTCTCTATGCTTCTTTGTTACCTTCTTTGCTCTCTTTGTTTTCTGGTAGCTGTGATTGGCACAGGTCATGGAGAGTATCATTCCCTGAGAGAAGTACAACTCCAGTGTCCATTTTTTCTCGTTCTGTTAAGTTCATCTGTCCCAGTTCTTTGGTTGCTGACTGATTTTCAGGCATTGATGGTGATACAGATGGACTTTTATCACCAACTTTCAGATTCTTGGATCTCTGACAAGTCTCATCACTAAGGGTCAAATTAGTAGGATGCCAATCTGAAAAATCCGAAAATGAAGTTTTCATTTTTAGGATGTAAATAACACAATAATTTGACTAACTTGTATACATGCTTTCTTCACAGAAACAGTCCCACATCCTGCTCTCTCCCACAACACACTATGCATTCAGGCTTATTATATTTTACATGTCCTATGCTTACAATTCATTCAGGTAAGTTTAATTAACTATCATCTCTCACTTTTCTACATTTTTACTGTTTACTATTACTTACTTTTATTCACTCAGCAGTCTCTATTACATATTTTGCTTTCCATTAAGATTCTTTGTGGATATAAATTTTTTAAAACATAATTTATGTCTAACCATTTTAAGCTTAAATATACATGACAGCATTGTATGTATGTATTGTAGAGACACAGGATTTACAAAAACTCATAATAAATATACTTTTAAAACTATTTTAATTATAATGAGATGGTCTTTTCTCAATTCACCACTATCTTCAGAATTTCCTTTCAAATACTTGGATAAACTTCATACATTTATTTGCAAAATAAGAGCTGTAAGGGCTCTAACTGTTCCCATGTGAGAACAGGATTAGTCTAGGACCACACTAGATCCAAATAGCACACAGTGCCACGAGACAGGAAAGGAATACATAACAAAAATATTTTCCTTTTTACTATATAAACAAAATTGTTGGGATTTAAATTTTTTTTTTTTTTTTTTGAGACGGAGTCTCGCTCTGTCACCCAGGCTGGAGTGCAATGGCGCAATCTCGGCTCACTGCAAGCTCCGCCTCCCGGGTTCACGCCATTCTCCTGCCTCAGCCTCCTGAGTAGCTGGGGCTACAGGCGCCTGCCACTACGCCCGGCTATTTTTTTTTTTATTTTTAGTAGAGACGGGGTTTCACCGCGTTAGCCAGGATGGTCTCGATCTCCTGACCTCATGATCCGCCTGCCTTGGCCTCCCAAAGTGCTGGGATTACAGGCGTGAGCCACCGTGCCCGGCCTGAGATTTAAATTTTTTAAGACAAGTGAAAGAAAAAAGCCAAAAACACATAAGTGAAACTTTAAAGTCCATTTCTTCATAAAGGGTGCATTTATCCACAACCACATATGTGGTTTAAAATGTTGACTCTCAATTATGATCTGAGAATCCCTGGAGTTCAAGATCCAGATGAGGGGCCAAGACGTCAAATAATACAAAATGTTATTTGCCATTTTCACTCTCATTCTGTTTCACGTGTACAGTGGAGCTTTTCATAGACATGGTGTGTCATAACATCATAGCTCTAATGGTGAATGGGTCATAGTTCTAAAGGCTTTGGAATGTATGGCTGAGCGTGCTTGTTTTTTTTTGTTCGTTTGTTTGTTTTTTCAGATGGAGTCTCACTCTGTCACCCAGCCTGGAGTGCAGTGGCGCGATCTCGGCTCACTGCAAGCTCCGCCTGCCAGGTTCACACCATTCTCTGCCTCAGCCTCCCGAGTAGCTGGGACTACCGGCGCCCTCCACCACGCCCGGCTAATTTTTTGTATTTTTAGTAGAGACGGGGTTTCACCGTGTTAGCCAGGATGGTCTCGATCTCCTGACCTCGTGATCCGCCCGCCTCGGCCTCCCAAAGTGCTGGCATTACAGGCGTTAGCCACCACGCCTGGCCGCATGCTTGTTTTTAAAATATTTTAGTTTTTATTTCTAAAATAGTAAATATCAAAAGACACAACCGACTTAAATAAAAGCTCTTTGGAATTTGCAATAATTTTTCTTTATTTTAATTATTTATTTATCATTATGAAGAGAGTTTGAGATCCAGTCATTTGATAGAAAACCAGAGCTTCCTGTGTCAATAAGGACTGACCTCAAAAATGTAATGTGACCAGACAAAAGAAAGTTGCAAAATATGTAGAGTGTAAAACAATTTATATACAATTTTAGGACATGAAAACAAATTCTACATATTATTTATGACCATACACATATGTAATAAAATGTTTTAAAAGGGAATGGACATAATAAATTCTTAATTCAGGGTGTTGGTTACCTCTAGGCAATAATATTTAATCATATAAAACGAACCCCAGGCCAAAAAGTTTCAGAATCAATGTTTTAAAAGACTGTGTCCACCATGTAGTTATTAAGGGTAATTAATTGCTTTCTTCGTTTTTGATAATCAAAACACACACACATGATTTGCTGACCAGAATATCTGACTGGCTTAAAATCATCAGTATAGCCACACTATGATGAAATAATTAAACTTAAAGCACAACTAACATATTGGCAAGTAAAGTTTGTCTTATCTGATAAGTTTTGGTGCTGCACGTTCACCTTATATTCTTTCCACCTTTCTAATACCCCACTCTTCTTTTGAAGTATTATCTCATTTTACCACCCTCCATCATATCCACTTGCTTCTTTTCCCTTCATTTACTCTCTGTACTCTCTGCCTTCCACATTCTTTATTCCCCCTTTTACTCTTATCCTCTTCCTTCTATCCTGACATTGCATATCTAGGGTTCAGTAGTATCCACTGTTCCAGGCATTCACTGGGGGTCTTGGAACATAACCCCCATGGATAAGGGGGGAAAACTGTACATTTTATTGTGTAGGTCTATGGGTGCTGTGCTGTGTTCTGTGGCAAAACATAGGGAAGAGACCAGGGATAAGGATCTTTGCAAAGACTTTTCAGCTGCCAGTGGAGAAGAGCTCAAGGGAGATCAATGTACTCACTCTCACTAATCCTCTTCTGGGGCAGATGCTGGCAATGTTTACTGAGTTCTAGCTATTTTCCCTAGCACAAACAAGGCTCAAATTCACCTCCCATTTTACCTCCTATGGACAGAACCACTGGAAAGATCACTCCCTTAAAGAGCTTATTCACTCTGAGCCACACCATTCATTCAGTGAGAAGCTTAAGAAGAAACACTGCCACAGTGGTGGCAGGTTGCCAGGGAGTACTACCTGGTATGAAAAATATATATAAACAGAACTATCAGCTCA
Source organism: Homo sapiens (assembly GCF_000001405.40). Classification (NCBI taxonomy): domain Eukaryota; kingdom Metazoa; phylum Chordata; class Mammalia; order Primates; family Hominidae; genus Homo; species Homo sapiens. The sequence goes on from NC_000017.11 coordinate 18,613,258, forward strand.
CTCAAGCTGCCAGAATGTGCCAACAGTTGTTACTCTCTCTGGTGAAAACAACATTATTTTTCATTTATTGTAAAGAAAAACACTGGCATTTCCTATGACAGAGCATTTAGTTGTAGATGAGCCATATTCTAATAATATAGACTGTTTTCAAGCTCATCCCTAAAAGGAAGAGAACCAGAGAGGAACATATTTATTCACCTGTAGTGTTCACTGCCTGATCTTCTTTTTAAGTGCAAGGTAAGTATGCAAGACTTTGTGATTCCAGTTTTATAAAGTCCAGCTCTTGAGATTATCCCGTCCCATCGCTAGACTCTATCTGGACCCATCTCCTAGAGCACGATGGTCCAGTTAGTGCTGTGGAATACTGCATGATGCCATTTTTCCCCACCCTCCCCGTTACGTGGCAAACATCTACAGAAATCACGCTTTCTCAGCACGTCAAATCATACGCCATCAGATCCTGTTCTGATGAACACAACATGAGGAAAACAAACACAAGGACAAAGAACATCTAAAATGACAGAATCAAATTACCATGGAACTTTATTGTTTAAATATTCAAAAAGATATCCACCACTGTTTTATTCCAACTATATGACTAGTCTGGAAAAAGCAAAACTACTGAGACACCAAAAAGACCAATGGTTGCCAGAAACCAGTGGAGAGGAAGAGACGAAACAGTGGAGGACAGAGGATATTTAGGGCAGTGAAACTATTTTGTCTGTGATACTACAAGGGTATATACATGCCATCACACATTTGTCCAACACCATAGAATGTACAAAACCAAGAGTGAACCCTAACGTAGACTGTGGACCTTGGGGGTGATGTGTCTGTCAAGGTAGATTCCTCAACTGTAACTCTGATGAACTCTGATGGGGGGTACTGATAATGAGGGAGGCTATTCATATGTCAGGGGTCATGGGGAATATGGAAAATCTCTGTACCTTCTCAATTTTGCTGTGAATCTAGAACTGCTCAGAAAATAATATTATTAATTCTAAAGCACATACTCACTGAACTTGCTATTACCCTAAATTATAAAAAGACAGAGTCACCTTGAAAATTGCAAATCACTAAAGATCAAGGTAACAGAATACGAGTACTATCTCCGAAATTGAAGCATATAAAAACACATAAAGCAATTAATTTTAATTGTATACTTAGGCAAAAAAAAATTCACAAAAATGATTGAATATCTGATCTTATTTCATAATTGTAAACAGGGATTTAGTACAATATGAATCAAAACTGGTCCATCCATGAAAATAAAATGAAAGACAATTTTTATTCTAATTTTAAATCAGAACTTATTATGCCTACTTTATCCCACAATTTTACTGAAAGGTTAATCAGATAAGAAGGACAGATTATAATTACTTAATATTGCCATAGTAACTTATGTACCAATACCTGTTAAGTATTCACCAAATGTCAAAACTGTAAGCAGCCTTGCTATTTAATATGAATGATGCAGCTGAAACCAGTACCATGTTATGGTCTATCATATTATTTGCTATTGTATTATATAAAATGTTAAGATAACACCAAAAATTTACTCAGGGGCATAGCTGCTGGGCAGCAAAGATTTCATATAGCAGGCATGAGACACCCATCCTTAGAAAGGCTTGCTTGCAAGGCTAGTCCTTGGCTGGTGTTTGGGACCTTGAATTTGGGAGGGTTCCCAGCATTCCCTAACTTAGAAGAAGGGAGTGGCTCACTGTGCCTAAAGTGTTTGTGCAAATGTGGTTTACTATGAACAATTAATTTCCTCCTGGGAGTCTAGAGTTTTGTTACATGTGAGGGAGAGGAGAGGTGGCCTATGTGACTAGCCTCCATCGAAAACATGGGTGCTGAGCCTCTAATGAAACTCTGGTAAGGTAGACAACATTGCACATGTGTCGTCAAAATTTGAGGCTGGGGGAATTAAGCATATCCTGCTAGCTACACAGGAGATGACTCCTGTAGCTTGTGCCTGGCTTCCTCCAGACTTTGACACATGCACCTTTTCCTTTCTCAAATGTTGCTTTGTGTCTTTTTGCTGTATTAAATGTAATAAATCAAAGCCCCAAGTATGACTATCTGCTGAGTCCTGTGAGTCCTTCTCAGTGAATTACCAAACCTCAGTGAAGGGGGTCTTGGGAACCCCTGATACAATTGCATTAAACAATTTTTTATTGTTTAAGTTGATGTGTTACATGTGACTACAATCAGAAGGTAATTTCACAGAATACCTTTCCCTAATCTGCTTATTTTTTATTTTTTGACATTTGCCTTGGAGATTCCTGTACTTCTATATCCACTGGACTAAAGGCATTAAAAATGCATGAAACAATGATGTCAGAAAGTAATTTTTAAAAGCAACAATCCTATTTTAACTCAATTAAAAATAGAAAATCTTAATGACTGACAATATATTCTACAGTATAAAAGTTTCTGGAACAAAAAATTATAAGATCACAGTCAATTTTCTCCCACTAGGTAGGATTTAATTCATTTTTATAATAATTGTGCAGCAGGCCAGGTGCAGTAGCACACATCTGTTGTTCCACCTACTCAGGAGGCTGAGGCAGAACGATTGCTTGAGGCTAGGAACTAAAGCTGCAGTGTGCTATAATCACACCCGTTCAAAAAAAAAGTCCAGGCCGGGCGCGGCGGCTCACGCCTGTAATCCCAGCACTCTGGGAGGCCGAGGCGGGTGGATCACGAGGTCAGGAGATCGAGACCATCCTGGCTAACACGGTGAAACCCCGTCCCTACTAAAAATACAAAAATTTAGCCGGGCGCGGTGGCGGGCGCCTGTAGTCCCAGCTACTCAGGAGGCTGAGGCAGGAGAATGGCGTGAACCCGGGAGGCGGAGCTTGCAGTGAGCCGAGATAGCGCCACTGCAGTCCCGCCTGGGTGGAAGAGCCAGACTCCGTCTCAACAACAACAACAAAAAAAGTCCAAAAAAGCCCTGCAAATAGTGGAACTGATCAGTAAGGATCAACAGGACTTTTAACTTATCTGGCCGGGAGAAGAGACATCTTATGTATAGATGGTTAAAAGTGTGGTAATCCAATTGACCACATATTCTAGTTAAATCACAGATTACCAATTTCTGAAGAAATGTAATACCACAAAAGCACTTCACATTTAAACTATGTCAGATAAAACAATTTGTATTTGACAACCCAGAAGACACTTAAAATCTTGGCAGACCATCATTGTGTCATTGTGGTGCAGATATAAAGAAGTGCATTTGAAATGTGTTCTAATAGTATTTTCTTTAGGAATGGAATTCAAAAGGAAGCAGTAAGAGCAGAAATATCACAAGAGGGTAAATGAAAAGGGAACTGCACTAACAAAAGGAGTCAGGCACTGACTTTTCTCCTGATGTGACCAAAACCCCAAGTACTGAGAACTGCTATATTCAGCATTTCACTTTATATTTTTCTCCAGGACATTATATTAGTTTCCTGCAATAAAATATTTTTAAAATGTCAGTTTGTCTAAACTGCTGGCCTGTAAACTATTTCTAATCAAAACCTGAAATTGTGTCACAACATGGCTGTATTATGATTCCATGTCAGAGGAACGATATATACGTGCATCTGGTGGTGGCTTCCAGTTGTTGCTGTCAGATGTTTGTTTGGGAATGCATTCAGAAGAGCCTATCAAGGACTTGAGTACCAAACAAGCATTTCCACAAAAAAGCAGGTAAGAAAGACTACACTTTTCCTCACATATGACCTTAGGTTTAGACAATTCTAGGAAAATGGTGGTACATTAACTCACCAGTCTTGACCATTTTCCCTGATCCTGTACAGGGAGCTGCTGCAGTTACAAAAGTTAGGTAGGATCTTGGTAGGTGTATTCTTCCCCATTTGAACATCAGAAGTACTGATCACATAAACAGCGAACCCCACAACTCTATGATTGTTCTTTAGAAGACAGTGCCACTGAAGGCTTTTAAAAGGTTAACTCACTTTACTTTTTAGTAATCTTACTGGTTAGAATTGATACTCCCTCCTTGAAATTCTCACCTTTGTTAATTTTTGCAACATCACTTTATGATTCCTCTCCTCTTTTTCTTTAGCCACGGCTCAGGCTTCTTTCCTAATTCCTCTGGGAAATGCTGATATTCCCAGGGTTCTGTCACTGGCCCTCTGCTCATTCTATACCTTTCCCATCATGGACAAGCTCACTCAGATCTACAACTTTGCCTCAGTTATTCCAAGTCTGCAACTCCAACCTCAGAGTTCCATCTCCAGCCATAAAAATTTTTCCAATTACCTACTGAAAATATCCCACATGGACATTTCAGTAAACTCAGCAATGCAGAGAAAACTGTTAGTCGTGACTGCTGACCTGCTGCTCTCCTCTATACACCTGAAAACTGCCTACTCCCTCGTGTCCAGGTTAAATGCTAGGGCACAAGCCAGAAACCTGAGAATCATCTGAGATTTCTCCCTATCCCCTATCTTTTTACATTCAACAATCACTAAATCATATTAACTGTACCTCTTTTCTGCATCTGCTTTATATTTCCACTGTGACACATTTATTTTATGTTTATATTTCCTAGTTAAACATGGGCTCTTAAGAATTGGCTTTTATAGGGAAAAAACAACTATTAATGTTATTTCTTAAATGAAAAAAAAAGTTTAAGTAAAATAAATGAAAAAGGCATCATGCCAAGAAAAAGACCGACATTTTTAAATGAGTAACTGAGCTCCTTAACCTTACTGATTTCACCATGGATGGGTGAAAACCTCACAACAGACCGACACTAGTCTGAGGACAGCACAAGGAAACTATAGCTCTGATAAATGCAAATGTTTCTTTTGTTTCCCTGTCTCTTTATGTGGTTATCTTCCAGCTGCTCTCCATATGAGGGGTCAGCAAACTACAGGCCATGGAGCAAATCCAGTCTGCCTTATAGTTTTGTAAATAAAGTTTTACCGGAGCTCAGTCATGTATATTTGCTTGCCTTTTTATGACTGTTTTCATACTTCAATGGTAGGGTTGAGTAGGAATGACAGACCACATGAAAAAGCCCTGTACAGAAAATGCTTGCCAATCCCTGCTTTATACCATAACCAGATTGCCCTAATACTCAAATCTAATCATGTGACTCCCCACTCCAATGAGTCCCTACAGTAAACATTGCTGTCTCCCTACCCAATAGCGATTCCCTGTTTCTCAATAGAGAAACACGCATCTATTTGGATATTTATCATGCCAATAGCCCTCCCCACTCCAAAAGAAGAAATGATTATTCTAAGCTCATCATAGTAATTACATTTGCTTCCCCAGTGCCTGCTTTAGGAATGAGCATGTGGTAGGACCCAGCCAATAAAATGTTACAGGAAGTCAACTGCACCCTTCTGAGTCTTCTCCCTAACTAAAAGAAACATGTAAAGATATTGTCGGTGAGACCACGATGTTTGGAGCTGTTGCTAATTAGTCAGCCATGAAAACAGACATGAACAAAACACCATGTTATCACTGAACCATCAAAACAACTCTGGTCCCTACTGTTTTAGCCACTGTTAGTTAGGTCATCTAGTATTTACAGCCCAAAGCATTCCACCTGGTAAATTTCCCATGGCCTACAGGAAAAGTTCTACTCATTTCTTTCTTTTTTCTTTTTTTCTTTTTTTTTTTTTTTTGAGACAGAGTCTTGCTCTGTCACCCAGGCTGGAGTGCAGTGGTGCGATCTTGGCTCACTGCAGCCTCTGCCTCCAAGGTTCAAGTGATTCTCCTGCCTCAGCCTCCTGAGTAGCTGGGACCATAGGCATGCTCCACCACGTCTGGCTAATTTTTCATGTGTATTCTTAGTAGAGACAGGTTTCACCATGTTGGCCAGGATGGTCTCAATCTCCTGACCTTGTGATCTGCCCTCCTTGGCCTCCCAAAATGCTGGGATTATAGGCATAAGCCACCATGCCCGGCCCGAGATCTACTCATTTCTATAGTATTAAAAAGTCTGGGCAGGGAGTGGTGGCTCACGTCTGTAATCCCAGCACTTGAGAGGCCGAGGTGGGTGGATCACTTGAGGTCAGGAGTTTGAGACCAGCCCGTCAAACATGCCGAAACCCTGTCTCTACTGAAAATACAAAAATCAGCTGGGCATGGTGGCTCGCGCCTGTAATCCCAGCTACCTGGGAGGCTGAGGCACGAGAATCACTTGAACTCGGGAGGCGGAGGTTGCAGTGAGCCAAGCGAACGCCACTGCACTCCAGCCTGGGTGACAGAGTGAGACTTTGTCTCAAAAAAAAGTCTGTCATGAGCTTGCCTTAGGTATTCACTTCATTCCCAACCATTCACATCTCATATGTTTTGCACTGGCAAAACTGAACTGCTCATAAACCCTGCAAAGTTCACTCAAGCATCTTACTTTTGCACTCGCTGCTCCTTCTGCCACACACACAATCTTCTGCCCACATCATCCTTCTGCCTCTTTACCTAGAAAAGTTCTACTCACTCTTCATGCTTACCTTAAATCTTACCCACTTTTTTACAGCTTTCATTCCTCACCACATAAAGTGTCTGGCACATATTTAACATAATAAATGATCACTATACGGTTCCAGAGGGCATCTAACACAGTAGTAGGCACTGAATAAATAATTCATCAAATAATTAAAGTGACAATGATAATAACAAGCTCCTGGGTTTTGTTGGTTTGTTTTTTTTCTTTTTTGAGACAGGGTCTCACTCTGTTACCCAGACACGAGCGCAGTGGCATGATCATAGCTCACTGTAGCCTCAAACAGCCAGGCTCAAGCAATCCTCCCACCTCAGCCTCCCAAGTAGCTGGAAGTACAGGCACCTGGCACCATGCCCAGCTAATGTTTTATTGTTTTTTAAAAAATTTAGTAGAGATGAGGTCTTGTCATGTTGCCTGGGCTGGTCTCGAACTTCTGGGCTCAAGTGATCCTCCCATCTCAGCCTCCCAAAGTGATGAGATTACAGGCATGCACCACTGTGCTGGCCCCAACAGTATTTTTAAATGTCTGTATTCTGTAACATTAGAAAAAAAAAGCTTAGTACTAAAAGACATTTGATAATTATTTGTTAAGTGGACAAATGAATAAATGATTTCCTTGAAAATTCTGTTGAAAAAAACACAGAAATTAAATAGAGAAAGCTCTGTTCTATCATGAGCACCTCAAAGACCAAAACTATGTCTATTTCATGTTTGTCTCCCATAACGTGCAAAACCTAACTTAGAGAAGTTCTTTGATTAATATGTACTAAATTAAAGGTGTCCTCTTACAGTTCAGATTGTCCAATGCATTAGGCATCACATCTTGGAAGCACAGAAGCATTTTTTGTTATTGTGAAACATTTTTATACTTTCATTATAATTTGTTGAGCCTAGAGTTGGGCTATTTGAATATTTATTATGATAATCTTTTGGCTAATGGTAACAGCATATCTTGTTCTAACAAAATTACTGTTAACATAGCAATTAACCAGCAGGTAGAAAAACACATCTTGTTCTAATGAAGTAAATATACCTCATTCGATTTCAAATTGGGGGAAAGTCAATAATAGTGACACCTTGTTGGTTTATAAGTATGTAACATGACCTGTTCTTCTCAACAAGGAATTGCTTTTCTGACTTCTGCACTCAGAAGGTCTCTTTAAAAAATAATTTCCCATTAGTATTAGTGCACATTGGGTATGTTTGGCAGGGTTTTGTTTGTGTTTTTGTTTTTGTTTTTTTCTGAGACAGGGTCTCACTCTGTCATCCAGGTTGTGATCATGATCACAGCTCACTACAGCCTTGACTCCCAGGCTCAAGCGATCCTCCCATCTCAGTCTCCCAAGTAGCTGGGATTACAGGTGTGCACCAAAACACCCAGCTAATTTTGTATTTGTTTTTGTAGAGATGTGGTCTCACTCTGTCACCCAGGCTGGTCTGGAACTTCTGGACACAAGCGATCCTCCCACCTAGGCCTCCCAACTTGCTGGGACTGCAGGTGTGGGCAGCACACCTGGCCATTTCACAGTTCTTATTGCCATTTGTTTATGGTGCCAGAAAGGTATTGCTGAGTTTCCAGTTTTGAAACTAATTTCTTTTTTTTAGTGACACAAATCACTATGTAATATAGTTAGCCTTTGAACAACACGGATTTGAACTGCAGGGGTCTACTTATGAGCAGATTTTCTCCCACCTCTACCACCTGAGACAGCGAAGACCAATCTTCCTCTTCCTCCTTCTCCTTAGCCTGCTCAACTTGAAGACTATGATGAAGAGTTATAGAATGATCCACTTGCATTTAATGAACAGTAAGCGTATTTTTTCTGCCTTATGATTTTCTTAACAGTTTATTTCCCTAGCTTCCTTTATTGTAAGAATACAGCATATTAATACATATACCATACCAAACATATCTTAATTGACTGTTTATGTTATCAATAAGGCTGCTGGTCAACAGTTAGCTATTAGTAGTTACGTTCTTGGGGGAGTCAAAAGTTATACACAGATGTTTGACTGCAGAGGGAATCAAGCATCCCTAAATTCCACATTGTTAAGGGTCAATTGTGATTGATATTCATTTACTAAACATAAGTCATTTATTTTAAAAATTAAATAGAAGTTCCAATTTCATAACAAGTCTAATTCATTATAATGTGACTATAAAGAAAACATACAACTTACTAACTCAAAAATATCTTTTTCTTGGCCGGGCGCGGTGGCTCACGCCTGTAATCCCAGCATTTTGGGAGGCCAAGGCGGATGGATCACGAGGTCAGGAGATCGAGACCATCCTGGCTAACATGGTGAAACCCCGTCTCTACTAAAAATACAAAAAATTAGCCGGGCTGGGTGGCGGGCGCCTGTAGTCCCAGCTACTCTGGAGGCTGAGGCAAGAGAATGGCATGAACCCCAGGGGGTGGAGCCTGCAGTGAGCCGAGATCGCACCACTGCACTCCAGCCTGGGCGACAGCGAGACTCCATCTCAAAAAAAAAAAAAAAAACTTTTTCTTATTTATACAAAAATATCACATAGGATTTTAGGGACCATAATTAATTTTTTTTCAGACCAGATTGTTTGAAAAAATAAATGACCTACAATTAACTTTTTAAATAATTGTGACATCTAACCTACCAAGAAATCTAACCTATCAAGAAAGAAATAAAGATTTTTTAAAACTGCTCTTTCATGATCAAAACTTCTTTACTCTTACTTCTTTTTTACCTATGGTAGGACCACCAAAAATAATTCACTATCAGAAGTCTTACCTGGATTGTTATTTTGAGGAAGACTTTCAGGTGTCTGTTTTTCCTTATATTCAGGAACTAGTTGCTGAATGCTATGGATAAAAATGTAATAAATGAAATTACTATTTTAAAACAAATGAAAAATACCAAATATATTAAATTTTTGGAGTATTTCAAACAATATCAGAGTTAATATCAGAGCTTTTAATTATCCCATATACTTCGATTTGTGAGTTCTACCAACTTCTCTTTAAGCTTCTGAAGAAGAAAAAAAGATGAAGTACTCATGAATTGAAGGGAGTATAGCTCAGTAAATTAACTCACATTAGCTTGGCATAATGGAAAGCATCCTAGCTCTATTACCAGCAGCTATTTATTCTCTGACAAGTTGCTTCTCTTAGGCTCAATGTATTCTTCTAAAAAGCAAGGATTTTCCTGCCTTATTTCACTAGGTTGTTAAAAAGATTTAACAAGAAAACGTTTTGTAAATGCTCAGAGAAACAGTGAAGCAATGAAATAATTTGTTCTTGAGCTTTATTGAGGAAATGGTTTTGGAATCACAAATAAAACCCAATGTGTATTTTTTCCAGAGGTTCTAATATTCAAATGTTGCAGTTTTCCAAAACTGTTATTAAGTTCTAGTTTTATTAGTTCTATTCTTTGTGGCTTATAATTTGGGGCATCACAGCTAGTTCATAGTTTGTAACTAAATTTACTTATAAATATATTATTTCATCAAACTAGATAGCAACACTGTCCACTATTACTGAGCTCATCAATCACGCCAAGGGGAGAAAGCTAATAGATGTCAAGACCTAGCTTGGACTACTGTTCCATACAGACTCAAACTCTGAATCGGCAGATCTTTGTTAGAAGGATGCTCAATCCCCATGTTCATCTCCAACTGACATGGAAAACAAAATTCTACTTTTTTTTTTCAGTTCCATGAAAGACATGCAAGTTGACATTCTCTCATTTCTGAGATACATACTGACAATATATTTGCACACAACATCCCACGTGTTACTCAGCTCCATTGATCACCTTACTGCATATTTTTGTAGTGAAAAATCACAATTTTAATATTAGGTGATACCCAGTTTGCTTTGACTCACACTGTCTTTGGAAGTAGTCAGCAAATAGTCAAATGAACTTCTAGTGACTGCGCAAAATATGGACTTCAAAAATCTGTGCATCATCCTTATGCAGGCAGGGGCCATGCTGCCATTTTGTTTCAATTTTAGTATATGTTTGCTGCTGAAGCAAGTTTTGTTTGTTTGTTTGTTTTAGACTGAGTCTCGCTCTGTCACCCAGGCTTGAGTGCAGTGGCGCGATCTCGGCTCACTGCAAGCTCCGCCTCCCGGGTTCATGCCATTCTCCTGCCTTAGCCTCCTGAGTAGCTGGGACTACAGGCGCCCACCACCACGCCCGGCTATTTTTTTTGTATTTTTTAGTAGTGACGGGGTTTCACCGTGTTAGCCAGGATGCTCTCAATCACCTGACCTCGTGATCCGCCCACCTTAGCCTCCCAAATTGCTGGGATTACAGGCATGAGCCACTGCACCCTGCCAAAGCTCTCATTTTATACATGGATATTCATGAGTCATGGATGAGACTTGGCTCTGTTAAATCCAGCTAACATACTTGAGACTCAGAATTCTGGTGAGGGCTTCCTGTCACAAATCTGGGAAACGATAATATGGGACATTCCACGATCTAAGAAAAGGGTCCGGCCGGGCGCGGTGGCTCACGCCTGTAATCCCAGCACTTTGGGAGGCCGAGGCGGGCGGATCACGAGGTCAGGAGATCGAGACCATCCCGGCTAAAACGGTGAAACCCCGTCTCTACTAAAAATACAAAAAATTAGCCGGGCGTAGTGGCGGGCGCCTGTAGTCCCAGCTACTCGGGAGGCTGAGGCAGGAGAATGGCGTGAACCCGGGAGGCGGAGCTTGCAGTGAGCCGAGATCCCGCCACTGCACTCCAGCCTGGGCGACAGAGCGAGACTCCGTCTCAAAAAAAAAAAAAAAAAAAAAAAGAAAAGAGTCCTCAGCATACAGATCTGGTAGCAATGAAAAAAGGAAACTCATCTCTTTCTGCAACATTATTTGAACTGAACCCCGAGGGCCTAAAGGATAATTTATCATGAAGGTCTTAGCTAAGTCTAGGCTGAGACAAAAGCATAACAGGCGGGGTTTCACCATGTTGGTCAGGCTGGTCTCGAACTTCTGACCTCGTGATCTGCCCTCCTCGGCCTCCCAAAGTGCTGGGATTACAGGCATGAGCCACCGAGCCCGGCCAACATGAAGTTCTTAAGGGTGGAAGGAACCTGAGCGACAGTAGAATATGTCTGCTGTATAATATGTATTCAGCTTATGTTTGATGAATAAATTGAGAAAATGGATAAACACAGTTGGGAAGTGCAATATTTTTAAAGAAAACTCCTGTAAAGTAGACCAACACTTTTGCAATAGTAATAATCCTTTATATTTGATCCCGTCTCACTAAGAGGCCTGGGCCCCTGACCCCTCTGACGTTTCCCCATCCCGGGTGCCATGGGGCCTCCGGGCACCAGAAAGCCAGTGTCCCCGACAGGACGGCGCACCCGCATCCTTCACCTGGCCATTACCTCTTCTTCCTATCCCTCTTGTCCACGCCAGTGTCTCCAGGAGCCAAGACGTGCTCCACCCCAGGGACGTCGCCCGACCGGGCAGCTCTGTGGAGCTCGCCAAGATCTTCCAGGCGGACGTCGTGCTGGGGCTGGTCTAAGGCGCCCTCACCGTGCTTGCTCTCGCTGCCGACGCTATTTTTCCACCAGCTGTAGGAGAAGCCCGAAGACCACTGGTCCCCCGGGTAGCCCAAGTACCACTGGTCCTCCTGGCTCCTGACGCTACGGGTCTTCCTCGTGGCGTAGACTGCCAGCTTCGGAGACCCCTCAGCCCCTCCCCGCTTTTCTCCACCCCAGGAGGCCATCAGTAGCGAGCTACTGCCTCGGCCACAACCTCCCAGCAGGATAGCCCGCGGTTTCCAATCTGCGAAAGGAGGACCGCCAAGCCAGAAATGCCAAGCCAAGCGATCACTGCCACGCCAAGCCAAGCGACCACCGCCAAGCCAAGCAGCCACCGCAAAGCCTCGCGGGTAAGGCCAAGCCAATCCGTTACAGACCAGTGCGCCTGCCCACCTGTGACGTCACGGAACCTGTGACTTCACTGCAACTGCAGCTCCAGCCTCCCAGAAAAAGACTCCTTGGCCTGCAGGTGGCGCTGCAGCTCCAGCCTCCCAGAAAAAGACTCCTTGGCCTGCAGGTGGCGCTGTAGCTCCAGCCTCCCAGAAAAAGACTCCTTGGCCTGCAGGTGGTGCTGCAGCTCCAGCGCCAACCTGGGCTGGCTGGTCCTCCCTCGGAGGTTTCGGGGTGGCGGCGCCTAGCCTGCCTGTCATGAGTGCTGTTTCACAGACTCTATCTCAAAAACAAAACCAAAAACAACAACAACAAAAAACGGTGTTGGAAGTTCTAGCTAGTGCAAAAAGGCACGTTAAAGAAATAAATGGCATGCAGATTGGAAAGGAAGACATAAAACTGCCTTTATTTGCAGATGACATGATTGCTTAGAAAATCCCAAAGTGTTTGTTTACATGCAGGTTTAGCTAAGTCTCAGGATACAAAGTCAGCATACAAACGTCAATTGCTGTCCCATATACCGATTGAACAATTGGATTTGGTAATAAGAAAAACAATACCAATTGCGACAGCACCAAACAAAAAACAAAAAAAAAAACCCGAAAAAAAACCGACTAAGGTCTAAATCTAACCAGATATGTGCAGAAGGTAGAGCTGTCAGGGTGGTTGAGGGCATGGGCTCTGGAGCTGCCTGCCTGGCCTTGCCTCTTGCCTTTCCTGCTCATAAGCCATGTGTCTCAGTTTCCTCCTGCAGAGTGCATCCACCTCACAGGACCTCTGTGAGGGTCCAACAAGTCCATACATGAAAAATGCCCAGAATGGTAAACAGTAAATACATACAGTAAATATGAAAAAAATTGCATTCACATAATCAAGCACAAATTAGCTATTTAAGCACAGCTCATCAAGTTTACACTTGCAGAGTAGGCCCAGCCATGCCTCAGGAATTGCTGTGTGGTGACCTCCCTCCACAGGGACATGCAGCACCCAGTCCCGCAGCGGCTGTCCTGGTGGGCACGCTGGCACTCAGTGAGCAACACCCCTCACAGACTACATGGCCTTATAAAGACACAGCAGCCCTAGGGACACATGTTATGGCCATTTTTATGACAGCGATGTCACATATCATCCTTCACCTAATTCCTTTTCTGGGGAGTCACTCGCGCCTGCAATTGGGCTGGCTAAGATGCTCTCCTTACACGGTGGCTGAGGAAGAACACTTTCTAATAACTGGGGAAGACTATAGAGCTTCACTTTTAAAGATTTCATCATCTCACATCAGTCAGAACGGCTATTGATAAAAAGTCAAAAAATAACAGATGCTGACAAGGCTGTGGAGAAAAGGGAATACACTTTTGGTGGAAATGTAAATTAGTTCAGCTACTGTGGAAAGCAATCTGGAGATTTCTCAAAGAACTTAAAACAGAACTACCATTTGACTCAGCAATACCATTACTGGGTATATATCCAGAAGAAAAGAAATCGTTCTACCAAAAACACATGCACACTTATGTTCATCACAGTGCTAGTCACAATAGCAAAGACATGAAATCAACCTAGGTGTCCATCAATAGTAGACTGGATAAAGGGCCGGGCGCGGTGGCTCATGCCTGTAATCCCAGCCCTTTGGGAGGCAGAGGCGAGTGTATCACCTGAGGTCAGGAGTTCGAGACCAGCCTGGTCAACAGGGTGAAACCCCGTCTCTACTAAAAAACTACAAAAAATTAGCTGGGTGTGGTGGCGTGTGCCAGTAATCCCGGCTACTCGGGAGGCTGAGGCAGGAGAATCTCTTGAAACCAGAAGGCGGAGGTTGCAGTGTGCTGAGATCGTGCCACTGTACTCCAGCCTGGGCAATAAGAGCAAAACTCCATCTCAAAAAAAAAAAAAGAATACAGAGATCTGACATTCCTTTGAGCCACCACTCCAAAATGGTTTCTCACCTACTCACTCCAACAAAATTGCTCTTATCAAAGCACAAACCATGTTCACATTGTTAAATTATTAATTAAAGCATAATTCCCCAGCCTTTGTCTTAATTTATGTATCAGCAGCATTTGACACAGTCAATCTCTCCCTCGTTTTTGCAAAACTTCTTTGATAGAATTCCAGAACACTTAACCTACTTTCCCCAACATTTTTGATAATTACTCCTAGTCATTTTTTGCTGGTTTCTTCTCATCTTTACTACTTTTTTAATGTTAGAGAACCACTAGGCTCAGGACTTGGACTTATCTTTCTTATCTTTGCTTTCTTACTAATTTTTATGCTTTAATTCCCTGATATTTCATATTACACCTCAACATTAGACTACACCCAACACCGTCTGACTTCTTCACTTGGGTATCATTTAGGAATCTCAAAATGAATGTCCACATGGAGCCACCAGTACTCCCCAAACTTGGTCTTCCGCTTTCTGTTTAGCGGCAACTCCCATTTTATAATTTCTCAGCTGAATATTCTTGATGTCCCCTTTTAGTTCTCTCTATATCTGTCTGGTTTTCATTCCCTCTCTATCTCTCCATCACATACACACACACACATTTTCAGATCTGACGTGTATGGAAAAACTACCAGCTTTACCTTTAAAGTGCAATAATTCCAAATGGTGTTTTCAAATTCACCTTCCCTCCCTCACCACTTATACTTCCTTCACAAGGTCAGTACTTCCCTCACAAGGTCAAAATCTCTACTGCAGAGATTTATTGGGGAGATAATGAGAACTATTATACATTCCTTTTTTTTTTGAGATGGAGTCTCACTGTTGCCCAGGCTGGAGTGCAGAGTGGTATAATCTCGGCTCTCTGCAACCTCTGCCTCCTGGGTTCAAGCAATTCTCCTGCCTCAGCCTCCCTAGTAGCTGGGATTACAGGCACGTGCCACCACACTTGGCTCATTTTTGTATTTTTAGTAGGGACAGTGTTTCATCATGTTGGCCAGGCTGGTCTGACCAACATAATGAAACACTGTCCCTACTAAAAATACAAAATTAGCCAGGTGTGGTGGCGGGCACCTGTAATCCCAGCTACTTGGGAGGCTGAGGCAGGAGAGTTGCTTGAACCCAGGAGGCGGAGGTTGTGGTGAGCCGATATCGCGCCATTGCACTCTAGGCAGGGCAAAAAGAGCAAAACTCCGTCTCAAAAAAAAAAAATGACTTTTTGATACATGTATTAAATGTAAGCGAATAACAGCATAAAAAATGAACTTTTGGGGGGATATTATGGGATGCAAACAAGTACTGAGAGCAGTATGAGGAATAAAACTCTCATCCTGGCTTGGTGTGGGCAGAATCTCACAGTCTGAGAACAGCCCCAGTAAGCGGCAGTGGTAGGGCCCCTCCGTATAAAAACTGTTCTCAAATTGAAGTCTCAGTAAAAAAAAATATAAATAAATAAAAAATAAATAAATACTACCAAACCTCAACACAAAATGATTGATTCATCATTTGATATACGCTGTGACCTTATAACATGTACAATTGTGTTATCATTCTATAAGGTTTATCATTTGTTAATTTTAAAACCAGAATAATTTCAAACTTGAAATAAGTCCCTTGAAGAAATAAATTTCAAAATGCAACCCCCTATCTATCTATATCTTTATCAACTATATCTGTGTTAGGCCATTTTTTGTATTGCAAAAGCAAAGGCATCCTTCTACACATTCTAAATTTTATAGAATCACACAAATATTGACACAATGGTGATAGGCGAAGGTAGACATTAATATTATTTGGAAAACAGTTTCATTTATACTATTATGAGCAAATTATTAGAATTGGTCTAGAGAAATATGAAGTCACCTAGGGAATGATTGTATACACAGTGCTTTTCACTGATGAAACCATCTCATAATTTCTGTTGTATATTTTTACTACAATGATAAATTATTGGTTTGAGTTTCGATGTGTTCATTAAATACATTAAATATAGGTTAATGTTACTGCCTTTTGCCAGGTTATACAAATTGTTTCCATTTTGCGTTTGTTTTGTTTCTCACTTTTATTGTTCTAATAGGAATTTATTTTAGGTAAACACAAGTATTTCATTAGAGAAATTTTGACATGTCCCAGGTTTGTTTTTTTTGAGACGGAGTTTTGCTCTTCTCCCCCAGGCTAGAGTGCAATGGCGCAATCTTGGCTCATGGCAACCTCCACCTCTCAGGTTCAAGCCATTCTCCTGCCTCAGCCTCCCGAATAGCTGGGATTACAGGCATGAGCCACCGTGCCTGGATGACATGTCCCAGGTTTGTCTGATCTACAAAACATACACATAAAATCAGAGGAAAGAAAATGTGCAATTGATGTCACACATCAGGGATACCAATAAGGGTCACAGTGACATATTTTACCTCCAATTTGTGGGCAAAGGTGCCAGTAAATTCTGATAAGAGGCAGCAATACTTTGTCTACATTCCTATTAAAAATCATTAAGTTATTTTAAAAGCTGGGAAATGGCATGGTTGGGAGGATGTGTAATACAAAACTGTAACTCATGAAAATTAGCTATAAATCTAGGCTATGACAGGAGCAGCAAGAGTAGATGTAGCTTTTTTAAAAACTGTACTTGAAAATTATTTCATCATCATCTATAGCTCCTTTAAAATAATATTTAGTTGGCATATGTCTTAATAAAGGGCAGAAGTACAGTCAAAATATTTTTTATATAAGGTAATATATGTTAATACATATGGTTTATTCTTGTTCATTTTGTTTCAGGCTGTCTCAGAATTGTGAAATAGGTAAGTGAATGATAGAAATATTCTCATAGTTAAAACTTAGAATGATTATCCCTTCAAAAGGTAGAATATTACCTTACTTTCGGTTTCAAAGGTAAAGATAATATATCCATATACACTTGAATTTTACTTTGAAGAGTAGGGACCAATATGTCTCCACACATATTTTATTAATCATGGGCATTTTGCCAGACTGATGGGATGCATCTGGTAAATTCACTCTGTGTGTGTAAGTGTGTGTGTGTGTGTCACTGATTTACCACATGTAATGATTAAATGATACATGTAATTACATTATTTATTTATGGTATTTGAAAAGAAAGTACTACTAAGGTAATTATTGACTTTCCTAATATCAGACCACTTATGCTCAGAGCAGGACACAGAACTTACAAATAATGCCTATTTTGTAACCCAGTATTTCCTTCTCAAATTTTGAATAACAATTTGAATAATTTAAATGATATTTTAAATCCTCATTTTAATGTAACCCTTTAATAAACAAAGAGGTAATGATAGGCCGGGCATGGTTGCTCACACCTGTAAACCCAGCACATTGGGAGGCCAAGGTGGCAGATCACCTGAGGTCACGAGTTTGAGACCAGCCTGGCCAACATGGCAAAACCCCATCTCTACTAAAAATACAAAAATTAGGTAGGCGTGGTGGTGGGCGCCTGTAATCCCAGCTACTCGGGAGGCTGAGGCAGGAGAATTGCTTGAACCCAGGAGGTGGAGGTTGTAGTGAGTTGAGATCGTGCCACTGCACTCCAACCGGGTGACAGAGCGAGACTGTGTCTCAAAAAAAAAAAAAAAGTGATGATATAAATATTTTGTATTATTTAAAATAGTTCTTTTAAAATTTCCCCTTCACATTAAATGCAAACATAAACATTTTTGTAAAAATGAAAACATTGCAAATAATTCAAAGATCATTTTATCTTCTATTCCAAGTGTTGCTCTTCTTACCAAAAGTAACTGTTTCCAGCATGATTTCACCTCTGAGCTCATGCTCTTAACCACCTTATTATCCTGACTTTATGCTTTATAAAACATGATGTGGTATGCTGTATGCATTACTTCAGTTGCCTAATTTAAAATTATAGAGGGTGGGGGACGATGGCTCACATTTGTAATCCCGGCACTTTTGGAGGCCAAGGTGGGCAGATCTCTTGAGCTCAGGAATTGGAGATCAGCCTGGACACCATGGCGAAACCCTGTCTCTATAAAACAATCTAAAAATTAGCCGGGCTTGGTGGCACCCAGCCGTAGTCCCAACTCCTTGGGAGGCTGAGATGGGAGTATCACTGCAACCTGAAAGGTTGAGGCTGCAGTGAGCCCTGTTAGGACCAATGCACTCCAGCCTGGGTGCCAGAGTGGGACCATGTCTTAAAAAAATAAAATAATATGAAGTAGGTCTTCCTAGTGTTATCATTTTAAAGATAATAAAATCAACATATAGAGATCATAAAAAAAACACAAGATTATGTAATCCCAGCTACTCGGGAGGCTGAGGCAGGAGAATCACCTGAACCCGGGAGGCAGAGGTTGCCGTGAACCAAGATCACGCCATTGCACTCCAGCCTGGGTGACAGAGCCAGACTCTGTCCAAAAAAAAAAAGCAAAAAACAAACAAAAAACCCCACAAGATTATTTACTGGACTACATCGAAGAGTTCAAGGAAAACTGCTAAGTTACTGATTTTGTCACTAGTTTTCTTTTTTCTTTACTTTTTTATTTTTGAGACAGCATCTCACTCTGTCATCCAGGCTGGAGTGCAGTGGCGTGATCTCAACTCACTGCAACCTCTGCCTCCCAGGTTCAAGGGATTCTCCTGCCTCAGCCTCCAGAGTAGCTGGGATTACAGGTGGACACCATCAGGCCCGGCTAATTTTTGTATTTTTAGTAGAAACGGAGTTTCACCATGTTGGTCAAGTGGGTCTCGAACTCCTGACCTCGTGATCCACCCACCTCAGCCTCCCAAAGTGCTGGGATTACAGCCACCAGGCCTGGCCTGTCACTACTTTTCTGTAATGTTTGGCATAATATCCACCTTGACTTATGTTAGGGTAAAAAATGAGGGATAATTCAAAAGTGTAGAGAGATGAAGTAGCAGGCCCCATGCTTTGACATTAAGAAGAATGGGGTTAAGTGTGAGGCTTCTGTGAGTTGTCTGATCTATCCAGATACCAGTGATAATGACCTAGAGGTACGTTGTCCAATAGCCACACATGGCTACTACATTTAAATTTAAATTAATTACAATAATATAAAAATTTGGTTAGTCACACTAGCTACCTTTCAACTTCTCAAAAGCCACATGTGGGTAGTGGTTAGCACATTTCGTAGCATAGAGAACATTTCCAACATCACAAAAAGCATTGGTGAATGCTTGTCTGGACACTTAAGCACACACAGAAATGTCAAATTGGGTTAAGATGCTATCAAAAGCTAATGCTTGGACTTGCCATTAGACAAATACACGTTATCAATGCCCTGCTGATATGAGAACTGAGAATAAAATGTGTGTTCCGGGTGGACTGTAATTAAACAGTTGAATGCCTGACTACAAACATTTAAATCTAAGTTCATGTATTTGGTGATTTGGACCTGGAATGTATCCTTAGTTGGGTTGAAGATGGAAAACATTCTTCTCTTTCTGACCAACTTATTAAAGATGTTTGAATGATAGCATTACATATATTATGCAAAATCTTTCTCAAATGTCACAAGATATATATAGTATAGGAAGCAACTACTATATGACTTTATTAGCATTTTCACTGCTTAATAAATGCATTTTGTATTACAAAATTAATAAGTACCCATACTATAATTAGGGTATTCCTCCAAAATATTATAAATAATAACACTAAACAACTACGGAAATGGAAAGAAAGGGTCAGCAGTGTGTGTTATGGCATGAACATTTGTTTCCCCCAGAATTTATGTGCTGAAGATCTAACTCTCAGTGTGATGGGATTTGGAAATAGGGCCTTTGAAGGTAATTAGGTTTACATGAGGTCATGAGAGTGGGGTCCTTATGATGGAATTAATGCCCTTATAAGAAGAGGACAGAAAGCCTGCTCAAGAACCAAATCAGCCATTGTCTTGGTCACAGACTTCCCAGCCTCCAGGGCTGTGAAAAATAAATGTCTGTTGTTGAAAGCACTGTTTATAGTATTTTGTTATAACAGCCTGAGCAGACTAATACAGCATGTAAATACTATATAATGACAACAGAATAAACAATGTGGCTATAAAACAGATAACAAAAGAATCTGGGACCATTACATGCTAAAGTCTGTTACAACTAAATAAAAAAATTAAAAAATTAAAAATGCACTTTCATTATGTCAAAAGCAGGTGGAAAAAATAAACAATTATTTAAGAGTGTTTGTGTCCAAGCACATAGTATAAAATCTCTACACATCATTAAATCTTTGTAATAAAGTAGTTTTATGCCCATCTGTCATAAATAAATGAATAAATTATAAACAATTGAAGCTTAGGGAAAATTATCAGCATTCCAGTTTATAATTAGTAGGTCTAGAATTAGGAAAATAATCCTAAATATGGTATAAGTGACTGAAGTATATTTAATAGAAAAATACATTAAAATACTGAAGACAAAGAATGTTGCTCCATAAGCTCATAACGCAGCAATAATCAATTTACATAAATTATTCCAAATATTAATGAACATGGAGAAATCAGTGAATAACACACTGAAAAATGAATGCCTAGGAGATGAAGTAAAACTTCGGTCTTTTTGGAATATTTAATAAATTCCTGCTTTAAACTAATGATAAAAAAAAAAGGCAATTCCAAATATGACAAACGAAAAGAGACATACAAAGAGATATACGAGACTTTTTTTATTTCACAAAATGGTACATGTTAACTCTTAAGTTGGAAAACACGGATCACTAAGTGATTTTGCGAAACAAACAACAAAATCATTAACACAGAAGTGATACCAAAAATGCAAAGGAGTCTTCCCACCTCTGCACAAAACAACAAAAGCACAAAAGTTGTTAGGCTGAGACATTTCAAAGTAAATTATTTTATTACCTCAAGAAAAAGATCATATAAAAGCTATCAGTTCCAGGAAAGTTTCCAAAATGTTTAATCAAGTCAGCATAAAAATGATACCAAAATCTAGGAGAAAACGCGTAATAAAACAAAATGCTGCAAAACACAGTTCATCCTCAGTTATATCAGTAAAATATCCTAAATAAAATACTTGCCAATAGAATGCAAAAACAGAGACAGAGTAAGAAAGGACACCGAGCAGGAGCCCACGAGGTTCACAGTAAGAAAACAGCCCAGAGAGAAAGCAGCCCGAGGGATTCGGCCACGTGACGTGCGGTGGACCCTGCGGCAGGGACCGGCCAGGCTGCCCGCCCCTCAGCCCCTCAGCCCCTCAGCCGCCTCAGCCCCTCAGCCCCTCAGCCTCCTCAGCCCCTCAGCCGCCTCAGCCGCCTCAGCCCCTCAGCCCCTCAGCCGCCCACGCCTCTGCTCGCTCACCCGCCCGGCTGCCTTAGGGGTCGGCGCTGCCCAGCGGGCTCCAGCGCAGCCTCCTACCCGGCATCCCACCGGCCGCGCCTGCCACTGACTCCTGGCCGCCCGCTACTACTCGCGCGCGGTGGGCAGGGCCAGTCCGGGGGAGCGGACCCCGAGAGGCGCCGCGGGATGGCAGGCGGTGTCTTCCAAACCCAAGCCTCCGAGAGCCGCAGCCGGGCTCGGGCCGCTGACCGACCCGGAGGCCCCACTCTGTCCCAGCCAAGGCCTCCCGGAGCCATCACCCACCAGGAGTCCCGGGCGGGGGCACCACCTGCTCCACGCTGTCGCGGGCTTCTGCGAGGCCATGATCCGTGCCCAACGCCAGCAAAGGGCAGCTTGTGCCCGAGAGTGGGGGAAATGCATCCTTCCCGGGGATCTGAAAACTCCAGGTCCTCCTGCCAGGAGCCCACGGCCTCAGATGGGGCCCAGGAAGCGCCCGCGCTGGGGAAGCGCCCCCTGCACCTGAGCCCGAAATTGTCCCTAACAAACCCAACACCCGCAGGGCTGACGTTTGGACTCCGGGGTGCGGTGTCGATGAAATGGGCACCGCGTGCTTTCCATGCAAAAGACACGAAGTCTGGAGTTTATGGAATTATTGAAGGAAAGCCGCGCCAGTGCCAAGAGATCATGGCCCAGAGCTGGCAGAACTGATCAGACCAATGCTGAGCAAAAGGCCTGAAGAAGACCATCTGGAGGAGCATCCCGAGGGCTTTCCCCAAAGCACCAGATCGCCTTCCTTTCCGAGGCCACAAAGGCGAGAACCTCCAGAAATAGCATGAAACACGGTGACTTGGTGACATCCAAGCCTGCTGCCACCGTGGTTTCCGGGAAGGCAGAATCAAGGCATGAAGTAATCCACGCCAACCACGCTCCTCTGAGGGCTGAGCAAGACATCGATAGTGGGTGAAGGCAAGTGTTTGTCCCAGGAGAGGCCCAGGATGGTTGCTCCCTTGAAGTCACCCGCCAGTCTGAAGGCCCAGGGGACTTGAGCAATACCAAGAACTGGCCACGGTCCTGCAACAGCCCAAGGGCTGCCTGCCGAACATAAGGGGTGGCTGGGTCCTCCATGTGGGCAGCTCATGCAGTCAGCTCAGCAGCTCTCCCTGCCTGGAATGGTCTGGAAAGTGGGGGCCAAGCAGGAAGAGCCACCTGGGTGACCCCCCTCCCTATCTGCTATGCTCCTGTGGGGATCAGGCAAAGGGGAAATTGGATCCTTGCCAGGTTTCCAGTGAAGAAGAGGCTCCCCCAGGATGCAAACTCATTTCATGACAAGTGCCTGGCCCATCAGGCACCTCAGCAACTTGTCAAACCTGTCTCCTACAAGGACCATCCTGTGTGGGACCCTGCCAAGCTCCTAGGCTTTGGGGCAACACCAGGAGGGGAAGGTCATTTCTTCATCTGAGATGTGGTGATTGGGTCCATGTGAGACCAGGAGTCTGGGCTTCAACCCTTTTCTGCCAGCAGCGAGCTGAAGTCCTGCCTACTACGTCCTGGTGGACAAACGCTGAATTTTCAAGAAGTTGCAACACCCCCGAGAGACACCCATGCCTGTGAATATGGGCACAGGTACCAGGAATATCGCTGCCCGGGAATACTCACAGGGTTATATGCAGAATAGGCCACGAGGATGTCACATAATTCCTGCTGCCTAGAAAAGAGGGGAAAGAGGGTTTTGTTTTTTTTGTGCAGACGCTGTCAATTTCATTTTGTCTACAAACCCAAATAACGAACACAATTCTGGGTTCAGATGATCCCCCCAAATAAGCAGTGAGCTCTTTAGGACACCTGAGTTTTTAGGAATTTTTTTTCAGTAAAATCCACATTCCTTGCAATGCAATGTCGTAGGTGTACAGTTGGATCAGTGATCATTTTTCACTCTGGTTGATTTTTTCTTCCCCTTTTTCTCAGTTTGCACACACAGAAGTCCAGTCTTTGGGACGTGCAGTTCCACGATTCTGAACTAATGTGCAGAGCCTCCCGTCCACCACTGCAGCCCCTCCCAGAGCGGCTCCTTCATCTTCCAAGTCCCTAGCATGTCCCCTTTGCAGGCAACGTCTCCCGGCTCTGTCAGCCCCTGGCCATCCTGATCTGTTCTTTGTCTCTATGGTTTGCCCTTTCCCAGAATGGCCAATGAATTGGAATCCCATGGTGGTAGCCTGTTGGGTCTGGCGTCATTCCCTCAGCAATACTCATCTAAGATCCACCCATGTTCCTGCAGGCATTAGGGGTTCGTTCCTTTTCCTCACTGAGTCGCCTCTGTCTGAAGAGTGGAACCCCCTTCCTCCCGAGTTCCCATGTTGAAGATCATCTCCGTAGCCTCCGGGTGTGAGTTACAACCAATCAAGCGGTGAACGTCACATGCGGGTTTTACTTGGACGTCAGTTTTCAAATCAGTGTGGCCAATATCTGTCACACTTTGGGGATGTGTGGTACGAGGCCACTGAGCTTTGTGAGCCACAGCCCATGTGACTTACAAAATGGCTGTGCCCTGTCACGTTCCCACCAGCCATGGATGAGAGTTTCCGGGGCCCCGCATCCTTTCTAGTATTTTGGGCAGTCAGTGTTGCCTGGGAAGGCTCCCAAGCCCTGCCATCGTGCCACCTTCCCATGGGTCCCTATCCTGGATAGTTGTGGGTCATGGAGAGCACTTTTCACCATCTGCATGACTCTTTTTTTTTCTGCCTTCCGTCTCCTTGGGAGTCACCTGGGTTCTGGCCCTACATGTCCCAGCCCGGCCCAGGGCTTAGAGCCGGGAGGTGCTCAGTCCATGGTGCCGGCTGCTCCCTGGGCCAGGAGAGCCCTTGGTGGCTCTGTCACCTCTCCTGGGTGACCCTGGCCTCTGCCCTGGGGACAACCTCATTCCTCTGGATTGCCCCATCTTCTCTGGGACCCCTGCAAGCCCCATTGGCCTTACTTGACTCCGAATCTTTGTATGAACATCATGTGTTTCTGCAGGGTGTGGCTGACATCTAGCTGGATGCAGTGGATGATTCTGGAGGACCTCTTGCCCTTCTCCTTCATGACCTGTAGGGCGGGGCCAAGAGGAGGAAGCAGCCTCAGAACAGACAAAAGACTCCCTGCCCCAAACGGCAGTCATCCCACAGTCAGCACTTCTGGAAGGAAGGAAGGAAGGAAGGTTTCCTTCTGCAGAAAGCTCCTTTTTGCCTTGTTTCTGACGCCAGGGAGGGTCAGCAGAGCCCAGCGCACCTGTGGTGCCTGAGTTACCATCTATGCCCAGGATGTGCATCTGACCACAGCCCCCACCCCCAACCCAGGCTCAACGTTCCCTCCAGCTGGAGTCCTGGGATCCTGATACAGTCTAGCTTGTTTGTACTGCCCTAGCTGAGTGTGGGAGGGACTTACCTTATATTTGCCTGGGTTCTGGGACTTGATTTTGTCAATATCTAGCAAAAGTGACAACGCCCGGCCCCGCACCGCCAGGGGAATGACTTTGCATACTCTTTGAGACAGCTACAGACAGAAGAACACTCCAGTGAGAAAGGACATGGGGCAACCCCGCAGAGGAAAGCTGGCGAACAGGCCTGCAGTCCTATGGCAAGGATGGGGTACCACCCACCCACTGAGAGGCACCCACCCAGGCCAAAACCATGGGCGCCTGTCTCCTGGCTCTGCAGAGAGCAGTCACGGGGGCCGCTTCCTCCCCATGTTACCTTCTTGGTGCTCCTATATTTTGTCCAGTCTGCAAGCATCTTTTGCCACTTGTTGGTACGTTTACTTTCCTTGCGTCTTTGCTGTCAAATGAGCCATGATGGAGTTAGCGGAGCTGTCAGTCGTCTGACAGTGGCCCGTGGATGCTGGGTCCAGGGCTTTGGGGCCCTGAAGGGACCCAACCTGAAGAAGCCAGGAAAGGGCAGGCCCCAGGGGCTGAGACCCTCTGAAGGAACTGGAGCTGGTAGTCTGGACTGGTGATGCCAGGACATGCCATCCTCAGGCCATAGAGGCCCCAAGTTTTGGTCAGGTCCAGCCTTCAGCTGGGGTCTTGGTTCAAACAGGCAGTGGACTCTGAGCCAGGACTACAGTTCTTGGTTTGGGTTTTGGTCAAGCCCTCATGGGAACAGAGTCCAGCAGGAAAGGCCACCCCTCCCAGTGACAGCCGTGGCCCACTCACCACCACACAGGCCCACAGGCCACCCCCTCTGCCTTACCGATCACCCGATTCCCAGTCCCTGAAGCAGCCTCCCACGCAGCAGGCACAGGCTCTTACCTTCACCTCCAGGGCACTGACGCGGGGCAGCTCCATCTCACTGTAAGGCAACCCAGGCAGAGCTGAGGACCTGCCCAGGCCAGGAGCCATCCCTCTCCCTGAGAGGGCCCCAGGGAAGGACCAGCCTACCCCCATCCACCCTAAGTCTCAGCCTGGGACAAGGCACAGAGAAGGAAGGCAAGGGCCTCCCTGCGGATCTGACACTAGCAAGGCACTGGGACCTTGGTGAAGAAGAAGCTCAAAGCTGGCCCTGGGTGGGGGGGACACTTGAAGCCCGTGGGGTGCCTTGGGCTGCACAACGGTGCTGCTCCACCTGGGCTGGAGGTGACACCCTCTGTGGACGCTAAGAAAGTCCAGTTCTGAGATGGGATGGGTGCCACCCAGGGTGGGTGGCCAAGCCCTGACTAACAGCAGTACCTCAGGAGTGACCACATCACCCACCAGAGTCCAGGGAGCCTGGCCTGAGAGCTGCCCAGTGCCCTGAGGATGCACCTGGAGCCCATCCCATCTGACACTCCCCATGGGCCTTGCAAGGTCTGACCTCCCAGCGTGCACCTGCCTCTCCCTGCATCCTGGCCGCTCACCCTGCCTGCTCCCCATCTTCCCCCATCCTGCCCAGCCCAGACACTATGACCCTCTCTCCGGCCACTCTGGCCCTTCTGTGACCCTTGTCCTTTCAGAACCTCTGAGTGAGACCTCCCAGATCCGTCCACACCCACGCCTTGGCCACTCTCTGACTGGGCTGCCCAGCACTGCTGGGGAGACACTCAGGGCAGCAAGGATGACCAAGGGCCCTGCAGGCAGTGGGGCTGGCCCCAGCACTCCTGCTCCAGCCTCAGCTGGCTCTCAGGGTCATTGGCCTTCAGCCCTCAGCCTCCTCCCAGCCACTGCAAAAACCAGGACATGGGATGCTTGGCTGTCCTCCCCTACTGTCCTGCCTGCCCTGACTTGGCCCCTCCATCCACCCTGCGCAGTGCTGACTGAGCCAGCGGGAAGCAGAATCTCTGGAGGGCCATGCAGAGCCTTGGGGACTGACCAAGTTCCCCCACTGAGGGGTCCCAGGTGAGCCACTGTTCCCTGCCCACCCCATCTGTTGTCCTCCCCAGGCTGTCAGCTCCACCCGGGTCTGGCTTGGTTCAGGTGCCTTCCAGAAGTGGCAGGTCTCAGGGGCTCACCCTGCCCCCCTCCCCCAGGCTCCTCCCTCTCTCCATCCTGTGAGTCATGAGGGGCCGGCTTCAGGCTGGGCTCCCATTACCAGGCCCAGGTCCCTTCCCTGCACCACTCCCGGGGCCTTCAGTTGCATGCTCTGTTGTCCCCCTGGCCTCAGTGAGAAGCCCAGGCCAGGGCCCTGCCCTTCTTCTTCCACAACCTACCAGGGCCAGGGCCAAGGCCCTCACTGTCCCTATGCCCCTTCCTCATGGCTGAGCCCCCTGAGCCCTCAGAGATCTGCTATACAACTGCCCAGAGGCCAGGCCAGGTGCCCTCTTGCCCTGTGGCCACAACCCTCAGATCTCACCAAGGCAGGCCCCAAGGGAACAGGGCCAGATCCTCAGGCTGCCCCTCCTCTCCAGCTTACTTGGAGACCACAGTGCTGAGAGCCCACGGGCCTGCTCTGGTCCCCTCTCTGTCCCTACCCCCTCTCCTGAGCTCCCTAAATGTGTCATGAGGCTGTGCCCTAACCCTGACCACAGGCTGGACCGACAGGAGAGCCTGGGAGGAGTTCTGACCCTGGAGAGGAGGTTGGCCCAGCCAGGGAGACATGTCCTGCTTCAGAGAGGCCTTTCTAAAAACAAAACCCATCCCTGAGGTGAGATTGGTGGCTGGGGTCGGGGGGACAGAGGACTTACTGCACAATCCCGAGGTTATTGGTGTATTTTCTGACATCAACCTGCTCATGCCCCAAGTCCACTGCTGCCCCAGCTCGGTGTCCCTGAAACCCAGAGGAGGCCAGGATAGTGGGGGTAAGGTGAGAGGTGTGGGAGGCCCAGGGAGGTGGGCAGCCCCTCCCCACCCTGTGATCTTAGGAAGCCCAGGACCCTGTGACCAGGGCACAGCGGGAGAGGCGAGGCCCTGCTTCCCTTGAGGGAGCGGCCCAACTTGTACCTGCTCATACTTAGTAATGATGATATTGCCTTGCCCCTGGGCAGGCAGGTTATCCGGGTCCTCATCCATCTCCATCCTGCAAGACAAAGTCATCCCAAGGCTCTCCCGCACCCAAGAGCTCCAGAGAACAGCCAAACCACACGCACTGCACTCCCAGACACACTCCAGTCTGGTGAGCCCCATTCCACTACCCCTCCCAGATGACAAGGGGCCAGACTCAGTGGCCCCACCCCTGACTGGATCTCTGAAGTCCTGACCTCCAACCAGTGGTGGGCTCCTTCTTGAGGATTTGAGCACACGGGGACCTGAACAGAGAGGCCTATTGTCCCCGAACACCCCAAGGCAGACACACACCTGCCCTGGCAGGACAAACGGCGTCCACTTGCTGAGGGTGAAGTCCCCACGATGGGCTGTTCTGGGCACCTGGAGGCAGGTGGAGTCAGGGACTGGATGTCTCTATAGGATGGTTCAGGGACCAGGAAGATAATCAGTTTTCCGTAGGAAGCAAGACATCTGGTGACTGCTCCGTTCTACCCCAATTCTCACTCACTCTGGCCAGTGAAGCCCCTTCAGGAACAACGCCAGCCAAGCAGTTTGGTTTGGGGAAAAGATGATCTGTTGACTCCAGAGCAGCCTCTGTGCTCATGGAGACCCCGTCGCAGGTCGAGGACGGTGGACACCACAATTCCCAGCTGTCAATACAGGAGGGGACTTTGTTTTCCTGGGTCACCAAGAAAGAACAAGAGAACGCTGGGGCCTTAGTCCTAGAGAACACCTGGGGGAACCGTCCCCCCCAGGAATACTCGGGGCAAACGGAAGGCAAGGCCTCTAGAGGACCAGACAGAGAGAATGGGACGCTGCAGGAGGGTTCCAGTCCCCAAGCCTCTTTGACCAGGAGAGACGATTGTCACCCTCCAGGCAGCCCTCCAGGGCTCCTTCATTTTCCACAACTGCCTGAGGGCAGAGGGCTCCCCACCCCACTCCTAGATGAAGGACCCCATGTGTCCAGTGGGTCCCACAGCAACCATCAGTGACCTCCTCCTGTGGGGACCAAGCTTAGGGCACAGACTTGGACCAAGAATTTCACCCTCCACCCCACCCACAGGGGCTCTGTCCCAGTGGCTCTTCCAGGACCAGACCCTGCCTCATTGAATTCCAGAACTCAAGGAAGATTTGGAATCTAGGGTAGAGAGGCCTCAGCGGTCAAAGCTCAAGTCCAGCATGGCAAAGGGTAGGGCTGAGTGCACGGCCCGGGTCACATCTGGGTCTCTGGGCCAGTCACCGCCTCTCTGACTCTACACATCTCACCTGTGGAATGGCTACATTTGGGGACAGCACCCATCGCCACAGAGTCTCTGTGAGGACAAAGGAGAGGATGGTCCACGCCGTCAGTGCAGAACATGTACCCGGTGAGTGCTCAGGGGTGACCCTCGTCGGCATCTGCCCAGAGGTCACTCACCTGAGTCTGCTCAGGCTGCTGTGTCTCTCGCTTAGAAAAGTCGTTCATGCACCACAGAACCAGACACCTGTGTGCGTCTTATGTGCAAGTGCTGCACAACACAGAGGTGAGTGGGTGGGCAGGTGGGCGGTCACTCAGCACCAGTGACATTTTGAGGTCATGGCACCCATCATAATGGGCCATTGCCCAGGTCAAGAGGGCCCAGAGTCGGTGTCCTCCAGCCCCTAAGGTGTCAAAATGTGTTTGTGCAGGTGAGCATGTATGTTTATGTGGGTGAACATGTGTGTGCACGAGTAGCGTCTCTGGCCAGGGCTGGCTGTCCCACTTACATGTGCACCCAAGTGCTCATCAAGTCTTAATCAGCGTCACCTTCCCTTGAGGCCTGTGGCAAGCATCAGAGCATCCATGGGTCCTCCCCAACCTCAGAACTCCCCACACGGGGCAGTCCTGAAGATGCAGATGGGGGCTAGGGGTTAGAGGGCACAGGACAGGGCCCCTCATTAGGGGGAACTCAGCTAGACTGTAAAATGCTGGGTGTGAGTGGCAAGGTCGGATTCCACACATTTTTTCACCTCCTCCTCCCAGTAGCCTTCCAGGGTGCCATGACTCATTTCTGCTATGGACGGAGGCAAGGAGGCTCTAAGGACAAACCCCGTGCCTGAGGTCACCAAGCAACCATCTGGCCAGGCCCCCACTAACCAGACCCCTGCCGGCCAGGCTTTCACTGACCGTTTTCCCAGTGACCAGGCCTTCTGACTAGGTCCTCACTGATCAGGCCCCTGATGACCAGGCTCCAACTGACCATGTCCCCACTGACCAGTTTTTCACTGACTAAGCCCCAGTGGCCAAGCCTCTGCTGACCAGGCCCCTGATGACCAATTCCCCACTGACCATGTCCTCGCTGACCAGTCCCCCAGTGACCAGGCCTTCCTGACCAGGTCCCCACTGTCCAAGTCCTCCCTGCCCAGGCCCCAGAGCAGCAGTGTTCAAGGTCCTCTACCACAACTGCCCACAGGCAGAGGGCTCCCTACTCCCAGACAAGGGACCCCATGTGTCCAGTGGGTCCCACGGAGACCCTCAGTGACCGCACGTGAAGTCTGAGTTGGTGAGACCTCCTCCTGCGGACACCCAGCTTAGGGCACAGACTTGGACCGAGCACCACCTCCCTCCACCACACCCATAGGAGTTCCATCCCAGTAGCTCTTTCAGGGCCAGACTCTGCCCCATCAGGGGCCAGAAAACCCTGGGCAGATTTGGAATCTAGGGCCATAGAGACCAGGGCATGCACAGGGCAGGGCTGAGAGCACAGCCCAGGATCACATCTGGGTCTCTTGGCCAGTCACCTCCTCTCTGACCCTAGACATCTCACTTGTGGAATGGGTACATTCGGGGACAGCACCCACCCCACAGAGTCCACCAGGTCAGTGCAGAACAGGCACCTGGTGAGTGCTCAGGGATGACCCTCCTCGGCACCTGCCCAGAGGCTAGCCCTGCCCACCAGGTAATGACTGTACCCAGGTCAGCAGGGAAGGAACAGAGCAGGTCACACTCACCTGAGTCAGTTGAGTCAGTTGTGTCTCTCACTTAGCAAAACTTCCTTTTCTCAGAACCAGACACCTCTATGTCTTATCTCTAAGAGCTCCAGACATAGAGACGGCAAGCGGACAGGTGGGCGAGTGCTCAGCACCAGTGACATTGTGAGGTCATGACACCCATCACAATGGGCCCCTGCCTGGGTCAGCCGGGACCAGAGTCAGCACCCTCCACCCCTTGAAGTGTCAACGTGCGTGTGTGCAGTGTTTGTGCATGTGAGCATGCACGTGTATGTGGGTGAACACATGTGTGCATGCGTTTGTCACTGCTCTGGCTAGGCCCAGCTGCCCCACTCATATGTGCACCCAGGACACTGGGTCACCCTTGTCACTCTCTCCCCCCTCGGGACCCATGGCCATCATCAGAGCATCCACAGGTGCTCCCTAAACTCAGACCTCCCCATCCAGGGCATTCCTGGGATTGCAGATGGAAGATAGGGGGCAGAAGGTTGAGGGTTGGGGGCAAAAGGCAAAGGGCAGGTCCCCTCCCTAGCAGGGGACTCATCTAGGCTGTAAAGTGCTAGATCTGTTTGGCAGGGCTGGATTCCACACACCTGCTCACCTCCTCTTCCCAGCAGCCCTCCGGAGTGCCATGACTCGTTCCCACTACAGATGGCGGCAAGGAGGCTCCAAGGACAAACCCTGCCTGAAGTCACCTAGCTGCCACCTGGCCAGGCTTCTGCCAGCCAGACCCCCACTGACCAGGCCCCCACTGACCAGGCCTTCACTGACCACGTTCCCACTGACCCCACTGAGCAGAACCCTGAGCCGCGGTGATCAATGTCCCCTGCCAATGACCCCCCTCAGTCCACAGACCTCCCCTCCCCACATCAGCACCCACAGGCCATCCCCTGGGGGTCTTCTCGGGTCAAGGCCCCCACTCCAGGACACAGGGAGGGACAGTCGGCCTCAGGCTCTGGGTGCCCAGCTTCATGCTCGCCCCCAAAAGCCCTCTGCGCTCAACCTTAAAGGGGGCAGTGAGGTGGCCTGGCACTGCCTGGACATGATGTCTCGGCCTATTCCTGAGCCGCAGAGCCAGAGGAACGGGGGGACGTTTGTCAGACCAGGCACCCCGTTTTGCTGGGTCTCCCAGGGTTCTTCCTGCGGAGGCTGGATCCAGAGGCGCAGCACCGAGGCTGCAGGGTGACCGGCCCAGAAGCCTCGAGACTGGGCTGGGGACCACATGAGAACTGTCCCCAGATGGCCAGAAGACCCTTTGCTAATTTCCTGGTAGCTCATTTCCCACCAGCTACCCTTGCCCCACCAGGAATCCCCTTCTGGCAGAGTCAATGAGGAGAGGAAGATGGTCACAGAATCCATGGAAAGAAAGAAAACAAAATGACAATGGAACATCATCTATTTCCTGTCCATCTGAAAGGAAAGCCTAAGGAAGCCTATTGGGTTCCATCACCCTGAGGGCCCCGAGGATGGCATCACACAGTGCAATACCCAATGGCAGGGGCGGTGCTCCATCCCTGCAGACGTCATCGAGGGCACACCTGGGGTCGTCTAGGGTCATGGACCTGGCCACAGAGCAGAAACTGGGTCAACAGGAGTGCACACACGCACACAGGTGCACACTCACACACTGGAATAAAACGAATTTCGTAGCAAGTGGTCACGTGCGCGTGGGAGCGCGCGCGCACACACACACACACACACACACACACACACACCACTTGTTGCTGATCTGCTGACTTATCTCACTGCCATGAAACAGCAGCTAAGCCTGTAATTGCTCTGCCTTTCCTTGGATTTTTCCTTTAGTTTCTCTGACTGCTGGGTTACTGGCCTGTGTTTAGCTTCATGAACATGGGTTTCACTTTATTTTTATGGGGTTCCAGCTCTTGCTCATGGAATCCCTCCCTGCCTGTTCTGCAGTCTTCCCTTGTTTACTGCCTGTGGACTTCAAGTATCAGACACAGAGAAAGATTTGTAGATACTGTTTACTCAGCCCCCACAATTTCCATAGCAGGTCTCTTAATTCCCATCACCTCCAGGGAGGGTCATTGCTGGGATCCTAGGAATCAAGTGCCTTGTCTTGATGGCCACAGTGGTAACCATAATAGTCAGGTTTTCCCTCTGTGCAATTCTGGAACATAAAAATCTTCTCTGGTAACAAGACTACAGAAAGCAATGAAAGCAACACTAAACTGGGAGTTTGCTGGCCTGTGTTTCTAAGAAATTTAATGTTTTTACATAAACAATGAAGAAGAAATGACTTTTCTAAAGTTCCTGTCATTTATGCCATGGATTGGACTCTTCTGTGAAAGCAGTTTCATTGATGGATGTGGATAATTAGCTTAACTTCAAGTAAAAGATTAGAGAGCAAATTGTAAACATAACTGTGCTTTTTTACACTCAAATGACATTAATCAGACAGTTTTGGATCTCTAGAAATATATATTAGAACATGTAAGTTCTATATTGAAATGCGCAAGTTTGGAATCCTTCAGGTGACTTATTTTTCATCAACTAGAAATAATATTAAAATTGCAAAGATTTATTATGTTTTATATTATTTGTCCTAATGGAAAAAGGAATTCAAATATGTTTATTAAAGTATAATATACACAGGAATCCTATTATTCTACTACTCAGTGATTTATCACAAAGAGGACACATGCTTGGAGCTACCACACAGTCCAAGAAAATGAAATAAAAATAACAATCTGGAAATCCCTCTCCTGAAGGTCTGCTCCCTAACCACTGCCCACCTGTCTTGTCAAAGCAAAGAGTCACCTGGTTTTTAGCAGCCCCAATTAGTGTTGTCTGTTTCATAAATGGATGCATGGAGGGCCATTCAGTAGGAATGGTTTTGTGTGTGGCTTCTTTGGCCCAGCATTACATTTGTGACACTCCTTCAAGTGGTTTCATGAAGCAGTTCTTTTTTTTTTTTTTTTTTCGAGATGGAGTTTCGCTCTGTCGGCCAGGCTGGAGTGCAGTGATGCGATCTCGGCTCACTGCAAGCTCTGCCTCCCAGGTTCACACCATTCTCCTGCCTCAGCCTCCCGAGTAGCTGGGACTTACAGGCGCTTGCCACCATGCCCAGCTAATTTTTTTGTATTTGTAGCAGAGATGAGGTTTCACTGTGTTAGCCAGGATGGTCTCAATCTCCTGACCTAGTGATCCGTCCCCCTCAGCCTCCCAAAGTGCTGGGATTACAGGCGTGAGCCACCGTGCCCGGCCCAAGCAGTTCATTTCTTTTCCCTGCTCAGTGGTGCTCTGCATGAATATGGCACATCTACCAATTCTACTGTTGATGGACATTGGTTTGTTTCTAATTTGGGACTACAAGCAATAAAGCCACTATGAACATTCTTGTTAATTTCTTTTGGTACACATGTATAGATATTTTAGTTAAGTACAGCCCTACAAATAAAATAGCTTGGTCATGGTAACTGCATATGTTCAAATGCAACGCATGTCACTAAAAATGTCAGCTAGGAGGAAAAGCTCAAGAGCTCTATTGTACAACATGTTGACTACAGTTAATAACAATGTGGTAATACTTGAAATTGTTGAGACAGCAGATTTTAAATGTTCTCACCACAAAAAAAAAAAGATAAGTATCTGAGGTAACTGATATGCTAGGTAGCTTGATTTAGCCATTCTACAATGTCTGTCTGTTGCTATACATATATATACACAGATTTAGCTATTCTACAATGTGTGTGTGTGTGTATGTAAAATGTGGTATAGCACAAATACATACAATTTATCAATTAAATTTTAATTCCAAAGATTTTTTTGACTAATATATAACCCAACCACAAGTTTGAGAGTTCTAATTAGATGTCCTTTCCAACACCTGATTTTGTCAGTCTTCCTTTTATATATTCTGGTTAGTGGATAATGTTATTTCGTTTTCATTTATTTTGGTCTTCTGATTATTAAAAGGCCTGATACCACTTTCATAAATGTTTATTGAAAATGTATATAATCAGGCTGGGCACGGTGGCTCATGCTTGTAATCCCAGTACTTTGGGAGGCCGAGGTGGGCGGATCTCTTGAGGTCCGGAGTTCGAGACCAGCCTGGCTAACATGATGAAACCCCGTCTCTACTAAAAATACAAAAAAAAATTAGCTCGCCATGGTGGCAGGCGCCTGTAATCCCAGCTACTCGGGAGGTTGAGGTGGGAGAATTGCTGGAAACCGGGAGGCAGATGTTGCAGTGAGCCAAGAACGTGCCACTGCACTCAAGCGCGGGGGACAAGAGCGAAACTCGCGTGGTGGTGCGTACGCCTGTAATCCCAGCTACTCAGGAGGCTGAGGCAGGAGAATCGCTTGAACCCGGGAGGCAGAGGTTGCAGTGAGCCGAGATTGCACCATTGCACTCCAGCCTGTGCTTCAAGAGCAAAACTCCGTCTCAAAAAAACAACAAAAAAAGAAAATGTATATAATCATATTTTCAGGGGTCTATGCAATTTTTTATACTTTTTCCAATGTGGTTATCAATCTTTCTAAATGATCTTCGAGAAGTTTTTAAAAATAAATTCTTGACATAAATTTTTGGGATTTTGTCAGTTAAAGGTGGAAATATCTTCTCTTTAAGAAAGAGCTTGGCTGGGCGTGGTGGCTCACGCCTGTAATCCCAGCATTTTGGGAGGCCGAGGCGGGCTGATCACGAGGTCAGATGGAGACCATCGTGGCTAACAAGGTGAAACTCCATCTCTACTAAAAACTACAAAAAAAATTAGCCGGGCGTGGTGGCGGGCGCCTGTAGACCCAGCTACAGGCTGAGACAGGAGGCAGGAGAGGAGGCTGAGACAGGAGAATGACGTGAGCCCGGGAGGCGGAGCTTGCAGTGAGCGGAGATCGCACTCCAGCCTGGGCGACAGAGCCAGACTCAGTCTCAAAAAAAAAAAAAAAAAAGAAAGAAAGAAAGAAAAGGAAAAAACAAAGAGCTTATTAGGCCGGGCACGGTGGCTCACGCCTGTAATCCTAGCACTGTGGGAGGCCGAGGCCGGCGGATCACGAGGGCAGGAGATTGAGACCATCCTGGCTAACATGGTGAAACCCTGTCTCTACTAAAAATACAAAAAATCAGCCGGGCGTGGTGGCGGGCGCCTGTAATCGCAGCTACTAGGGAGGCTGAGGCAGGAGAATCGCTTGAACCCAGGAGTTGGAGGTTGCAGTGAGCCGAGATGGCGCCACTGCACTCCAGCCTGGACTACAGAGCAAGACTCCGTCTCAAAAAAAAAAATAAAATAAATAAAATAAAATAAAAAGAGCTTATTAATGGATAATCATTGGAGATGTTAAGTTTTAGGTAAGATAGAAAAAAGGGTCTTTTAACATAGTTGTATTATATATATTTTTGCCTTGTATTTTCATGTTACAGAATGGGTCTAACTTTGGGTCAATATATGTGTTCACTTAATTTTTTTCTAAATTTGGAAGTAACCTGAAATTTACACAAAGACTACAATAGAATTACAAAGGATAGCCAGGTTCCTCTTAGACTGACACACAGTTAACGTTTAATCCTGCTTGTTTTATCATTTGCTCTTTCTATATACAAATTTTTCTTGAATCATTTCAATTTCATACATTACTCTTCTTTACCTCTAAATACTTCCAATATGCATTTCTCAATAATGAGGATATTATTAATACTTTACACAACCATGATACAGTTATCAACTGCAGTAAATTTAACATCAATACATTACTTTTATCTATTCTACTGCTTGTATTCCAGTTTTGAAAAATTGAACCAACAATGTCTTTAGGAGATTTTCTCTCACACAAGACCTAGTCAAAGATCCTGTATTGTATTTAGTTGTCATGATGCTTTAGTCTCTTTTAATTTGGAAGTTATTCAGCTTTTCCTTGTCTTATGTGACATTAATATTTTTGAAGGCCCGAACGGAGCGGGGCCTGCTGAGCGGGCGCGGCACCAGCCGCCGCAACCCAAAGCCCCGGGCTTCCTGCAGCCACCGCCGCTGCGCCAGCCCAGGACGACCCCGCCGCCAGGGGCCCAGTGCGAGGTCCCCGCCAGCCCCCAGCGGCCTTCCCCGCCCGGGGCGCTCCCAGAGCAAACGAGGTCCCTGAGAGCTCCACCTAGTTCACAGGATAAAATCCCACAGCAGAACTCGGAGTCAGCAATGGCTAAGCCCCAGGTGGTTGTAGCTCCTGTATTAAGGTCTAAGCTGTCTGTGAATGCCCCTGAATTTTACCCTTCAGGTTATTCCTCCAGTTACACAGAATCCTATGAGGTTGGTTGTGAGGATTATCCTACTCCATCAGAATATGTTCAGGATTTTTTGAATCATCTTACAGAGCAGCCTGGCAGTTTTGAAACTGAAATTGAACAGTTTGCAGAGACCCTGAATGGTTGCGTTACAACAGATGATGCTTTGCAAGAACTTGCGGAACTCATCTATCAACAGGCCACGTCTATCCCAAATTTCTCTTATATGGGAGCTCGCCTGTGTAATTACCTGTCCCATCATCTGACAATTAGCCCACAGAGTGGCAACTTCCGCCAATTGCTACTTCAAAGATGTCGGACTGAATATGAAGTTAAAGATCAAGCTGCAAAAGGGGATGAAGTTACTCGAAAACGATTTCATGCATTTGTATTCTTTCTGGGAGAACTTTATCTTAACCTGGAGATCAAGGGAACAAATGGACAGGTTACAAGAGCAGATATTCTTCAGGTTGGTCTTCGAGAATTGCTGAATGCCCTGTTTTCTAATCCTATGGATGACAATTTAATTTGTGCAGTAAAATTGTTAAAATTGACAGGATCAGTTTTGGAAGATGCTTGGAAGGAAAAAGGAAAGATGGATATGGAAGAAATTATTCAGAGAATTGAAAACGTTGTCCTAGATGCAAACTGCAGTAGAGATGTAAAACAGATGCTCTTGAAGCTTGTAGAACTCCGGTCAAGTAACTGGGGTAGAGTCCATGCAACTTCAACATATAGAGAAGCAACACCAGAAAATGATCCTAACTACTTTATGAATGAACCAACATTTTATACATCTGATGGTGTTCCTTTCACTGCAGCTGATCCAGATTACCAAGAGAAATACCAAGAATTACTTGAAAGAGAGGACTTTTTTCCAGATTATGAAGAAAATGGAACAGATTTATCCGGGGCTGGTGATCCATACTTGGATGA
Source organism: Homo sapiens (assembly GCF_000001405.40). Taxonomy (NCBI): domain Eukaryota; kingdom Metazoa; phylum Chordata; class Mammalia; order Primates; family Hominidae; genus Homo; species Homo sapiens. Next base: position 18,651,461 of record NC_000017.11, read on the forward strand.
TATTGATGATGAGATGGACCCAGAGATAGAAGAAGCTTATGAAAAGTTTTGTTTGGAATCAGAGCGTAAGCGAAAACAGTAAAGTTAAATTTCAGCATATCAGTTTTATAAAGCAGTTTAGGTATGGTGATTTAGCAGAACACAGGAGAGCAAGAAAATGTGTCACATCTATACCAAATTAAGGATGTTGAGTTATGTTACTAATGTATGCAACTTTAATTTTGTTTAACACTATCTGCCAAAATAAACTTTATTCCCTATAACTTAAAATGTGTATATATATATATATATATATATATATATATATATATATGTGTGTATATATATATATATAATAGTTTATTATGTACAGTTAATTCTACTGTTTTGGCTGCAATAAAATCGATTTTGAAATAAATGAAATGTTGAAAATTTTGCTAGTTGGTTAGATGCTTATCCTTTAAATTCTACTTTTCTTGAGGTGAAAAAGTCTTCCTCTGGAAATACATATCACTGCAAAAATGTAGCATCCTTTTTTAGGTAGGAGTATTATAGCTTTCATTTTAGTTTGACATTTAGTGTCCCAATGAATTGAATTTCAAATATGAATCATAATCTTGAAAATCTTTAGCACTAAAGTCTTGGAATATATCAACAACTGATTTACATATGCAGATGCTATTTGATACCAAGGGCTTTTTAAATGTCATGGGGGGGAAATCCCAACTTGGTGAACTCCCAGCTAAACAGCCAAGACTTCACTGAAGATTTATTCCAATTCTAGAATTGTTCTTTTTTATTTTTATTTTTTCAACTGACTAACTTCATTACCTTAAAGCCTAGAACATTATTCTGCTTTATTTATATGGCTTTCTCACTTTTATTTTGTAGCATGGGTTGCATCGACTTTTTTACTAGAGAATTTTACTAGATATTTGTCATTCAAGTTTTCATCTGCTTTATAATTGATACACCTTGAGGGTCACTTTTCTAATACTTTTACTATAATGTGGTACCACCTCAGCCCTAATAAATAATATTTTTACCTAATGTCAAATCTTTTTCCAGCTAACTAAAAACTATGTACAAAAGGATTGCTTGTAAATATGCATGTAAATAGTTCTGTTAATAACCCACTGTTTTACATTTGGTACATCTGTGTCTGCTAATACAGTTAGCTTTCTCACTTTTCTGCTTGTTTGTTCAGTCTGAATTAAAATTAGACTTTGAAAATAAAGCTTAAATAGTTCTGTTTCCTCTAAAAAAAATATTTTTGAAGAATGCAGTCCTTTTAATAGTCCTCATTTTGGAGTTTGTCAAATATTTCTTCATGATTAGATTCCTGTTATGCATTCCCAGCCAGAATAGTACACACATTATGCTGTGTCCTTCTCATGGTATCACATCTGAGGCACAGAATGGCCATGTGCTGCTTACTCATATTAATTTTGATCATGTAATCAAAGTTTTTCCCAGTTCTTCCACTATATAATTATTTTTTGCCTTGCAATTGCTAATCATAACAAGCAATCTCTGGAAAAGATACTTCAATTCTATGCAAATATCCTGTTCCTCATCAAAATTTCCCCTTAGATTTAGCATCCATTGATTCTTGCTTGAATCAGTCTTTACTGTTATGGCTACAAAATGATAGTTTTCCAGCTCCAACATTCCCTTCGCATTTACCCATTGGCATAGGATATTCTGCGGTAAGCAAGTGTCCTCTGTTATCGCTCATTTATTTACTTATTATCAATGTGAACTCATGGACTACTACTTCTTCAATGGTTTGCAATTCATCATTTTCTTGTTTTGCTGCTCAAATTGTTCTGGATTTAGTCAGTGAGGGCTACTTCCTGTGTCTTTGTGACCTACCCTCATCATTTTTTTGAGTGCTACTTTTTTTTTTTTCTGGAATAAGATGTTCCAGGATCTTCTTGGAGTTTCCTTCCCTCAGACCTGCAATCAGCCATTTTTCTGAGGAGCCTTAGTTCCTTTTAGCAGAGAACGGTATCAGAAACCAAGATCTGGGCTCATTGCAACTGAGATGTCATTGCTTTTAGCCCGTTTCAGTAGAAAGAGCATGGAAATGTGTGTGCTAAGAAGGTGTAAAAGGGATGTGTGGCTGCAGGAGGTCATTTTATGTGTGTTTGTGAGTTTTGCTCATCTGCTAAGTTGCCTGTCTAATGTAGAGAGTTCTGATTATCTACATCCCAGTTAATTTCTTTGGTTAGCAAATTTGTGATTAATATGAGTGGCTGGGAGGCTGTATGAAAACAATAGTGGCAACGAAACTGTGCAGAAAAGTTAACATAGCAAGTCCGAGCCTGCTATCTTTAGAAAGACTTGCCTACAAGGTTGGCCACAGGCGGGCATCTGGGAAGTATAACTTTGGGATCGTTCCCGCTAATTCCAGAATTAAAGTGGATCACTGCTCCTAAACTGTCTGTAAAAACAATGAAGCTTATGCTGAACACCTGCTTTCCTTCTGAAGTCTGGAGTTTTGGTACATGCTAGACAGAGACTGCCTATGTGACTAGCACCCAGTACAAACCTTGGGATTTGAATCTCTACTGAGCTTCCCTGATAGATCACATTTCACACATGCTGTCACAACTCCTTGCTGGGGGAAATGAGCAAGTCTTGTGTGACTTCACTGGGAGAGGACTCGGGGAAGCTTGTTCCTTGTTTCCTCCAGACCTTGCCGCCCCATGAGCCTTTTCTCTTTACTGGTTTTGCTGTGTGTCCTTTTACTATAATAAACCACAGCCAAGAAAATGACAACATGCTGAGTCCTGGGAATCCTTCTAGTGAATCATTGAACCTGAGGGTGGTCTTGGGGATCCCTAAACATGTAGAAAGAAAATGTTATGTTTTTGTTTATCAAAAGAAAACAGGACTATTTTTCTCTTAGAGTGAAATGTGTGGTTGTTGCAGAATGCAAAAGATAGTTAAAGCATAAAACTGGAGAGGATGCTGTAAGTTTTGGAAGGTTTGGGGGAAAGTGAACTTTACTTGTGCTTTATAATAGCTGCAAATTCTGAAAAGAAGAAATAAAATGTATTAAAATTTTGACAAAAGTTGGCTTGATTTTGATGAGTTCATTAAAATCTATGAAATCTTTAATTCAAAATATTATATTTAAAAAGATTAAACTTCGGTTATCTTTGCTTAAATGATAGTTTGTTCAACAAGAGAAAGGGAAAGATCATTCTTTACCTTCTGTGTAATCTGCCCAAATAGTAGAAATTGTCTCTCATCAGAACTACAGTTTTGTGCTTTGTTCTGTGTTATGCTTTTCATTATACATACATATATATATATATATATATATATATATATATATATATATATATATATATATGAACAAAGCCAAAACAGACCCTTATCTTGGAGCTTATGATATGGCACTCATAAACAGGAAAATGTAAGAAATACTTGGGTTTGTTTGGTATGTCCTATAGTTATTAATTAGTTCAAAATGATTGTAAGAGCTGCTCTGTTTATGGGAAGAGGTGTCAGACCAAAGAGAAGGGAAACCTTCCCTAGTTTAATTTTGTATAGATATGTTACTAAAACAAATGTTTCAGAAACTGTATACTTACTTATGTTTGGAAGGCCCTGGAGATGTCCACACTGTATATAATGCATTCTTACTCTCAGGGGAACACTGATCAACTCCTCTTTGAAATAATCATGTGTTATACTCCAATAAAGGATTTTACTCTCCTTCATTCTGATAGTTATTATAATAAATTATGAAGTGTTAATTATAAATTCAGATGGAATTAAATGGTGCTGAGATAGCAAGAGAATGAGCTGATGACATCTTCTGAATATCTGAATCCAGTCATATCTGAAGCTAGATCTCACCATGGGTTTTTAAAAATTACAGTCCTGGGCCGGGCGTGGTGGCTCACGCCTGTAATCCCAGCACTTTGGGAGGCTTAGGCGGGTGGATCACGAGGTCAGGAGATCGAGACCATCCTGGCTAGCACAGTGAAACCCCATCTCTACTAAAAATGCAAAAAATCAGCCGGGCGTGGTGGCGGGCGCCTGTAGTCACAGCTACTTGGGAGGCTGAGGCAGGAGAATAGCATTAACCTGGGAGGTGGAGCTTGCAGTGAGCCGAGATCGCGCCACTGCACTCCAGCCTGGGCGACAGAGAGAGACTCTGCCTCAAAAAAAAAAAAAAAAAATTACAGTCCTGGATAACCCAGCAGGTTTGAGTCACTACAACATGAGATGCATAGGTCACAAGACTGGGAATTGAATCAACCATACATAAAACTATGTTTTTGATATGGCAAAAGTAATATTTATGGTGGTGGCTGCCCTATACCATCTTGGGTCCCTAAATGACTACTGATGAGCAAAGACTCCCTGCCAGGCCACAAAGGACAGGTAGCACAAGTTAGCATTAAGAAATGGCACCCTGGTGAGAGGTCCATGCTTTTTGTATACTAGAGCCTGGTCTCAAAGAATAGAAAATTATCATCAAAATATAACTCAGCAATGTGCAACAAAGCCCTTTCACATATATAATTTCACATAACCCTCACAGAAACTCTATGAAATCAATGTTGGAAATACTTCCTTAGTTGGTTTTTTTGTTTTTTTTTTTTTTTTGAGATGGAGTCTCGCTGTGTCACCCAGGCTGGAGTGCAGTGGCACGATCTTGGCTCACTGCAAGCAAGCTCTGCCTCCCAGGTTCACGTCATTCTCCTGCCTCAGCCTCCCGAGTAGCTGGGACTACAGGCGCCAGCCACCATGCCTGGCTAATTTTTTTGTTATTTTTAGTAGAGACGGGGTTTCACCGTGTTGCCAGGATGGTCTCAATCTCCTGACCTCGTGATCTGTCCGCCTTGGCCTCCCAAAGTGCTGAGATTACAGGCATGAGCTACTGCACCCAACTTTCTTAGGTTTTAAACTTCTGTCAATGTTATCACTGTTTGATCTTTGAAAAACTGCTCTTGTGGGGGGAATAGTTGGGGAGCAGGAGGCCAGATTGTCTTATTCATGCTGAAGTTAACTTCCAATAGCAGTGTTTGTTTTACCTGCACAGCATCTTTGGATTTATTTGAGGGAAGCACCCTGTCCCCACCCACAGTGCAAGTTGCATCAATGGGATGGACTCCACCCTCTCTTCCTCCAGGGTTTTACACAGACTCAAGCCTGGTCGATGAGAGGACCCCATTTCCAGGGTGGTATTATAAAAGGTTCAGTGATCAGCATGACTCAAGCAAAGTGGAGAAGTAGCCTCAGGGATTTTGCTGGAGCTATTTGGAAAGAGGTACTTTCCTTGGAATTGTGAATGCCAAGAACTGTAATATAACTTCCAAGTGCCAGTAGGCTATTTGTCGCTGCAAGAGACTAAGAAAAGCACATCCAACAGAGAGGAAGCCAGAGCAGAGATGGAGGCGGACAGTCCTCGATCTATTAATAGCAAAGCATTTATCTCTAGTTTGACTCCATGGATTGCCCCAGATATGTGAACTTTGCTAACATGATGATTACGTGTTTCATGAATTGGTGGGAGTGGGAGGGAGGTGAAGCATGCACCTTTTTTGTATAGTCCACTCAATCTAAGGGATTTATAAACAGAGGTTACATCATGAAAAAAATAAAAAACAATTCAGTAAAAACATCTAATTTTTTGAGGTTTATAAGTGGAAACTACACAGTAGGACCAGATGCCACATTTTATATTTATTACTACAGGGAATAGCCTTCTACCTTGTCAATAAAACTTATGGAGAGGGACAGCTCACATGGCTACGGGTCCCAAGACTGCCTAGTTGGGGCCCAGAAAGAATTACACAAGGAAGGGAAGAAAGCAGGCTTCCAACTTGAGTCATCTTCTGATAAACACATTGTTTTTTTTTTTGAGACGGAGTCTTGGTCTGTCATCAGGCTGGAGTGCAGTGACTCAATCTCGGCTCACTGCAACCTGCATCTCCTGGGTTCAAGCGATTCTCCTGCCTCAGCCTCCCTAGTAGCCACCACACCCAGCTAATTTTTGTATTTTTAGTAGAGACAGGGTTTCACCATGTTGGCCAGGATGGTCTCGATCTCTTGACCTCATGATCCACCCGCCTCAGCCTCCCAAAGTGCTGGGATTACAGGCGTGAGCCACCGCGCCCAACCGATAAACACATATTTTTAAAAGTGAGAACACATCTAAGAAAATAAAAACTATGACAGATTTTCAATAGATAATTGATCTAGTTAATTGCCAATCAATTTGAATATTTAGTATTCTTACATTATCACTTTTATACTTTTGGGTGATATTACATTGTCTTCCCCCAAACCAGATATAATTGAAAACTTACACAAAATCAGATTTTTATGACATTTTACCTATTTTTTTTTTTTGGGGGATGGAGTTTCGCTCTTGTTGTCCAGGCTGGAGTGCAATGGCACTATCTTGGCTCACTGCAACCTCTGCCTCCCGGGTTCAAGTGATTCTCCTGACTCAGCCTCCGAGTAGCTGGGATTACAGCCATGCATCACCATGCCTGGCTAATTTTGTATTTTTAGTAGAGATGGGGTTTCTCCATGTTGGTCAGGCTGGTCTCGAGCTCCTGACCTCAGGTGATCTGCCTCCCTCAGCCTCCCAAAGTGCTGGGATTACAGGCTTAAGCCACCGCACCTGGCCCATTTTGCCTAATTTTAACTGTGCTTTTTATACGAAGTTATTCCCTCCCTTTCACCCCAATTAGCCCTACTGAGTAGTGCCTATACCTGGCCTGGGGACTCAGTACTACTTGTTAGAAACTATCTTCCTCTACTCCTTAACCTTCTTGCAGATACTTGGGTTGCTGACGGTATCTCCCATCCCATCTCTCCAGAAGTTGTGAAGCCAGATGACCAGCTAGAAATGGGATTGGTATCCTGAATGATATGGAGATATTTTTTGGTTGGTCCTTCATTACATCTTAAAATATGCTTTAAAAAAGGAAGAATTTAAAAGAAATTTACAAAAGTTTCTGACAAAACATATACAAACATCTTTATTGACAAGTGAGCCAATAAGGGCACATTTAGTTTACAGATAACCAAAAACATTTGAAATGCATAACATTAAAATTTCCAAGATTCATGTTGCAGTACAAACATGTGGCAGGTTAAACATCAGGCATAAAAAGGACAAATACTGAAACGCAAAGGGCCAGAGATCCCAAGTCGCTTAACACTATTTAAAATGTTATTCAACTGCAAACTTCAGCCTCTGGAACCATCCCAGATAGCTACTGGTTAAGTGATACGAAGTAGGAAAAAAGAAGGTTCTGGAAGGTCTCAAGGAGGCTGTGCAGAAAACAGCACCAGATGGAAGCAAGAGCAGAAAGAAGTCACGTCCCATCTTTATGACAAGCCACAGAACAAGATGGTCACAGTTCTTCATGGGTAAACAAAAGATGTGGAAGACACAGCCAACCTTAAGTAACTTCTACTGACGGATGCTCTGGCACTTCTCTATGTAGAGAAGGAGAGAGAAAGAGAGCACCAAGCAGGAGTGGGGGACTCTATATTTATTGTCTGCCAGTTCTTTTGTATGCATTGTCTTATTTAATCCTTATGACAACCTCATGAGAAGCCAATGATTTATTCCCTTTGTTGAAACCTAATACAGATAAAGAAACTGAGACTCAGAGTAGGGAGTTTTTCCAAGGTCACATGACTGCTTAGTGGGGATGGCAGAATTCAAACTCAACTTTGGAAAGCCCATGTTGGTCTTCTTTCCTTAGTCAAATTTTGGCCCTCAAATGAATTTCTTTTCACTCAAGAATTTGGCAAGTTTCAATAACTTGAATTCTCCTGACAATATATAGTAACATCCTAGAGGTAGGAGTATTTTGATGCATCATTTCCCACCTCTTTTATTTTTCTGTCCCCAGTTATCTCTCAGTAAGTTCAACTTTTCCATTCCACCTACTTTCTCTGACTGGTTTAAACCCTTTATCTGACTTCTTGATGAATGCTCTGGAACAGGGGCCAAGAAAATATTTTCTGTAAAGAGCCAAACAGTAAATATTTTAGGCTTTCAGGGACATAGAACCTACTATGGGCTATATCCCCATCAAAGTCATATAATGAAACTTAATTGATGGTATTATGAAATGGGGCCTTTTGGAGGTGATTAGGTCGTGAGGGTGGAGCGCTCATGAATGGGATTAGTGCCCTTATAAGGGCCTGAAGATACCAGAGCTCTCCCCTTCTACCATGTGAAGACACAGTGAAAGGTGCTTTCTATTAACCAAGAAGCAGACCTTCCCTAGACCCTAAATATGTTGACACCTTGATCTTGGACTTCCCAGCCTCCAAAACTGTGAGAAGTAAGTTTCTGTTGCTTATAAGCTGCTCTGTTTGTGATATTAAAGCCCAGAGGCACAACCTCCGCTGCAGCTACTCAGTTCTGACACTGGACACAAAGGCAGTCAAGGACAACATGTAAATGAGTAAGTGTGGCTGAGTTCCAATAAAATTTTCTTCTGAGAAACAGGTGGTGGGCCAGAGTTGGTCCATGAGTCCAGGCCACAGTTTGTCAACTCCTGCTCTAAACCATTAGTACTAAATACTAAGATGATAAAAGAGGTGAGTTCCTTTTCCTGTGTTTTCTTTCTTTTTTCTTTTTTTTTTTTTTTTGAGTAATGATACAGTTTAGATCTGTATCCCCACCCAAATCTCATGTTTAATTGTAATCCCCAATGTGGGAGGTGGGGCCTGGTGCAAGGTGACTGGACCACGCAGGTAGTTTCTCATGAATGATTTAGCACTGTCCCCCTACTGCTGTCTCGTGATAGAGTTCTCATGAGATTTGGTTGCATAAAAAGTGTGTAGCACCTCCCCTCTCTCTTTTCCTCTTGCTCTAGCCCTGTGAAGATACCTGCTCTGGCTTTGCCTTTTGCCATGAGTAAAAGCTCCCTGAGACCTCCCCAGTCATACTTCCTGTACAGCCCATGGAACCATGAGCCAATTAAACCTTTTTTCTTTATAAGTTACCCAGTCTCAGGCATTTCTTTATAGCAGTGTGAGATTGAACCGATACAGATAACAATAACAAAAAGTAGGTAAATATGAAGGCCAGAGAAATGGCAACTTCTTCATGAAGGGAAGCTGCTTATCCTCAAGCAAGTCAGTTGAGGACTATCCTGTGAGCTATTTTCCGTACCTTGTTTTCCACTCATACAGGGAAGTATGCCCTGGTGTCTCACAGTTGCTTCAGTTCTTCTTTACTGGGACCCTAAATATAATAACACACTGAACCACTCAACTTCTCAGACCTTCAATATCCCTGGGGCTTTTTCTCAAATGGACACAGCATAGCTTTCAGAAAGCTGAATAATGTAGACAAAAGAAGTCTCCCTCACCCTTTGATTATGGAAAACCAAAGATTTATTCAGTGCCAAGGATAAGAAAGGAAGGACTTGATCAACAACCACTGTTAAGATTTTGACCCATTCACTACTTCACGTGAACTCCCAGGGAAATGGAAAATGAAAGAAGGTCTCCGCGGTAGAGGGATAACAATGACATAAATCAATGATGATGCCAGGCATGGTGGCTCACGCCTGTAATCCCAGCACTTTGGGAGGCCGAGGCAGGCAGATCACGAGGTCAGGAGATCAAGACCATCCTGGCTAACATGGTGAAACCCCATCTCTACTAAAAATACAAAAAAAATTAGCCAGGCGTACTGGCAGGTGCCTGTAGTCCCAGCTACTCAGGAGGCTGAGACAAGAGAATGGCATGAACCTGGGAGGTGGAGGTTGCAGTGAGCTGAGATCACGCCACTGCACTCCAGCCCGGGCAACAGAGCGAGACTCTGTCTCAAAAAAAAAAAAAAAAAAAAATCAATGATGTACATAATCCATGTGAACATAAATTAGAATTGTCTGTAAATATTATACATCCTAGTTATGGTCATCAAAATAGACAGCAGCTTGTTGAGGGAGGAAGGGAATGCTAAGGACTTTGAACCCAGCATTTTTGGTTTTTAAGGCTAATATAAAAGAAATGACACTCTAGATGAATTATACCATATGTGTATCTAGATCTCAAGGAGTAATAAATAACAACATTGTGTCTTCCTGATGATAAGGATGTAAGCCCTCAGCCTAACCTACCCAATAAGAATTTCCTTACAAAGTGAGAGGCTTACAACAAAGCTCTGACATAAACAAGAGAGGGGAAAACTGGATTTCACAATGTTTGTACTGCTACCCACTCTCAGGGACTTCTTGAATTTCCACAGATAGCTATTTGGGAGGTTGGAGATTAAAATTTTGAAATCGCTGGCTAGATTTCATAATTATCAAATTAACGGACATAAAGAACCTGCCTATGGCTCAAAACTATGTATTACACAAATGAAATTAGATGCATATAGAATTGGTCCTCACATGCATATTATGGATGGGCCTTCCACCTAAACACTCAAGTATTTAATATAGTGATAAAACCAACTTACATTTCTTCACATTCAGTAATTTTTCAGGGTTGCTCTTCAGTGTGAACTCTTTGATGTCTGATGAGAGATGAACTGCACTTAAAGCTTTTCCCACACTCATTACATCTAAAGGGTTTCTCTCCGGTATGAGTTCTCTGATGTTGAATAAGAGCTGATGAATGAATGAAGGCTTTTCCACACTCACTACATTTGTACGGTTTCTTTCCAATATGAATTCTTTGATGTTTAGCAAAATTGGAGCTCTGGCTGAAGGTTTTCCCACATTCACTACACTCATAGGGTTTCTCTCCAGTGTGAATTCTCTGATGTTGAACAAGATGTGTGCTCTGACTAAAAGTTTTTCCACATTCACTGCATTCATATGGCTTTTCTCCAGTATGAACTCTCTGATGCTTAGTTAGGGATGAGCAATGGCTAAAGGCTTTCCCACATTCTTGACATTTATAAGGTTTCTCTCCAGTATGAGTTCTTTGATGTTTAATGAGTGCTGATGAATGAATAAAAGCTTTATCACATTCATTACATTCATAAGGCCTCACTCCAGTATGAATCAACTGATGCTGCACAAGATGTGTACTTCGATTAAAACCTTTCCCACATTCATTGCATTCATAAGGTCTCTCTCCAACGTGAATTCTCTGATGTGTTGCAAGGGATGAGCTTTCTGTGAAGGTTTTCTTACATTCACGGCATTCAAAGAGAATTCTAGTATGAGTTCTCTGGTGTTTAGTTAAATTAGCTCTGTGGCTAAAAGATTTCCCACATTCATTGCAGGTATAGGGTTTCTCTCCAGTATGGACTCTCTGGTGTTGAATATGCACTGAATGGCAGGTGAAGAGTTCACCACAATCATTACATTTATGAGGTTTTTTCTCTTTATAAGTTCTCTGCTTTTTCATTAAGTTTGATTTTTGTTTCAAGCTTTTTTCAAGTGTATGGAAGGCATAAGATCCTTTGGGAACTCTGTCTTCAGTGATAAGGACAGATTTCTGATTGAAGCTTTTCCAGTATACATCATGCTCATGGTCTGTTTCCTCAGAGAGTGAATTCATGTGAGTGAACATTTCTCTCAAATGTCTCTCCTGATTTCCTTGCTGCTTCTCTAACCAATTTTCACATTCAAGGGCTGCTTCCAAGTTAGAGTCATAGACACTATTCCGTGTCAGTCTGTCTATTATTGCAACTTTGCATGATTCTGCTTTGGAAAAATCTTGCACTGAAGTTGAATCCTTGCTCTGTGGTCTAGTCTCCACGTCTGAAGGACATTGGAAATGCAAATTTCCTTCGTTTTCTGTGCTCAACAAAAAGGCAGTTCTGTAATAGGTAAGAGTTAATGAAAGTGAAAAGCATGCCTTCAAGGAGCAAGTGGATTTGACTCTTTCAGATGACTTGCAAAGAGAAACAAAGGGAGGGAAACAAATGCTCAGAATATGCAGAGAAAATAAGTACATCCTATCCAGGAGAGTCGGAAGAGGAGAAAGATGACAAAAAATATAAGAGTAGAGATGCCGATGAAGCAATATATCCATGGATGAGCAGACAATGAGTACACAGATCAGGATGGGAAGAAATAACTTTTTATAGAATACCTACTTATTGTAATAAATTTCTAGGCACACAACCATCTTAGTGTACAGTACAGTTATGGCTTCTAAATTTTCACTATTCCAATCCTACTCACATCCAAATATGTATTCCATTGCCAGTTTAATCTTCCTAACAATGCTTTTATAACATTTTGCTGATCAAAAACCTCCTATGATCTCCCAAAGGCATAATGACAAATATACGAAATGATATATGCACAAGGCTATTTGTTGAAGCACTAATTCAGGTAGCAAAAGACTGATAACATTTCACATATCCTACTATACAGAAATGATTGAACATATAGTGGATACAAACAATGGAGTACTATCCATCTCCTTAAAAAATGACAAAGATCTTTACATATTGCTATAAGGTGACCACCAGGATATATTAAGTTTAAAAGGAAAAAGCAAGATATAAATAAGCACGCACAGTTTGCTACTTTTTTATAAAGAAAAAAAAGGGGTACAAATACCTATACTGTTTGCTTACATTTAAAAAAAAATAAAAAAAGGATAAATGGAAAACCAATAAAAATTTGTACCTATAGGGAAAACATCAGAACACAGGAGAGAGGGCAGAGATGGAAGCTTAACCTCTCTAAATATATCTAATATAAATATAGTAGAATTTTTATATCCAATATAAAGTTAATTTATATAGAGAAAATATTTTAAGCAGTGTAGTTCAAAGAAATAAACAGGAGTAAAATAGAAGAGCAAATACAGAAATAAAGTATATGTAAGAATTAAAGATAATATGAAGGTGGTATTTCAGTCAGTGAACAAAACATAGATTTGTTTTTCCAATGATGCCATGGCAACTGATTAACTATTAGAAGAAAATTAAGTTAGATGAGTCACTCATTTCATACACTCAAATAAATTATATTCATTCATCTATCTATTCATCTTCTATCCATTTTATTCAACAAATATTTATAGAATATCTTCCATGTGCTAGGCTCTGAACTAGTCACTTGGGAAAAAACAGTCACTATACATATAGAGGAAGAGAAAATTTAATCTAACATTCATGAGCAAAATCTGAATTGCAGTTTTGCCACTTACTAGCTGTGTGATACTGGATAAGTTATTTAACCTCTTTACTTCGGTTTCCTTATGTGTAAGAGAGGGCAATAACAGTATCCGTCTTGCAAGGAATGATAGCAATAGCTACCTTAATGAGCATTAATGCAAATATCTATGAAGCATTTAAAACTCTGACACAGCATAAGTGCTACATTAAGTGCTTGTTAAATAAATAAAACATAAATTGACATAAGGCTTGTATAGGTAGGTAGAGGTAAAGATCCTCAAGTATGGTCCATGAACCCCTGGGAAACTATAAGTTCAAAACTGCTTCCAAAATAACATTTAGATGTTATTTGCCTTTTTCATTGTCTCAACATTTTCAATGATGTCGTAAAAGTAGTGGTAAAATTGCTTACAACTTCGCACAAATCAACACAATGATACTAAACTTACTAGTAGTCCTTGTATTCTTCCCCATCATGTACTCTTGGTTTAAAAAAAAAAAAGCCAGTTTTATTTAAAAATGTCTAAGGAAGCATAAACATTAATTTCATTGAATTTTAATCCTTGAAGTGCCTTTTTAATATTCAGGGTTAATGAAATAGGAAATATTCGCAAAGCAATTCTGTTTATACCAAAGAACAATGGTCGTCTTGAGGAAATATACCATGCAATCATTTGAGTTGTGAGCTGAACCAGCCACTTGTTTCACAGACCACCATTTTACCTGAAAGGATGACTGAATGGCAAACTATGTTATCTAACTTGGGTATCTGGCAGACAGTTTCTCAAAAATGAACAAAGTGAACCTGTTGTATCAAGGACAACAAATGAGTTTTTTATAAAATTTGAGCTTTCAGGCAGAAATTACAAGTTTTGGAAAACTTCTATTTACCACCGAGAGCTTGATGGCTTCCTAAAACTTAAAGGCTTTTCTGATAAGGTCAGTTGTGATACTAAAAGTTATAATATTCAAAAATATTGCACAATATAAAGTGTCAACAAAGAAGATCTGCACTTAGTGAACCAATATTGTCCAAAAGATTGATAGATTTCAATATATGAAAAATTTATGGATGTGGTTTCAGATTCTACATTGTACCTAATCTTTCAGAAAGTATCACTTGTTCAGTTTTGGAGCTGTTTCAAAGAAGAATAGCCATAATTACCTGAAAAGACTATAAAATACTCCTTCCTTTTTCAACTTATATCTGCGTGACACTGGATTTTCTCCATGCATGGCAACCAAAACAACATGTCATATCAAGTTGCATTCAGAAGCAGTTGTAAGAATATAGCTACCTTCTATTATGTCATACATTAAAGAGATTGGCAAAAGTGTAAAACAATGCCATACTTCTTCTTTTTTTTTTTTTTTTTTTTTTAGAGTGTCACTGATGCTTTATTTACATGCGTCACCATCTCTTTTACAAACTAGATTACGGTTTTAAGTGGAATACACAAGGCAATATCTACAAACACCAAGGAAAGTAAGTACTGCATCTCTATTTCATTTGGAAAGGGGAAGATTCCCAAATCAAACTGGTTTTGATCCTTAAGAAAGGCGGCAGAGTTAATTCATGGCAACATATGGTTAGACAAAATCCTCAGTAAGAATGCCATATGATAGTGTTCGCATTGAAAGAAGGATGAGGTGCTTCAAATCAAAGTCTGAACTGCTTGACTCTCAGGTGTTTAAATATGGCCACGCACCATATTTAGTTCTAGATTATATGGGATATGAGCAAGGAATTGAAACAGATAAGACAGTTTTTACAGATACTGTATACAGATTTTTTTTCCATTCATGCAACTTTTTTCTTAAAAAAAGTTAAACATGTGAAGCCAAAATGCACAATACAGTTTTTTAAATATTAACTAATTTTTCTGGTCCTCCTTCACATTTGTTTACATTTCCCATGTACATAATGTGCTAGGACAAGTATACAAGAGAAGACTGATTGCCAGGCAATGAGATAATTTTAGAGAAATAAGTGACCAGACACATAGTTCTTAAAAGCAGCCGCACACGTATTTCTGGAGTGTGGCAAGAGGCCTCATGACCAATCATTCATCAAAGAAAAATACAAACAGATACAACTAAAGAAGAGGAAAATATTCCATTCATTTAAACTGCATAAAATGTTACCCACTTAAGATTTAGATAAAATATAATATACTCTTTTATTTGGGCATCCGCTTCAAGACCTCATTTGACAGGCATGATTCCATCAGAACTTCACTTCCTCTAGTAGTACTCTGCCTCCCCAGTCTCTGAGAGAGGCTAGCTTTTTCGTACCTCTTTACTGGTGATTGCATTTCTACCAAAAAAAAAATTTTTTTTTTTAAATTATACCTAATCGTACAATGTTCACCCAAATACAGCAAGAAAAATAAAACCAGAGTTCAGAGCTGTTAGGGTTTCTTTTTTGCTTTGAGAGAGGATGAGTAACATTTTTTTTTTTTTTTTGACACGGAGTTTCACTCTTGTTACCCAGGCTGGAGTGCACTGGCATGATCTCGGCTCACTGCGACCTCCGCCTCCTGGGTTCAAGCGATTCTCCTGCCTCAGCCTCCAGAGTAGCTGGGATTACAGGCATGCACCACCATGCCAGGCTAATTTTGTATTTTTAATAGAGACGGGGTTTCTCCATGTTGGTCAGGCTGGATAACATTTTTATTTCCCCTCGCAAGCCCTTGGCACCAACATGGAGGACTTCTTTTTGACTGCTTTATTCTTCATGGCCTTTTCCAAGAGATTCAAATGCTCCTTATTCTTTAAGTGGGGTTCACTAGGTAGAGGCAAAGTCTGTCCCCACCATCTTTAAACTGCGTATAAGTTTGGAAGCCACCTGAAATCACACCCTGAGCGGGGCATACTTGTCCTGAGTAGTAAGCCATGGTGTCCTCTCCTCAGGGTGGGGAAGCAACACACACAATGCTAAAAATTAACACCAAAAACAAACACAAAGTCCGCCTTGTACTACACATGTGTGAATGATCCTCCCATTAACAGGAGTGACAAACTTCTGAATTTTTAAAATGTGTTTCAGCAATCATATTGCAGAGGAAGCAATAAAGGAAACCAAGCTCAGATTCATTCACATTTAATGGGGTACACTGAGCCTGGCAGCCAGTTCTCATGCCAGGACAGTGAAGGCTTGTGATAAAGCTCTTTCCTAGCTTTGGTAACAGGTATCAGGTTCTGGAGCCCTGGAGAGAACAGCAGATCCCAAGAGCGCATGTCATGTTTTCAACATTAGGTACTCTTCTAATTTCTCACCAAAAAGTAGGCGGCTCCCTAGAGCAGCTTATTTAGAGGCCAAGTGTGGCCTCGGATAGTTCTCATCATAAATCAAACATTACAGCTGCCAGGCCCCTTGAGGCTAAGCATTCTGCTGATATGCTCCAGATCAGAAAATTATTGTTAGGGACCCGTGACACTCACTCAGAATGTGACATGGTGGCCAACGGCTGGCCTGTCCTGAAAGCAGGGTCTCAATATAAGGGGCGGAAGGCTCTGGCAGCACCCCTGCCCACTTCAGAACCGGGCTAGTCTCTGGGGCCCTGGCCTCTCTGCAGGTGGCTGAGGGTGAGGGTGCCGGGACCCTACACAGGCTTCACTACCAGATTCTCAGCTGACCCTCTCCAGGGGCTGGTGGGTCTCGCAGTACTGATGCTGCACTTGACTTTACCCTGGTCTCAGCTCTCCACGACACTCTACATGTAGATGCTGTTTTAGTTACTTGAAAAAGAAAAAACAAAACAGAACAAAAAACCAAAGCATTCCCTCTTCATTCTCCTGATCTGTTTTATGCTGCCTTGCCCTTGTACCTTCTCTGTCCCTTCCTCAGCTGTTTCGGATTAAATGATAATCTGGTTCTAGGACATTCTGTAAGACATTCTGCCTGAAATTCAACAAACGCTAGAAAAGGAGAATAAATGAGATACCACATGTCTGAAAAGAATTCAACATTTTAAAGTTGAAACACATTGGAGGGTTGCCTTTCTCACTCCCAAAGCAGCTCCCTGGGTCTGTAAAACTGCAAAGGCAAGTAGCGATTTTGTTAGTTACTTTGCATGTTTCTCTGAACTCAGGACAGAAGTTCTCAGGACCCTCATGCTGGAAGCACTCTAGAATTCTCCTATCCCCCCACCCTTTTCCATCTCGCTCCCCACTCTAGCCCCCATGCTACTACTGCCTCTGCAATGCATCCCCACCCAGGGCAGCATCCCTTAGGAAGCTTGGAGAGGCAACCCTCCTTCACTGCTACTGGAAAGTTCTTGCATACAGCACATTACTAAAGAATCCAGGAAGTGGCTAGCATTATTATAAAGGAATATAGTAAGCAAGTCTGGCTCACTGACAAGCAGACCATATGAATAGAATACATACTTTAAAAAATTATACATACTTTAAAAATGAAGATTATAAACATGTAGCAGTTTAGAAAAGGCAATGTGCTACAGTCTACTATAACCACAATTGCACAACAATTTACAGATTCAGTAAAAGGCAGGGTGAAATCAACAGGGCCATCGCTCAAACATGGCAACCCAAGCGAGGCAGGAGACGTGTGACAATACCAAATGGAACTCTCATTATGCTAGGAGCTGTGATCACCACCAATATCACCCCCAGAGGAGTTATAAAGCCAAGGCGCACAAGGGGGCCCCTGGTGGCCGGTGGTGTGTGCAGGGGGTTGGGTGGCACGTCTGTGTTGGTGCCCACTGTCACGGTGCAAGCATCAGCAAGAACTCAAGCAGGGAAGTCTGTGCTGAAATACTAGCCTGTATTCCTAAGGCCCATGCATAAGGTTCCATTTTTGTACTGTACATAATAAAATATATTTATACATTTATACGCCTAATGCTTTTTATGCAAAGAAAAGAGTCTTCATATATCACTTTGGAGAAGTATGCATATGCTGTGCTAATCAGAGCATCGTTATACCAATTTCATATGTACCAAAGGTGGTCCCAACTATTCCGTCTACCAAAGAAGGTAACGAATATAATCACACTTTCCAGGTTAAACAGAAAGCACCTATACAGCACCATAACTTTTTGAAAACACAACAAAATGAAATCCACAGAAGCAGAAAAAAAAGTTAAAACTGCCCTATTTTGTACTTCCATTGAGTCGCTTGTACAATTACAACCTAAGCTTATATTTAAAAAATCAGTTTATATGCTATTGCCTCTCACTCATACACTTCTAGCAGATCAGATTATATAGCAAGGCTGAAAATAATCAAGGATGTGTATTTAGGAAAACAGTGAAGTTGGAACTGCCTCAGCATTGACTTGGGTTTTTACTCTTTGCACATTTCTCACTGCAAGCTTAATGCTCACCTGTAAGTTCATTTGTTCTGCAAAGCAAAACAGGACTTTTTTTTTTTTTCCTTTTCTTTCTCCTTAAAACTAAACCCTTTTTGGGTGACATTTGGCAATGAGTGGAGAGCTGAGCTGATTTCTTTCCTGAAAATATCATTATTCTAGTTTCTAACCAGCAGACCAACACTGTTCACATTAGCTGAGGACACTGACAGGAGATCACAGGCCCTACTGATCTGGCACCCGTAGACCTGGTGCTGGGGTCCCGTCCACAGATCACCCTGACTCAGAACTGGAAACACACTGGGCTGGACGCTGTGCTCCACTCGTTTTGCCTATGCATGGTTCAGTCCTGGACGGGTGCGCATAGCAAACAATTGTGCCATTGTTCAGTTTTTAGAAAAGGATAATTTTCTACCAAACAAAAGAAGAAAGAAAATCCCCCTTTAGTTTATGTAATTTGTTAGTTTATGGAGTTCCATGCGCTCAAAAGCTTGTGATGCTCAAACCTGGAATGGTAACTGGTACAACATTGTCTTTCTGTTTTTAAATTTGCTAGGGGAAGGACGGTTAACATTTTAACAGAAAAATACCGCAAGTTAATGCATGTGAAAAACTCAGAAAGTCAAAGGAAAACAAACACAAGAACAACACTTAAAACATCCCATAAACCATCGCAATATTAAAACACCACAGAATGGCCGAAGAGGGCTCACGGTGTGCTCTGAACGAGGGTGGGTGGTGCTGAGGGGTGCTGTCCTCCACTGGCAGGCGGCTCACCACCCTGTACAAAGAAGATTTTGCATACTTTTTAGAGTTCTATTCCAAGGGTAAGTGCTTCACCCAGGGTAAGGGGCCATTAACAGTCTCTGCTGGGTTAGGAAAATGGCGTGGGATTCACAAAGGTGTTAAGCTGTAAACGGTATCACTGTCCACTTGCTGAGAGCAGATTTGGCAAAGGGTTTTCTCTGTAGGTCTTGTGTCAGTTTGAGGGTCTGCTTTGCCCACTTCCCCTTCCTCAGTGATCCTTCAGCCTGGCACCCAGCTCTGAGATGAGGCCTGCTTAGCACCAGTGAAGTTCCCCACGTTCAAACCAACAACATTCTGTGTGGAGATGAGGGAATCAAAGTTAAAATCCAACCCATCAGCATCCATGAGTTCACTACGGATAATGGACTCCATGTCACATTCCAAGCTCCCATTGAACATGTCCAGGTCCAAGTCGCTGGGGAACTTCTCATGGCCCATGACGGGCAGGTTTGCACTAGTTGAGTACAAGGAGGAGCCTGAGAGAGAGTCCGAGAGGGTTTGCATAGACTGGCTGACAGGAGACTGCTGCTGGTGTTTGGCTGACCCAAGGCTGCTGGACTCACTCAAGCCCATGTTGCTGACAGAATTCGACAAGGCACGGCTGCCACCAAGAGCGCCCTGGGTTTGGTGCTGGTGGTGGAGCAAGTTCTGATTGACCACACTTCCCTGGTTAGGCTGGGCAGCAAAGGACATCATCGGATCATTGCGAAGCATCACGTTCCGGCGGGAATTCTGGGCAGACACAGCGGTGCTGGCCTGAGACATCAAGGGGTCCGACTGTGTCATCATGACATCGCTGTGGCTAAGTGAGTCCGAAGTGAGCAGGTCCTGGAGTGTCTGGTTACCATAGTGTGACATGGAAGAGAAGGTAGCTGGCTTGTTCTCTTGGATGGTCTGCATGGGAGACTGGCGTAGGGAGTTCAGAGATGAAGGTCCAAACACCGTGCTGTTAAAGGAGCTGGTTGGGGAGCTCAGGCCCGAGCCCTTGGTGGTATACGGGAAGCTAGAACTCCGCTGCATGAGTCCCCCAGTGGGCGATGGCTGGGATGGCGGGAGCGTGATGTTATCCAGCAGGTCGTCCATGAGGTTTTCAGTCAGCCCCATCATTCAGATTCATGGTGCCTGCCATGTCAGTCAGCCGTAGCAGTTCCACCGTGCACGGCTTGCTTACTGAAGGTGACAGGCTCGCTGAGCTGCTGTAGAGCATGGGCGAGAGAGGCGCATCGTCGTCCTGGACTTCATCCAACTCTGTGCTTGCCATGATGGGCGACAGGCGGCCACTGACTGTGCTGGCGTTAGAATTGGTGCGTGAACGGAAGTCCGTCCACGCATCCAGCTCATCACTGCTGCGTGACGTGGGGCTGCCAGACCACTTGGAGAGCTGGGAGGGACTGTCGTCAGCTGATTCGGGGGCTGTCTGCAGGGCTGCCTTCTTCTTGGCTGTGCGGCCACGGCTCTTGGTATACTTGTTGCTATTGTCCATGGAGACAGCCCGCCGCCGGGGGGCTTTTCCGCTCTTCCCCCCATCAGGGTTGATGATCCACCAAGAGCTCTTGCCAGTTCCCTCATTCTGGACCCGCATGAATCGACTATGCAGTGACAGGTTGTGCCGGATGGAGTTCTTCTAGCCGGCAGAGCTGTTGCTGTTGCCCTTATCCTTGAAGTAGGGCACGCAACTCACCATCCACTCGTAGATCTGGGACAGAGTGAGCCGTCTGTCCGGGGAGCTCTCGATGGCGCGGGTGATCAGGTCCGCGTAGGACAGGTTTCCCCAGGCGTTCCGCCGCGACGAACATTTCCTCGGCTGCCCGGAGCCCCCAGCCGCCCCCGGCTGCGGCGGTGGCAGCGGTTGCTGAGGCTGCAGCAGCGCCTGTGTACCCCCGCTCAGCCCGCCCGCCGCGGTGGCTGGCCCAGACCCGGGGTCTTGCCCTCCGGGTGCCAGCACCCGGACCGAGTCCTCAAGGAGCAGCCCGGAGACCAGCGTGCGGCTCCCGCCGCCGCCGCCGATCGCCATGGCCGAGCCGGCCCGTCCCCCGCCGTCCTCGTCGTCTTCATCGTCCTCCTCCTCGGGGATCATGGAGTCGGCGGCCGTCTCCCCCGAGGGCTTGGCAGGGCTCGCTTGGAGCTCCGGCCTTTGCAGGGGCCACGTACAGGATCGCGGACGGCTCTGGGGCTCGAACTCCGGGTCCAGCTCCACTTCGAGCGGAGAAAGCGGGGCCGGGGAAGCCGGTGCCTCTGCCATCTT